>NC_000002.12:117186587-117489618 GCF_000001405.40 Homo sapiens | reverse complement strand
CCCCACTTGAACTACACCTCAAAAATCTGAGAAAGCAGCCTGCCCTAGGTTTTATCCCTGTTGGCAACACATCCCACTGGGCTAAAGCAATGAAGGACATTCTGTTTTTAGGGAGGAATGACCCAAAGGCTGGGCTGTTCCAGCCAGTTCTTCCCTATCTCAGGATGTGTCATTCCCAACACATTCTACAGTTATTCTTGAGAACTACAAGCAAGAAAGAGGAGAGAACTGGGTCAGTCCAAGGCCACTGAGAGAACTGTCCTGCACACCTATGCTGTACATTAGATCCCCAGACCTTGTTCATCTTATAACTGAAAGTTTGTACTCTGGTCAACATCTCTGCATTTCTTCTATGCCCATCCCCAGGTCCTAGAAACCACCATTATCCCCTCTGTTTCTATGAGTTCTGCCTTTTTAGATTCTATATATAAATGTGATTACCCAGTATGTGTCTTTCTGTGTCTGTCTTGTTTCACTTAGAATAATGTCCTTCAGATTCATCTATGTTGTCACAAATGGCAAAATTTTCTTCTTTCTTAAAGCTGAATAATGTCCCTTTGTACATATGTACCAATATCCCATTGTATACATGTTTCACAGTCTTCATCCATCCATCTCTTGATGAACACTTAAAGCTGAATAATGTCCCTTTGTACATATGTACCAATATCCCATTGTATACATGTATCACAGTCTTCATCCATCCATCTCTTGATGAACACTTAGGTTGTTTCCATATCTTGGCTATTGTGAATAATGTTGCAATGATGTGGGTGCTGATATCTCTTTAAGACACTGATTTCATTTCCTTTGGATGTATTTCTGGAAGTGGGATTGTGTATTGTATGACAGTTTTATTTTTCATTTATATTGAAACCTCCGTACTGTTTTTGATAATTTCTGTACCAATCTATATTTCCACCAATAGTGTGTAATGATTCCTTTTCTCCATACCTCCACCAACAGTTATCTCTTATCTTTTTGATGATAGCCATTTTAACAGGTACAAAATGACATTTTTTATTGCATTTATCTGGTGATTGGTAATGTTGAGCACCCTTCCAATGTCATTCTTCATAAACACAGGAAAAAAAAATTAAAATTCCTATGGACCCACAAAAGACCCTGAATAGCCAAAGTAATCTTGGGAAAGAGGAACAAATCTGGAATCATCAAACTTTTGGATTTCAAACAGTATTACAAAGCTACAGTAATAAAAATAGTACGGTAACAGCATGAAAACAGACATGCAAACCAATGGAATAGAATAAAGAGCCCATATATAAACCTATAGATATATGGTCAACTTTGGCAAGAGCACAAAGAATACACAATGGGAAAAGAAAAATCTTTTTAATAAATGGTATAGAGAAAGCTGAATATTCACATGCAGAAAAATAAAATTTGATTTTATTTTTTTGAGACAGAGTCACACTCTGTCACCCAGGCTGGAGTGCAGTAGCGTGGAGCTGACTCACTGCAGCCTCCACCTCCCATGTTCAAACGATTCTCCTGCCTCAGCCTCCCAAGTAGCTGGGACTATAGGCATGCACCACCATGCCTGGCTAACTTTTGTATTTTTAGTAGAGACAGGGTTTCACCATGTTGACCAGGCTGATATTGAACTCCTAACCTCAGGTGATCCACCTGCCTTGGCCTCCCAAAGTGCTGGGATTACAGGCATTGAGCCACCACGCCCAGCCAGATTCTTGTCTTATACCATATTCAAAAATTAACTCATAATTAATTAAAGACTTAGATGTAAGACCTAAAACTATAGAACTCCTAGAAGAAAACATAAGAAAAAAACCTCCTTGACATTAGTCTTGGCAATGAGTTTTGGCTCTGCCACCAAAAGCACAGAAGATACAAGCAAAAATAAATGTGTGGGACTACATCAAACTAAAAGAATTTTGCACAGCAAAGAAAACAATCAGCAAAATAAAAAGACAACCTAGGGAATGAGGGAATATATTTGCAAACCATATATCTGATGAGGGCTTATTAGCTAAAACATATAAAGAGTGCACAAACTCAATAGTAAAACAAAACCAAAAACCACAAATAACCTAATTAAAAAATGGGCAAAGGAACTGAAGAGACATTTTCCCAAAGAAGATATACATATTTTTTTTTAAATTTGACCTCCTTTTAGATTTGACCTCCTGTTTATGGGGTCAAATAGGCCACAATAGGATAGGGCAATAGGATAGAACCTAGCTGTTGGATTTACTTTAAGTGTGAGCTTGATTTAATTTCTGGACCAATTCTTGGCTTTGGTGATTCTGCCTTATATTATAACTGTGGGTAGGAGGCATGAAAACTCTAGATCCCTCTCATTAAATTTGTGACATACCAGTGGATGGGTTCCCTTCCTAGTTCTTTTCAGAAAAGAAACCATACAGAGAATAAATAACATAATGACTACCAATATCCAAGAAACTGAGGAGTCTCTGTAGGTGGGTGAAGCAATACTTGGTTCTGCTTTTTGGTTGCTTTTAGGATCTACAGATTCAACATGTTTGTCAGCAGAGAAATATCAGCAGAAAATAAAATAAAAATACATGTTCAGTAGAATGGAAATTAATAGAAGAAAAAGTTGCCAAAGGAAACAAGTGTGAAGGCATGATAAAGGAGATCTTTTCTTCCAAAAAACAGAAGAAACAGTGTTATATAATAAAAGAACAAAAGATGACAATGTGTGAAGATACAGAAAAACTGTGAGTTAAAAAGGAGCACAATATATGGTTATTTTTTGGCTGTCCTTAATCTTACCTAGGTATAGTATTTCAGATTTGATATATGTGGGAAACAAAAATGAAATCCACTATAATCCTGGACAAGATCTTAAATGTTAACCAGGATATACCAGGTTTCATCCATTACTGAAAAAAGTTTCATAAAGTCTAAATGCCATGAGCTGTTAACATATTAAATAAATGTGTTTTAGAAATAAATAATGGAATAGAAAACATGAAAAAGGAACAAGGTATTCTAAAAGTACTTTGAGCAAATTTGAAAAATGACATGGAACACACATGAATGGAAATTATAAAATCATTGACAATAAAATTTTTTCCGCGGACGCTGGTGGACTGAAAAAGGAGGATGAACGTGGGAATAAAGACAGAGACAAAAGCGTATGTTTGGAAGAAGGGGTCAGGGGGCTTCTTGCTTCTAGTGAACAAGGGCCCTCAGCTTCTAGAGCCCTTTGTGTTTATTGAGTAAAGAAGAGAGGGAGAAGCGGGTGGTTGTAGGTCAGCTGCTTGATTTATTGCAGGCCTGCATGACTACATTCTTTGAACAGAGGCTCCAGATGTCCCAGTAGATAACCTCAAGGAGTGTGGTGCCAGGGAGTGACAGCACTCAGCATACCTTCTGGTGGCAGGGGCAGATGTGATTTTGCCCACATCCTGCATTCATGATAAACAGTTTGCTGTTTGATCATATAGCCTCCAGTAGAATGCTGAGTTGGTCACATCCCTCAGGCTTTCAGCTCCCAACACTATAATAAAACCTAGATTTTTTATAAAACCTAAAGAAAAAGGAGGGGCAAAGAAAGACAGCTGAATAGAATCCTCCATTGATTGCCCTGCCTTCAGGAACACCACATTGAACAACTATCCACACAAAAAACACCTTAAGAAACAAAAATCAGGTGAGCAATCAAAGTATCTGGTTTTAACTTCATATCACTGAAAAAGGCTCTGAAGAGAATAGGAAAGTCTTGAATTGCTAACGCCACCTCTCCCACATCCTCTGGCAGCTGCAGCATAGCGTGGAGAGAGAATCTATGTGCTTGTGGGAGGGAAAGCACAGTAATTGTGATGCTTTGCATTGGAACTCAGTGCTGCTTTGTTATAGTGGAAGCCAACACTGGGCAGAACTCAGCCAGTGCCCACACAGGGAGCATTTAGACCAGCCCTAGGCAGAGGGGAATCACCCATCCCAGTGGTGATAATTTAAGTTCCAGCAGCCTTGCCACTGCAGGCTAACGTGCTCTGGGCCCTAAATAAACTTAAAAGGCAGTCTAGGCCACAAGGACTGCAATTCCTGGGCAAGTCCTGGTAGTGTGCTGGATTCAGAGCCAGTGG
The DNA here is from genome assembly GCF_000001405.40 of Homo sapiens. Lineage (NCBI taxonomy): Eukaryota > Metazoa > Chordata > Mammalia > Primates > Hominidae > Homo > Homo sapiens. The sequence goes on along the minus strand of NC_000002.12, from coordinate 117,485,524 downwards.
ACTTGAGGGACATGTAAACTAGTGAGACACCAGCCAGGGTTGCCAAGAGTGTGCTTTCACCATCCCTCCCCTAACCCCAGGCAGCACAGCTTGTAGCTCTGGGAGAGACTCCTTCTATCCACTTGAGGAGAGGAGAGGGAAGAGTATAAAGGACTTTCACTTGCAACTTGGATACTAGCTCGAGCAGCCACAATAGGATAGGGCAACGGGCAGAGTCCTGAGGCCCCCATTCCAGGCCCTAGCTCCTAAATGACATTTCTAGACACACACTAGGCCAGAAGGGAATCTGCTGCCTTGAAGGGAAGGACCCAGTCCTGGTGGGATTCATCACTCGCTGAATAAGGAGCCCCTGGCCCCTGATCAATCAGCAGCAGTACCCAGGGATACTGACCATGGGTCTTGGATGAGACTCAGAGAAGTGCTGGCCTTAAGGGTGGCCCAGTACATTTCCAGCAGTGGTGGGTGTGAGTAGGGACTCATTCTGCTTGAGAAAAGGAGAGAAACGAATAACAGGGACTTTGTCTTGTAGCTTAGGTACCTGCTCAGCCACAGTGGGGTAGAGCACCAACTGAGCTTCTGGTAACCCTGATTTTACACTTTGGCTATTTGTTGGCATTTCTGGACCTGCCTTGGGCCAGAAGGGAGCCTATTGCCCCGAAGGGAGAGTCTTAGTCTTGGCAGCATTCACCAAAAGCTGATTAAAGTGCCCTCGGGCTTTGAATGAACATTGGCAATAACCAGGCAGTACTCGCCACAGGTCTGGAGCAGTGGTGGCCATGAAGAGAGATTCTTCTACTTGTAGAAAATGAAGGGAAGAATGGGAAAGTCTTTTGTCTTGTGGCTTGAGTGCCAGCTCAGCTGCAGTAGAATAGAGCACCATGTAAATGTTTAAGGTTTTTTACTCCAGGCCCTGTCTCCCAGATGGAATCTCTGGACCCACCCAGTAACAGGAGGAACCTGCCACCTTGAAGAGAAGGACACAAGCCTGGCTGGCTTCATCACCTGCTGACTGTAAAGCCCTAGGGCCTTGAGTGAACATAGGTGGTAGCCAGACGGTGATTACACTGGGCCTTGGGTGAAATACAGTGCTGTGCTGGCTTTAGTTCTGACCCAGCACAGTTCCAGTGGTGGTAACCATGAGGGTACTTGTGTCACTCCTTCCCCAGCTCCAGAGAGTGCAGGAGAGAGGGAGAAAGAGAGAGAGAGAGAGAGAGAGAGAGAAAGAGAGAGATTTTTTGGGAGAAGTAATGAAAAAGAACAAGAAACCCTGCCCAGTAATCCAGAGAATTCTTCTAGATCTTATTCAAGACCACAAAGGAAATATTTCTACGAGACTGCAAGAGCCACAGCATTATGGAAATTGGAATGCTCCCTAAGGCATATATGGCTGCAGTGACCAAAAACTTAGAACACAACAACCAAGTCACTTCAAATACCTGGAAAGCCTTCCCAAAAAGTATGAGTACATAAAAGCTCAGACTGTGAAGACTACAATAAACACCTAACTCTTCCAGGCCCAGACACTGTCAAACATTCACAAGCATTAAGACTATCCAGGAAAACACAGCCTCACAAAACAAACTAAATAAGTCACTAGTGACCAGTCATGAAGAGATAGAGATATGTGACCTTTCAGACAGAAGATTCAGAATAGCAGTTTTGAGGAAATTCAACAAAATTCAAGATAACACAGAAAAAGAATTCAGAAACCTATCCGATTAATTTAATAAATATATTGAAATAATTACAAAAATCATGAAGAAATTCAAGAGTTAAAAAAAGCAATTGACATACTAAAGAATGCATTAGAGTCTCTTACCAGCAGATTTAATGAAGCAGAATAAAAGTTAGTGAGCTTGAAGACAGGCTATTTGAAAATACACAGTCAGAGGAGACAAAAAATAATAATAATAAATGAAATAAGCCTATAAGATCTGAACAGTAGTCTCAGAAGAGAAAATATAGTGTTATTTACCTTAAAAAGGAGGTAGAGAGAGAGAGAGATCAGGTAGACATAAGTGTAAGACCTCAAACTATGAAAGTACTACAAGAAACCATTGGGGAAACTCTCCAGGACATCAAACTGAGCAAAGCCCAAAAGCACAGGCAACCAAAGTAAAAATGGACAAATGGGATCCCATCATGTTAAAAAGCTTCTGTACAACAAAGGAAACAATCAACTATGTGAAGAGACAACTCATGGGATGGGAGAAAATATTTGCAAACTAGTCATCTGACAAGGGATTAATAACCATAATATATGAGAAGCTCAGACAACTCAATAAAAATCTAATAATCCAATTAAAACCTGGGGAAAACATCTAAATAGGCATTTCCCAAAGCAGACATACAAATGGCAAACAGGTATATGAAAAGATGATCAACATTATTAATTATCAGAGAAATGCAAAAAAAACTACAATAAGATGTCATTTCACCTCAGTTAAAATGACTTATATTAAAAAGACAGGCAGTAACAAATTCTGGTAAAAATGTGGAGAAAAGAGGACTTTTGTATACTATTGGTAGGAATGTAAATTAGTACAATCACTATAAGGAACAGATTAGAGATTCCTCAAAAAACTGAAAATAGGTTCTTCCAGCCCCAGATAGTGGATTGGAGATGTTGTTAACATGTCTCTTCTTGGAAAGACCAAAGAGTGTGTCAAAACTCATCGTGAACATTTTTCCAAGAAGCAGCACAGCAACATAATGGGAAAACGGAAAGAAATCAGACACTTTGAAAGAAGTGGCAGGCTGCAGCCTACACCATGGGCCAGGTAGAAAACTGTAAGTCTCCACAGTGTAAGAGGGGGGATAAATTGTTTCTAGGTTATAAAATCCTACTGGGGAACCTGGCAATCCAGGCCATGGGGGAAGGCCTTAACCTTATGCAACTCTGAGGCTGGTTTACTGAGTGCTACTGAGTATATGAGAAGCAGCAGCACTGGAACAGGTTTCAGGTGCATTCCCAGTCTCCAGCAGGTATGAAAGAAAGCAGTTCCTGATCCGACCTCACAGGTGACCTCACAAAAATCTTCCAGATAACAGATGGTGGTCACAGGTTGAAAGAAGCTCCCAACTGAGATTCATGACATAATCTTACATGAGGACAAACTCCTTTGGCCAGAACTGAAGGGCAAGTGAGAAGTGTGCTGCAGCCATGAATGCAAGAGCTGAATGCTCTTGTTTTGTTGGCAAACTGGGATAGGAGGAGAGCTGAGGTTTCTGTTTCTGCATGGGAAGTCTTATGGCCTGGGAAAGTTTTGAGTTCTGAGTGCAGACTGCCTGGAACATAGCTGGCTGATGCTAGTGGAACACTGCTAGTCTGAGACTGGCCTTCTCATGTGTTTGGGACTGGGTGGGGATTACTGCTGCCTGTTACTCTCCACTACCTGGGTGGACTCTTCTACGCAGCAGAGGAAACTCCATTTTACCCTGGAACATTACGTCCGTATCTAGAGAACTACTCTTTAATCCCCACTGAGGCTGCTGCTTGTGCCCATACATTGAAAGCCAGATGATGGACTTGCCTGAGACAGCCCTGACGTGGCTTTGCCTCTCTGCCTGCCCTAGTAGCTTAACATAACAGACAGAAACCTTTGGGAGCTCTATGGCCACATCCATTGCCCAAGTCATCAGAGTACCACCCTGGGTAACATAAGACAAGCACAAATCCCATTGCTATCACCACAGCTGGTGCCACCTGCACCACTTCCTGGATGGAGGCCAACTGACATAATCTATTACAGCATCTGCAAGCATTAAAACAGTGTGGAGGAAACAGGAAACTTGCATGTGACCTCATCTACCATAATCTTCATCACCTTGGCTAATCAGGAGATTTTGAGTCTGTCCATGTGATCAGTTCATTACTACAACAATTGGCATTTGAAAAAACTAATACACTAGGCCAGTTTCTAACTAAGGAATCTCAAAGACTCCATGTCCCTCCTCTGCCACCCCCATCAGAGGATTCCACTGTTGGGAATCTTGAGGACAGATCACATCAGTGGACCCCTTGCAGACATCCCCCACCACCAGCCTGGAGTGTGGCACCCCCAATGGGCAGCTAGACCCAGAAGAGCAGCAGAGTTCATAGTATTCTGGCCCTCAGGGATCCCTACTCCTAGTAGAAGGAGTGTACCAAATTGAGGATGAACCCCATGCCAAAAAAAAAAAAAATCAAGATAGCAGGCTCTGAGTCCCAGAACTTTTTGCTTGTGGGAACTTTCTTTCAGTAGAGGCAAAGGTGCAGTAATGGGCTCAGCAGGGAAAGTCTGCAGCACCCTCCCAATACTTAGAAAATTCTGGTGCTCCTGAAGGGTCTTGGAAAAGGAGAATTCTTCTTCCAATTGCCACCTAAATTACACACCTAGAATTCTTCTTCCAAGCTGTGTTACCACTGAAGACACAGCTGGGGCCTTTTCCAATGGGAGCTTGACATGGGTGCACCTGTAAACAGCTTTTCTGGAAGAGTGTAGGGTGACTGCATTCCCACAGAAAAAATATTCTCCATGTGTAGGCTTGCATGAAGAGCGTATTCACAATCCCTCTCTACATGGAACATCAGCATTTCTGCAAATAAAAAGAAGTACCTATTTGACTTCAATAGATAGAACACTGGGTCAGAAGTGTGACAGAGAGGTGGACTGCTTTTCTGCTGGCCTGGAAGAGAAGCTGAGGTGGCTGCCTCCCTTACCCTAGAAAAGATTTCAGTGCATTTTACTAAGGACTCCCCCACCCACTTCTGTCAAGGATGGGACCTCTTCACACCAATGGGCATTGCATTTACCAACCTATTTTCACAATAGCTGGTTTTTACCCATTGACATCTCCCCTGCTGGCCTGAAGCCTAAACTGCTCAATCCAATAAATAGAACACTGGGGAAAAAAATACATAAAAAATGTGCACACTACTGGGAAAGGAGATAATCTTAAAGAGACTTCTGCCAATCCACCCTATAGGAGACAGTGAACCTACACACACCAAGCACATTGCTACTGTAACCAGCATCTGAGAAAGCTACCATAAAGAAACTCTATTCAAACAAGGAACTTATACAGAAAATTTACCCCTGAAAACACCCAAGGTTGAATTATGCTACAATAAACTATAAACATTAAAGGTAGATCTTTAAGGGGGAAAAAGAAATAAATTTTTAAAAATATCAAGGTTGAATAAAAAATAAACTCAAAAATAATTATAAGAATTAGTCTACCTAAATGAGAAAAATACCAAAAAAAATAATTCTGGCAATATGGCAAAAGTGGACTATATAACACCTCCAAAAGATCATGCTAGCTGTCTCCAGCAGTGGATCCAAACCAAGATGAAATCTTTGAAATACCAGATAAAACATTCAAAAGATTAATTATTAAGCTACTCAGGGAGATAAAAAACAAAGGTGAAAAATGTTATACATAGATTTTAAAAAATCAGGATACAAATGAAAACATTCTACAGAAATAGGTATTTTGAAGAAAAAGTAACCATAATTTATGAAAATGAGCAACACATTTACGAAATGATGAAATGCAATAGAAAGTTTTTTTTTTTCTTTTTTTTGAGATGGAGTCTTGCTCTGTCGCCCAGACTGGAGTGCAGTGGCTCACTGCAAGCTCCGCCTCCCAGGTTCACACCATTCTCCTGCCTCAGCCTCCTGAGTAGCTGGGACTACAGGCACCCGCCACCATGCCTGGCTAATTTTTTTGTATTTTTAGTAGAGATGGGGTTTCACCATGTTGGCCAGGATGGTCTTGAACTCCTGACCTTGTGATCTGCCCGCCTCGGCCTCCCAAAGTGCTGGGATTACAGTAATAGAAAGTTTTAACAATAGATGAGACCAAGTAGAAGAAAAAATTTTAGAGCTCAAAGACAAGGCTTGCAAATCATCTCTATTAGACAAAAATACAGAAAAAGGAATTAAAAGAAATGTACAAAGTCCCCCAAAACATGGGATTATATAAAATGGCCAAATCTAAGAATAACTGGTGTTCTTGAGGGAGGAAAATGAAGCAAAAAGTTTCAAAAATTTATTTGGGAGGAAAATCTCCCTGTCCCTGCTAGATATTTAGAGATCCAAATGCAAGAAGCACAAAGAACTTCTTGGAGATACATTGCAAAAAGGACATCGCTAAGGCAGATGGATAGTGATCAGGCTACTTAAAGACAACCTGAACAAAAAAAATTCTAAGAGGACTGAGAAAAGAGCATCAGGTAACATAAAGGAAAGCCTATCAGACTAACAGCAGACTTCTCAGCAGAAACCTTACAGCCAGAATGGGTTGGAGTCCTATATTTATTCCCCTTGAACATAATAACTGTCAGTCAAGAATATTGTATTCAGCAAATCTAAGTTTCATAAATGAGGAAGAAATAAAGTTTTTCTCAGACAATGAAAAGCTTTGGGACTTGTCACTACTAGCCTTGCCCTATAAACATTGCTAAAAGGAATTTTAAAGCTTGAAACAAAAAGTCAATATGCAACAGAATAGAATCTCTTGATAGCATAAAACTCGCAGGACCTAAAATACAATAAAATAACAAAGAAAACAAAATACCATGCTAACAATAAACCTGATGGCTAGAACAGTACCTCACATCTTAATAGTGACTATAAATGCTACACTTAAGAGATACAGATTGGCAGAATGGCTAAGAAAATCACATACCAAATATCTGCTATCTTCAGGAAACTCACCCAGCATGTGCATGTGTGGATTCTTTTTTTTTTTTCTTCTTTCCTGACTTTTTTTTTTTTTTTTCACTTTAAGTTCTGGGATACATGTGCTGAATATGCAGGTTTGTTACATAGGTATATATGTGCCGTGGTGGTTTACTGCACCTATCAACCCATCGTCTATGTTTTAAGCCCCATATGAATTAGGTATTTGTCCTAATTTTCTCCCTGCCCTTTCCCCACAACCCCTGACAGGCCCCACTGTGTGATGTTTCCCTCTGTGTGTCCACGTGTTCTCATTGTTCAACTATCACTTATGAGTGAGAACATGTGGTGTTTGGTTTTCTGTTCCTGCATTAGTTTGCTGAGAATGATGGTTTATGTCCCTGCAAAGGACATGAACTCATTCTTTTTTATGGCTGCATAGTATTCCATGGTGTATATCTGCCACATTTTCTTTTTCCAGTCTACCATTGACAGACATTTGGGTTGGTTCCTAGTCTTTTCTATTGTAAATAGTGCTGCAGTAAACATACATGTGCATGTGTCTTTATAGTAGAATGATTTATAATTCTTTGGGTATATACCCAGTAATGGGACTGCTGGGTCAAATGGTATTTCTGGTTCTAGATCCTTGAGGAATCGCCACATTGTCTTCCACAATGGTTGAACTAATTTACAACTCCCAGTGTAAAAGTGTTCCTATTTCTCCACAACTCACCAGCATCTGTTGTTTCCAGACGTTTTAATGATTGCCATTCTAACTGGCATGAGATGACATCTCATTGTGGTTTTGATTTGCATTTCCCTAATGACCAGTGATGATGAGCTGTTTTTCATGTTTGTTGGCTGCATAAATGTCTTCTTTTGAGAAGCATCTGTTCATATCCTTTGCCCACTTTTTATGGGATTGTTTGTTCTTTTCTTGTAAATATGTTTAAGTTCCTTGTAGATTCTGGATACTAGACCTTTGTCAGATGGATAGATTGCAAAAATTTTCTCCCATTTCTGTAGGTTGCCTATTCACTCTCATGATACTTTCTTTTGCTGAGCAGAAGCTCTTTAGTTTAATTAGAGCCCATTTGCCAATTTTGGCTTTTGTTGCCATGGTTTTTGTGTTTTAGTCATGAAGTCTTTGCCCATGCCTATGTCCTGAATGGTATTGCCTAGGTTGTCTTCTAGGCTTTTCATGGTTTTAGGTTCTATGTTTAAGTATTTCATTCATCTTGAGTTAATTTTTGTATGAGGTGTAGAGGAAGGGGTCCAGTTTCAGTTTTCTGCATATGGCTAGCCAGTTTTCTGCATATGGCTAGCCAGTTTTCTGAGCACCATTTATTAAACAGGGAATCCTTTCCCCATTGCTTGTTTTTGTCAGGTTTGTGGAAGAACAGATGGTTGTATATGTGTGGTGTTATTTCTGAGGCCTCTGCTCTGTTCCATTGTTCTATATACCTGTTTTGGTACCAGTACCATGCTGTTTTGCTTACTGTAGCCTTGTAGTGTAGTTTGAAGTCAGGTAGCATGATGCCTCCAAGTTTGTTCTTTTTGCTTAGGCTTGTCTTGGCTATACGTGCTCCTTTTAGGTTCCATATGAAATTTAAAATAGTTTTTTCTAGTTCTGTGAAGAAAGTCAATGATAGCTTGATGGGAATAGCATTGAATCTATAAATTACTTTAGGCAGTATGGCCACTTTCACGATATTGATTCTATCCATGAGCATGATTTTTTTTTCCCATTTGTTTGTGTCCTCTCTTGTTTCCTTGAGCAGTGGTTTGTAGTTCTCCTTGAAGAGGTCCTTTACATCCCTTGTAAGTTGTATTTTCCTAGGTATTTTATTTTCTTTGTAGCAATTGTGAATGGTTTGGCTCTCTGCTTGTCTATTATTGTCTCATGATTTGGCTCTCTGCTTGTCTATTATTGGTGTATAGGAATGCTTGTAACTTTTGCACATTGATTTTTGTATCCTGGGACTTTGCTGAAGTTGTTTATTAGCTTAAGGACTTTTTGGGCTGAGACGATGGGGTTTTCTAAATATACAATCATGTCATCTGCAAACAGAAACAATTTGACTTCCTCCCTTCCTATTTGAATATGCTTTCTTTCTTTCTCTTGCCTGATTGCCCTGGCCAGAACTTTCAATACTATGTTGAATAGAAGTGGTGAGAAAGGGTGTCCCTTTCAATGTCCCCATTCAAGGGAATGACTCCAGCTTTTGTTCATTCAGTATGATATTGACTATGGGTTTATCATAAATATGTCTTATTATTTTGAGATATGTTCCATCAATACCTAGTTTATTGAGATTTTTAGCATGAAGGGGTGTTGAATCTTATTGAAGGCCTTTTCTGCATATATTGCGATAATCTTGTGGTTTTTGTCATTAGTTCTGTTTATGTGATGGATTACATTTATTGATTTGCATGTGTTGAACCAGCCTTGCATCCCAGGGATGAAGCTGATTTGATTGTGGTGGATAAGCTTTTTGATGTGCTGCTGGATTTGGTTTGCCAGTATTTTATTGAGGATTTTCACATTGATGTTCGTCAGGGATATTGGCCTGAAATTTTCTTTTTTCTTTTTTTTTTTTTTTTTTTTTTTGTGGTTGTGTCTCTGCCAGGTTTTGGAATCAGGATGATGCTGGCCTCATAAAATGAGTTAGGGAGGAGTCCTTCTTTTTCCATTGTTTAGAATAGTTTCAGAAGGAATGGCACCAGCTCCTCTTTGTACCTCTGGTAGAATTCGGTTGTGAATCTGTCTGGTCCTGGGCTTTTTTTTGGTTGGTAGGCTATTAATAACTGCCTCAATAACAGAACTTGTTATTAATCTATTCGGGGATTCGACTTTTTCCTGGTTTAGTCTTGGGAGGGTGTATGTTTCCAGGAATTTATCCATTTCTTCTAGATTTTCTAGTTTATTTGCCTAGAGGTGTTTATAGTATTCTTTGATGGTAGTTTGTATTTCTGTGGGATCGGTGGTATCCCATTTATCATTTTTTATTGCGTCTAATTGATTCTACTGTCTTTTCTTCTTTGTTAGTCTGGCTGGCAGTCTATCTATCTGTTAATCTTTTCAAAAAAACCAGCTCCTGGAGTCATTGATTTTTTGAAGGGTTTTTTGTGTCTCTATCTTCTTCAGTTCTGCTCAGATCTTAGTTATTTCTTGTCTTCTGCTAGCTTTTGAATGTGTTTGCTCTTGCTTCTCTAGTTCTTTTATTTTTGATATTAGGGTACTGATTTTAGATCTTCCCCACTTTCTGATGTGGGCACTTGGTGCTATAAATTTCCCTCTAAACATGCTTTAGCTGGCTCCCAGAGATTCTGGTACATTGTCACTTTGTTCTTATTGGTTTCAAATAACTTACTTATTTCTGCCTTAATTTTGTTATTTAACCAGTAGTCATTTAGGAGCAGGTGGTTCACTTTCCATGTAGTTGTGCATTTTTGAGTGATTTTCTTAATCCTGAGTTATAATTTGATTGCACTGTTGTCTGAGAGGTTGTTTGTTATGATTTCCATTCTTTTGCATTTGCTGAGGAGTGTTTTACTTCCAATTATGTGTTCAATCTTAGAATAAGTGCTATGTGGTGCTGAGAAAAATGTATATTCTGTTGATTTGGGGTGGAGAGTTCTGTAGATGTCTATTAGGTCCGCTTGGTCCAGAGCTGAGTTCAAGTCCTGAATATCCTTGTTAATTTTCTGTCTCATTGATCTGTCTAATATTGACAGTGGTGTGTTAAAGTCTCCCACTATTATTGTGTGGGAGTCTAAGTCTCTTTGTAGGTCTCTAAGGACTTGCTTTATGAATCTCGGTGCTCCTGTATTGGGTGCATATAAATTTAGGATAGTTAGGTCTTCTTGTTGTTTCGATCCCTTTACCATTATGTAATGCCCTTCTTTGTCTTTTTTTGTCTTTGTTGGTTTAAAGTCTGTTTTATCAGAGGCTAGGATTGCAACCCTTGCTTTTTTTTGCTTTCCATTTGCTTGGTAAATATTGCCCCATCCTTCTATTTTGAGCCTATGTGTGTTTTTGCACATGAGATGGGTCTCCTGAATATAGAACATCGATGGGTCTTGAGTCTTCATCAAATTTGCCAGTCTGTTTCTTTTATTTGGGGCATTTAGCCCATTTACATTTAAGGTTAATATTGTTGTGTGTAAATTTGATCCCATCATCATAATGTTAGCTGGTTATTTTGCACATTAATTGATGCAGTTTCTTCATAGTTGATGCAGTGTCGTTGGTCTTTATATTTTGGTATTTTTGCAGTGGGTGGTACTGGTTTTTCCTTTCCATATTTAGTGCTTCCTTCAGGAACTCCCGTGAGGCAGGCCTGGTGGTGACAAAATCTCTCAGCTTTTGCTTCTCTGTAAAGGACTTTATTTCTCCTTCACTTGTGGAACTTAGTTTGGCTGGATATGAAATTCTGGGTTGAAAATTCTTTTTTTTTTTTTTTAAGAATGTTGAATATTGGCCCCTACTCTCTCCTGGCTTTCAGAGTTCCTGCGGGAGAGGTCTGCTGTTACTCTGATGGGTTTCCCTTTGTAAGTAATCTAACTTTTCTCTCTGGCTGCCCTTAAAATTTTCTCCTTCACTTAAACCTTGGAGAATCTGACAATTATGTGTCTTGGGGTTGCTCTTCTCGAGGAGTATCTTAGTTGTGTTCTCTGTATTTCCTGAGTTTGAATGTTGGCCTGTTTTGCTAAATTGGGGAATTTCTCCTTGATAATATCCTGAAGTGTGTTTTCCAACTTGATTCCATTCTCCCCGTCACTTTCATGGACCCCAATCAATCATAGGTTTGGTCTTTTCACATAGTCCCATATTTCTTGGAGGCTTTGTTCATTACTTTTCATTCTTTTTTCTCTAATGTTGTCTTCACACATTATTTCAGTAAGTTGATCTTCAGTCTCTGATATCCTTTCTTCTACTTGATTAATTAGGCTATGAATACTTGTGTATGCTTCACGAAATTCTCGTGCTGTGTTTTACAGCTCCATAAGGTCATTTATGTTCTTCTCTAAATTGATTATTCTAGTTAACAGTTCCTATAGCTTTTTGTCAAGGTTCTTAGCTTCCTTTCATTGGGTTAGAACATACTCCTTTAGCTTAGAGGAGTTTGTTATTACTCACCTTCTGAAGCCTACTTCTGTCAATTCATCAAACTAATTTTCCATCCAGCTTTGTGCCCTGCTAGAGAGGAGTTGTGATCATTTGGAGGAGAAGTGGCATTCTGGTTCTTGGAATTTTCAGCATTTTTGTGCTGGCTTTTCCTCATCTTCCTGGATTTATCTACCTTTGATCTTTGAGGCCTTCTGATGGGGTTTCCCTGTGGGGGTCCTTTTTTGTTGATGTTGATGCTAATTGCTTTCTCTTTGTTAGTTTTTCTTCTTACAGTCAGGCCCCTCTTCTGCAGGTCTGTTGAAGTTTTCTGGAGGCCCACTCCAGACACTATTTGCCTGGGTATCATCAGTGGAGGCTGAAGAACAACAAAGATGCTACCTGCTCCCTTCCCTGGAAGCTTCATCCCAGAGAGGCACCTGCCTAATGCCAGCAGGAGCTCTCCTGTATGAGCTGTCTGTCAACCCCTGTTGGGAAGTCTCTCCCAGTCAGGAGGTTTGAGGGGGTGTGGGTTCAGGGACCTACTTAAGGAGGCAGTCTGTCCCTTAGCGGAGTTCAAATGCTGTGTTTGGAGAACCCTCCTTGTCAGGATCTGCTGCTATCTTCAGAGCAGGAAGGCAGGAAAGTTTAAGTTCACTGAAGCTGCACCCACAGCTGACCCATCCACCACATGCTCTGTCCCAGGGAGATGGGAATTTTATCTGTAAGTCCTGACTGGGGCGCTGCCTTTCTTTCAGCGATGCCCTGCCCATTGAAGAGGCATCAAAAGAGGCAGTCTGACCACAGCCGCTTTGCCATGCTATTTTGTTGAGTTCCACCCAGTCTGAACTTGCAGGCCTCCTTAGCGCTGTCAGGGGAAAACAGTGTACTCAAGCATCAGTAATGGTGGATGCCCCTCCCCCCACCATGCTCGATTGTCCCAGGTCAACTTCAGACTGCTGTGCTGGCAGTGAGAATTTCAAGCAAGTGGTCCTTAGCTTGCTGGCCTCTGTGGGAGTGAGACCTGCTGAGTGAGACCACTTGGCTCCCTGGCTTCAGCCCTCCTTCCCAGGGGAGTGAATTGTTCTGTCTTGCTGGAGTTCCAGGCACCATTGGGGTACGGAAACAAACAAACAAACAAATGAACAAAGAAAAAAAAGATTGCAGCTATGTTGGTGTCTGCCCGAACAGCTGCTCAATTTTGGGCTTGAAACCCAGGGCCCTGGTGGTGGAGGCACACTAGGAAATCTCCTGGTCTGCAGATTGCAAAAACAGTGGGAAAATCATAGTATCTGGGCTGGATAGCACAGTCCCTCACAGCTTCCCTTGGCTGGGAAAGGGAGGCCACCTGCACCTTGCACTTCTTGGGTGAGGTGATGCCCCACCCTGCTTCTGCTCACCCTCCGTGGGCTGCACCCACTGCCCAGCCAGTCCCAATGAGATGAACAGGGTACCTCAGTTGGAAATGCTGAAATCCCCTGCCTGCTGCATTGGTCTTGTGGGGAGCTGTAGACCAGAGCTGTTCCAATTTGGCCATCTTGCCAGGTCCTCACATGTATGGATTCTTATAAACTCAAGGTAAAGGGATGGAAAAAATATTTCATGCAAATGGAAACCAAAGTGAGCAGGAGTAGCTCTTATATCAGACAAAACAAACTTTAAAGCAATAACAGAAAAAAAGAAGGTTCAATTTACAATAATAAAAAGATCAGTCTAACAAAAAATGTTACAATCCTAAATATATATGCACCTAACTCTAGAGCTCCAGATTCATAAAACAATTACTACTAAGACTAAGCAAAGAGAGACAACAAAACAATACTAATGGGGAACTTCAACACTCCACTGAAAAAGAAACACTGAACTTAAACTATACTCTAGAACAAATGGGCCTAACAGATATTTACAAAACATTCTACCCAAGAACTGCAGAATATACATTTATTTCATCAGCACATGGAACATTCCCCAATTAGACCATATAAGATGTTACAAAACTAGTTTCAATAAATTTTAAAAAATCAAAATCATATCAAGTATCTTCTCAGATCACAGTGAAATAAAACTAGAAATCAACTCCAAAAGCAATCCTCAAAATTAGACAAATCCATGAAAATTAAATAATTTCCTGAAGAATTTTTGAATTAACAAGGAAGTCAAGATGGAAATTTAAAAATTCTTCAAAATGAATGATAATTCTTACAAAAATTATCAGAACTTCTGGGAGACAACAAAAGCAGTGCTAAGAGAAAAAGATATAGCACTAAACGCATACATTAAATAGTCTCAAATAGCACAAATTGGCAACCTAACATCACACTTCAAGGAAGCAGACAAACAATGACAAACTAAACTCAAGTTAGCAGAAGAAAAAAAGTAACAAAGATCATAGAACTAAATATAAATTGAAAAAAAAATGCAAAATAGGATTTAGAGTAAGATGGCCAATAGGAGGCAGTACCAACTTGCAGCTCCCACTTGGATGGACAGAGCAGTATATGGAGATTCACATCATGAACTTTTGCTCCAAGAACTACTACAGAAACATACCAGTGATATAGGAGTTAAGAAGAAATCACTTAGGCAGAGAGTAAGGTTATGGGAGTCCTCGGTAAGGCTTTTCTTTTTAACGAAATGAAAAGCAGCCCCAAATCGTTTTCTAACAGACGGCAGCCTGTAAAGTCAAACTGCAGACACAGACAAGCAAGCTGGGAACTTATATGGGTACTAGGGACAAGACTGTTCAAGATGGCAGCTCCACCTTCCCTTCTCTGCCAGCCACATGTACAGTAAGGAGTAGACAAGATGGCTCTGGCCAATGAAAGTTCATTTGCATAATATGTAAATGTCACACCTGATTGAACCAATCTGTGAGCCCTACGTAAATCAGACACCACTTCCTCAAGCCTGACTATAAAATCTGGTGCATCCATGGCCAGCCTGTCTTTTCCACTTGGAACATCCTCTCTCTTTATAGAGACAGAGCTGTTGTTTGGCGTGATTTTCTAGGAACAAAGGGTCCCCCCACCCACCACCACCACAGTGAGCATCTCTCTCTGCCCTTGGTCTGGAGAACACATGGCACTTCCAGGTCACTCTCTGCCCTTGGTCTGGAGAACACATCGCATGTCAAGGTCACTCTGCCCTTGGTCTGAAGAGCACATGGCACGTCAAGGTCACTCTCTGCCCTTGGTCTGGAGAGCACTTAGCACTTCCAGGTCACTCTCTGCCCTTGGTCTGGAGACCACATGGCATGTCAAGGTCACTCTGCCCCCAGTCTGGAGAGCACATGGCATTTTAAGGTCTACAGCGCCACCTAGTGGAATAGGGTTCCTTTCCATGAGGCACATTGTTGGTCCTTTACTGAAACAGTCTAGCTTCCCAATTCTCCTCCCTTTTTGTGCCTCTCTAGTATAGAAACTAGTCTTCATGCTTCTTCTGTAAATGGGAAAACTCTGCCTTCTACAACTAGGAGTAAAATATCCTCCAAAGCCAAATTTTAGTCTTGATACTGTCCCCTTAGCAGGAAGATGGCCATTTGGTCCGTATGTTCTTTTAAGGCAAATTTCTGCGTTTTATTAGAATGGTACTTAATTACTAAGGGAATTTTAATTATGGAAGGCAACTGAAACCATTCTCTAAGGGAAACACTTTAGCACAGGCCATAATAGCAGGATATAGAGCTCACACCAGCCTGCTTCCTCCATTAAGTAGGGATGCAACAGTTGCCCAAATGCAATTGTCACATAGTCTCTTCCAAGATTCATTTGTGTGTGTGTGTGTGTGTGTGTGTGTGTGTGTGTTGGGGGGGCGGGGGGAGCTGGTTCAAGGATCTAGAACCAGGAATTTAATCCCCAGCAATCTCATTACTGGGTATATACCCAAAGGAATATAAATCATTCTACTCTCAAGACACACGCACACGTATGTTTATTGTACCTGGAGATGATGCCTCATGACATTAACACACTTGAAGCCCGTCTAATCTGGGAAGGCTCCATAAAAGAAATCAAGTCTTGGTATTCCCCTACAGAAATAGAATGGGCCACTTCTCAAGGGTACACCTTCCAGCCCTCAGGATGGCTGCAGTCAGAGGATGGCTCCACTTGACAGCCTCCAGCCAGTGGAAAGTCCTTAAAATCCTTCACCAGGCTTTTCACTTGGGAAAGGATAAAACTTATCAATATGCACAGAGATTGTTTTCAGGAGAGAACTTACTAAGAACAGTTAAACAGGTTGTTAATGCTTGTGAAGTCTGTCTTAAAAATAATCACCTGCAGAGATGGCTCCTTTATCCTCCAACCCAAAGGGTGGTAAGCTATCCAGGGGAGGGCTGGCAGCTTTCCTCACATACCCAAGACAAAGGGCATCCACTACCTCCTGGTAGAGGTAGATACTTTCACTAACTGGGTAGAAACATTTCCAAGCTGTAGAGAAAAGGTCTCTGAGGTAGTAAAGGTGTTAGCTAATGAAATTATTCCCTGTTTTGGTCTACCTAAGCCCCTCCAAAGTGACAAGGGCCCCTCACTTAAGGCAGCCATGACACAGGGGGTCGCAAATGCACTAGGCATACTGTATCATCTCCATTGCGCTTAGAGACCCCAGTCCTCAGGAAAGGTAGAGAAGACAAATGATATTATCAAAAGACACCTCAGGAAACTGCCCCAAGAACTCACCTTCGTTGGGTGACTCTTCTTCCCATGACTTCATGCAGGTAAGAAACACAACTTCAAAGTTAGGTCTAAGCCCTTTTGAGATGCTGTTTGGACAGCCTTTCCTCACCAATTATTTCTTATTAGGCTAAGAGACCTCTGAGTTGGTTAAGCATGTAACGTCTCTCATTCACTTTCAACAGGAATTAACTCAACAAGAAGAAGCCCAACCCCAAGAAGTAGGACCACCTTTATTTAACCCAGGAGATTTGGTATTGGTAAAAGCTCTCCCTTTTCTCTCTCCTTCCCTAAGCCTAACCTGGGAAGAGCCTTATACCATTCTCCTTCAAACCCCTTCGGTGGTAAAAGTTACAGGTATCAACTCCTGGATACATCACACTCGAGTGAAAGACTGAAAAGCTGGGAGAGCAACCCCTGACAGCCCAGAGGAAAGTCCCAGATACCAGTGTGAAGACATAGGAGACTTTAAGCTGAAAATCATAAGAGATAAATAAATGAGCAAGGGCTACTCATCCACTTGTCAGGTGGACCCTTCTTATTTAGCATTTAAGATTCCCAACGGCATTGTGAATGACAATCCTGAGTATGGTTATCCCTACTCCAAAGAGGCTTCTATTATATATAAGGGGAGAAAGCTTCTAAGATATGAGAAAGATCTGCCTGTGCCTCTCACAAGTCCAACTTAGAACCATCTCTTCAAGGGACAAGATTGTATTTCCTTTGTGGCCCCTGGCCACACTTAATCCTCTCTAGGCACTGGAAAGGAACCTGCACTATAGTAGCAGTGGTTCCCGACCTATTCCTTTTAAATTCCACTGATCTGGCGGCATCATCTGTGAACCTCCTTAACCTATGTTCCTTTTTAGACAGTGCAGTATCTCAGATATGCCAAACAAAGAGATCTGTCATTTCCAAGCCCTTATATGGAGATTCAACTAAAAGAGAAGATTGGGGAGGGCATGCACATGACAATCCCATCTTAGAAAGACCATGGAGGCTGGACACGGTGGCTTATGCCTGTAATCCCAGCACTTTGGGAGGCCAAGGCGGGTGGATCATGAGGTCAGGAGATGGAGACTATCCTGGCTAACATGGTGAAACCCCGTCTCTACTAAAAATACAAAAAAATTAGCCGGGCCTGGTGGTGGGTGCCTGTAGTCCCAGCTACTTGGGAGGCTGAGGCAGGAGAATGGCGTGGACCCAGGAGTCGGAGGTTGCAATGAGCTGAGATCGCACCACTGCACTCCAGCCTGGGCGACAGAGCGAGACTCTGTCAAAAATAAATAAAAAATGAAAAAAATAAAAAGGCCATGGATAGGGAATTCTATAACCAGAGGCCTCTTCTGGTTTTTTGGTGTTCCTCTTCTTGAAAGGTCCATACTTAATATTTCCATTATGATGCAGTAAAGATGGAAGGCAACAGTAGGAGCCATAGAAGTACAACAATCCATGGACTCTTTAGCCTCAGTAGTAGCACAGAATACACAGGCCCTAGATATCCTTACAGTCAAGGTAGGGGCACCTGTGCAGTCTTAAATGAAGCATGCTCTTTCTGGATCAATCCCTCTAGTCAAGTAGAAGAAAACCTACAAGTGCTTAAAGATCCAGTTAAAATCATTGACAGGTTAAGAGAAAAATGCAGGCTCCAACCCTGGATGGTTACAATTTCTCTTTAATGAATTCCAGTCTTCTGTGTGGAACTAGTTAGCTCCATTGCTAAGCCCCCTCTTGCTCATATGTTTTATATTAATGTTTAGACGTTGTCTACTCAATACTATAGCTCAAATTGTTTCCTCTCACCTAGAAACAATTAAACTCCAAATGGTGCTGCAGACTGAACCACACATAGACACGCCTTTCTTCCAAGGACCATTAGATTGGCCTCAGGAGGAGCCCTAGCTGCTGTTCCTAATACAATGCACCTTTTCAGCTGGAAGTAGCCAGATGGAGTCATCGCCCAACACCCCCTAACAGGAGTTAGGGTTCTCACTCCCCAGGGGGAAATACAGATAGTAAGGGTATGGCAGTCCTTGGTAAGGGTTTTCTTTTTAATAAAAGGCAGCCCCAAATCATTTTCTAACAAAGAGTAACCTGTAAAGTTGAGCTGCAGACGTAGACAAGGAAGCTGGGAGCTTGTATGGGTGAATGCTGGCAGGAACTAGGAAAAAGACATGTTCAAGATGGCGGCCCCATCTTCCCTTCTCTGCCAGCCACTTGTACAGTGAGGAGCAGATAAGATGGTGCTGGCCAAGGAAAGTTCACTTGCATAATAAGATTAGGATGGGGTGACCAGCCTTCCACACTTGCTATGGTAAATATCACAACTGATGGAACCAATCTGTGAGCTCTACATAAGTCATACACTGCCTCCTCAAGCCGGACTATAAAATCCCATGCATCCACGGCCAGCTGGTTTTTTCCACTTGGAAGACCTCTCTGTAGAGAGAGCTGTTTTTCTTTCTCTTCTCTTCTGCCTGTTAAGCTTCTGCTCCTAAACTCGTGTGTGTTAGTGTCCTAAATTTTTCTGGCCTGAGACAATGAACTCCAGGGTATATACCCCAGACAACATAGACGCTTCATCAGAAAAGCCACAGATCTTTTGAAGGAAATGGTCACTGCTGCAGGCTCCCTGAGATGCTGAAAACTGTGTCTGCTTGCTTTCTCAATGGGGAGGCTTGTGGTCTGGGGAAAGTTCTCAGCCCTGGCCACCAGCTGTCTGGAAATAGAGTCAGTGCTGTTGTGGGGGCATGCTGGGAATGAGACTGGCCTTTAGAACTGTGGGCTGTTTGGGAGTGGGATGACCTGCAACTGCCAGCTTTCCCCCACTTCTCTGGTAACATGTATGACTCAGCAGAGGCAGGCATAACTCCCCTGAAAATGTATCTCCATCGTACTGGGAACCACACCCCCATTTCCCAAAGGAGCTACAGTAAGCCTTGCGCAAAGATAGGCTGAGCTCAGATATGCCTATTCCTGCCTCCACCTTGTGGTCTTTCTCTACCTTCCCTGGTAGCCGAAGAAAAAGCTCATATTCTCTTGGGAGTCCTATGACCCTGCCCACTGCCTGAGAAACCTGAATACTTAACCAGGTGTCCCTAGAGCAAGTTTGCATCCTCCCTATAGGACTGCAGCTGATGCATACTTGAAAAGGTCACCTCCTGGCTGGAGGCCAACCAACACAAAACCAGCCCACTAAACAAAACACAACCAAGGACCCTCACAGAGTCCACTTTAATCCCTTGCTACCTCCACTGTAGCAGGTGCTGGCATCAGTGGCTGCAAGACCTGTAGATAGATCACAACATAGGACTCTTTGGAGACACTCCCCAGTACTAGCCCAGAGCACAGTAGCTCCACTGGGTTCCTAGACCCAGAAGAGCAAAAACAATCACTACAGTCTAGCTCTCAGGAAGCCCTATTCCTAGGGGAAGGGGGAGAACACCACATAAAGGGAGCATCCCATGGTTCAAAATAATCTGAGCAGCAGCCCTTGAATCCCAGACATAGTCTACCCGTATGAGAAAGAACTAGAAAAACAATTCTGGCAATATGACAAAACAAGGTTCTTTAATATCACCAAAAGACTATACCAGCTTACCAGCAATGGATCCAAACCAAGACAAAAATCTCTGAATTGCCAGAAAAAGAATTCAGAAGATCAATTTTAAGCTAATCAAGGTGGCACCAGAGAAAGGTGAAGTCCAATTTAAAAAAATAAGAAACGTGATATAGGATACAAAAGGAAAATTCTTCAGTGCAATAGATAGCATAGATAAAAAACAATCACAACTTCTTGAAATCAAGGACACACTTAGATAAATGCAAAATGCACTGGAAAGTGTCAGCAATAGAATGGAACAAGCAAAGAAAAAAACACAGAGCTCGAAGACAGGGCTTTGAAATTAATCCAACCCATCAAAGACAAAGAATAAATAATTTAAAAAATGAACAAAGCCTCCAAGGAGTTTGGGACTACATTAAATGTCCAAACCTAAGAATAATTGGTGTTCCCAAGGAAGGTGAGAAATGTAAAAGTTTGGAAAACATATTTGAGGGAATAATAGAGGAAAACTTCCCTGTCCTTGCTAGAAATCTAGACATCCAAATACATGAAGCTCAAAGAACACCTGGGAAATTCATTGTAAAAAGATTATCGCCTAGGCACACGGTCATCAGGTTATCTAATGTCAAGACAAAGGAAAGAATCTTAGGAGCTGTGAGGCAAAAGCATCAGGTAACCTATAAAGAAAAAACTATCAGATTAATTGCAGATTTCTCAACAGAAACTCTACAAGCTAGAAGAAATTGGGGTAATATTTTTAGCCTCTTTAAGCAAAACAATTATCAGCCAAGAATCTTATATCCAGTGAAACTAAATTTCATAAATGAAGGAAAGATATAAGATACAGTCTTTTTCAGACAAACAAATGCTGAGAGAATTCACCTCCACCAAACCAGCACTACAAGTACTGCTAAAGGGAGCTCTAAATCTTGAAACAAGTCCTTGAAATACACCGCTATAGAACCTCCTGAAAGCTTAAATCTCACAGGACCTATATAACAATAATACAATGAAAAAAAGGTATTCAGGCAACAAATAGCACAATGAATAGAATAGTACCTCACATCTCAATACTAAAATTGAATGTAAATGGACTAAATGCTCCACTTAAAAGATACAGAATGGCACAATGGATAAGAATTCACCAACCAAGTTTCTGCTGTCTTCAGAAGACTCACCTGACACATAAAGACTCACATGAACTTAAGGTAAAGGGGTGGAAAAATATACTCCATGCAAACGGGAATCAAAAGTGAACAGGAGTAGCTATTCTTATATCAGACAAAACAAGCAACAGCAGTTATAAAAGACAAAGAGGAACATTATATAATAATATAACGAAAATATCACAACTCCATATATATATGCACCTAACACTGGAGCTCCCACATTTATAAAACAATTACTACTAGGTCTAAGAAATGAGACAGATGGCAACACAATAATGGTGGAGGAATTTAATACTCCACTGACAGCACTAGACAGGTCTTCAAGACAGAAAGTCAACAAAGAAGCAATGGACTTAAACTGTATCCTACAACAAATGGACTTAACAGATATTTACAGAACATTCTACCCAACAGCTGCAGAATATACATTCTATTCATCAGCACATGGAACACTCTCCAAGATAGACCATATGATAGGCCTTAAAACAAATCACAGTAAATTTAAGAAAATCAAAATTATATCAAGTATTCTCTCATGCCACAGTGGAATAAAATTAGAAATCAACTCCAAAAGGAACCCTCAAAACCATAAAAATACACAAAAATTAAATAACCTTCTCCTGAATCGTCATTGGGTCAACAATGAAATCAAGATGGAAATTTAAAAATTCTTTGAACTGAACAATAATAGTGACACAACTTATCAAAATCTCTGACATGCAACAAAAGCAGTGCTAAAAGGAAAGTTCATAGCATTAAATGCCTACATCAAAAAGTCTGAAAGAGAACAAACAATCTGAGGTCACACCTCATGAAACTGGAGAAACAAGAGCAATCCAAGGTCAAACTCAGCAGAAGAAAAGAAATAATGAAGATCGGAGCAGAGCTAGATGAAAGTGAAGCAACAGCAAAGAAACAACAACAATAACAAAACAATACCAGAGATAAATGAAACAAAAACCTGGTTCTTTGAAAACACAAATACAATTGATAGACCATTAGGGAGATTAACCATGAAAAGAAGAGAGAAGAACCAAGTAAGCTCAAGTAGAAATGAAACAGGAGATATTACAACTGATACCACAGAAATACAAAAGATTATTCAAGGCTACTATGAGCACCTTTATGCACATAAACTAGAAAGTCTAGAGGAGATTGATAAATTCCAGGAAATATACAACCCTCTTAAATTAAACAAGGGAGATATAAAATTTCTGAACAGATCAAAAACAAGCAGCAAGATTGAAATAGTAATAAAAAAATTGTCAGCAAAAAAGTCCAGGACCAGGCAAATTCATAGATGAATTCTATCAGAAATTCAAACCATTGGTACCAATCCTATTGATACTATTCCAAAAGATAAGGAGGGAATCCTCCATAAATCATTCTATGAAACAGGTATCACCCTAATATCAAAACCAGGGAATGACATAATAAAAAAAGAAAACTACAGACCAATATCCCAAATAAATGTAAATGCAAAAATCCTCAACAAAATATTGCAAACAAAATCCAACAGCATATAAAAAAGAAAATCTACTATGATCAAGTGGGTTTCATAGCAGGGATGCAGGGATTGCTTAACATACATAAGTCAAAAACTGTGATACATCACATAAAAAGAATTAAAAACAAAATCACATCATTATCTCAATAGATGCAGAAAAAGCATTTGATAAAATCCAGCATCCTTTTATGATTAAGTCCCTTTTATGATATATACAATATCAGCATAGAAGAGACATAACTTCATGTAATAAAAGCCGTCTACGACAAACCCACATCCCAAATTATACTGAATGTGGAAAAAGTTGAATGCATTTCCCCAAAAACTGGAACAAGACAAGGATGCCCTTTTTCACCAATTCTATTCAACATAGTGCTGCGATTCCTAGCCAGAGCAATCAGGCAAGAGAAAGAAAGAAAGGGCATCCAAATTGGTAAAGAGGAAAGCAAACTGTTGCTGTTTGCTGATGATATGACCACCTAGAAAACCCTAAAGACTCCTCCAAAAAGCTTCTAGAACTGATACATGAATTCAGCAAAGTTTCAGAATACAAAAATTAATGCACACAGTAGAGGGAAATTTACAGCACTAAATGCCCACAAGAGAAAGCAGGAAAGATCCAAAATTGACACCCTAACATCACAATTAAAAGAACTAGAAAAGCAAGAGCAAACACATTCAAAAGCTAGCAGAAGGCAAGAAATAACTAAAATCAGAGCAGAACTGAAGGAAATAGAGACACACAAAACCCTTCAAAAAATTAATGAATCCAGGAGCTGGTTTTTTGAAAGGATCAACAAAATTGATAGACCGCTAGCAAGACTAATAAAGAAAAAAAGAGAGAAGAATCAAATAGGCGCAATAAAAAATGATAAAGGGGATATCACCACCGATCCCACAGAAATACAAACTACCATCAGAGAATACTACAAACACCTCTACGCAAATAAACTAGAAAATCTAGAAGAAATGGATAAATTCCTGGACACATACACTCTCCCAAGACTAAACCGGGAAGAAGTTGAATCTCTGAATAGACCAATAACAGGAGCTGAAATTGTGGCAATAATCAATAGCTTACCAACCAAAAAGAGTCCAGGACCAGATGGATTCACAGCCGAATTCTACCAGAGGTACAAGGAGGAACTGGTACCATTCCTTCTGAAACTATTCCAATCAATAGAAAAAGAGGGAATCCTCCCTAACTCATTTTATGAGGCCAGCATCATTCTGATACCAAAGCCAGGCAGAGACACAACAAAAAAAAGAGAATTTTAGACCAATATCCTTGATGAACATTGATGCAAAAATCCTCAATAAAATACTGGCAAAACGAATCCAGCAACACATCCAAAAGCTTATCCACCATGATCAAGTGGGCTTCATCCCTGGGATGCAAGGCTGGTTCAATATATGCAAATCAATAAATGTAATCCAGCATATAAACAGAGCCAAAGACAAAAACCACATGATTATCTCAATAGATGCAGAAAAAGCCTTTGACAAAATTCAACAACCCTTCATGCTAAAAACTCTCAATAAATTAGGTATTGATGGGACGTATTTCAAAATAATAAGAGCTATCTATGACAAACCCACAGCCAATATCATACTGAATGGGCAAAAACTGGAAGCATTCCCTTTGAAAACGGGCACAAGACAGGGATGCCCTCTCTCACCACTCCTATTCAACATAGTGTGGGAAGTTCTGGCCAGGGCAATTAGGCAGGAGAAGGAAATAAAGGGTATTCAATTAGGAAAAGAGGAAGTCAAATTGTCCCTGTTTGCAGACGACATGATTGTATATCTAGAAAACCCCATTGTCTCAGCCCAAAATCTCCTTAAGCTGATAAGCAACTTCAGCAAAGTCTCAGGATACAAAATCAATGTACAAAAATCACAAGCATTCTTATACACCAACAACAGACAAACAGAGAGCCAAATCATGAGTGAACTCCCATTCACAATTGCTTCAAAGAGAATAAAATACCTAGGAATCCAACTTACAAGGGATGTGAAGGACCTCTTCAAGGAGAACTACAAACCACTGCTCAAGGAAATAAAAGAGGATACAAACAAATGGAAGAACATTCCATGCTCATGGGTAGGAAGAATCAATATCGTGAAAATGGCCATACTGCCCAAGGTAATTTACAGATTCAATGCCATCCCCATCAAGCTACCAATGACTTTCTTCACAGAATTGGAAAAAACTACTTTAAAGTTCATATGGAACCAAAAAAGAGCCCGCATCGCCAAGTCAATCCTAAGCCAAAAGAACAAAGCTGGAGGCATCACACTACCTGACTTCAAACTATACTACAAGGCTACAGTAACCAAAACAGCATGGTACTGGTACCAAAACAGAGATATAGATCAATGGAACAGAACAGAGCCCTCAGAAATAACGCGGCATATCTACAACTATCTGATCTTTGACAAACCTGAGAAAAACAAGCAATGGGGAAAGGATTCCCTATTTAATAAATGGTGCTGGGAAAACTGGCTAGCCATATGTAGAAAGCTGAAACTGGATCCCTTCCTTACACCTTATACAAAAATCAATTCAAGATGGATTAAAGAGTTAAACATTAGACCTAAAACCATAAAAACCCTAGAAGAAAACCTAGGCATTACCATTCAGGACATAGGCATAGGCAAGGACTTCATGTCTAAAACACCAAAAGCAATGGCAACCAAAGCCAAAATTGACAAATGGGATCTCATTAAACTAAAGAGCTTCTGCACAGCAAAAGAAACTACCATCAGAGTGAACAGGCAACCTACAAAATGGAAGAAAATTTTTGCCACCTACTCATCTGACAAAGGGCTAATATCCAGAATCTACAATGAACTCAAACAAATTTACAAGAAAAAAACAAACAACCCCATCAAAAAGTGGGCAAAGGACATGAACAGACACTTCTCAAAAGAACACATTTATGCAGCCAAAAAACACATGAAAAAATGCTCATCATCACTGGCCATCAGAGAAATGCAAATCAAAACCACAATGAGATACCATCTCACACCAGTTAGAATGGCAATCATTAAACAGTCAGGAAACAACAGGTGCTGGAGAGGATGTGGAGAAATAGGAACACTTTTACACTGTTGGTGGGACTGTAAACTCGTTCAACCATTGTGGAAGTCAGTGTGGCGATTCCTCAGGGATCTAGAACTGGAAATACCATTTGACCCAGCCATCCCATTACTGGGTATATACCCAAAGGACTATGAATCATGCTCCTATAAAGACACACGCACACGTATGTTTATTGCGGCATTATTCACAATAGCAAAGACTTGGAACCAACCCAAATGTCCAACAATGATAGACTGGATTAAGAAAATGTGGCACATATACAGCATGGAATACTATGCAGCCATAAAAAATGATGAGTTCATGTCCTTTGTAGGGACATGGATGAAATTGGAAATCATCATTCTCAGTAAACTATCGCAAGAACAAAAAACCAAACACCACATATTCTCACTCATAGGTGGGAATTGAACAATGAGAACACATGGACACAGGAAGGGGAATATCACACTTTGGGGACTGCTGTGGGGTGGGGGGAGGGGGGAGGGATAGCATCGGGAGATATACCTAATGCTAGATGATGAGTTAGTGGGTGCAGCGCACCAGCATGGCACATGTATACATATGTAACTAACCAGCACAATGTGCGCGTGTACCCTAAAAGTTAAAGTATAATAAAAAAAAATTAATGCACACAAATCAGTAGCTCTGCTCTACACTAACAGTGACCAAGCTGAGAATCATATCAAGAACTCAACCCCTTTTACAATAGCTGCAAAAAAAAATACTTAGGAACATACCTAACCAAGGAGGTGAAAGGCCTCTACAAAAAAAACTACAAAACACTGCTGAAATAAATCATAGATGACACAAATGGAAACACACCCCATGCTCATGGATGGGTAGAACCAGTATTGTGAAAAGGAACATACTGTCAAAAATAATCTATAAATTCACTGCAGTTCCCATCAAAATACCACCATTATTCTTCACAGAACTGAAAAAAAAAATCCTAAAATTTATATGGAACCAAAAAAGAGCCCGCATAGCCAAAGCAAGACTAAGCAAAAAGAACAAACCCGGAGCTATCACATTACCTGACTTCAAACTGTACTATAAGGCCATAGTCACCAAAACAGCATGGTATTGGTATAAAACTAGGCACATAGACCAATGGAACAGATTAGAGAACCCAGAAATTAACCCAAATACCTACAGCCGACTTATTTTTGACAAAGCAAACAAAAACATAAAGTGTGGAAAGGACAATCTTTTTAACAAATGGTGCTGGGATAATTGGCAAGCAACATGTAGAAAAACGAAACTGGATTCTCATCTCTTACCTTATACAAAAATCAACTCAAGACAGATCAAAGACTTAAATGTGAGATCTGAAACTACATCAATTCTAGAGGAAGACAACCTAGGAAAAAACACTTCTGGATATTGACCTGGGCAAAGATTGACTAAAACCCCAAAAGCAAATGCAACAAAAACAAAATTAAATAAATGAGATATAATTAAACTAAAAAGCTTCTGTAGAACAAAAGAAATAATCATCTCAGTAAAAAGACAACTCACAGACTGGGAGTAAATATTTGCAAAGTATGCATCTGACAAAGGACTAATAACCAGAATCTACAAGGAACTCAAACAAGTTTGCAATAAAAGACAAGTAATCCCACCAAAAAGTGGGAAAATTACATTAATAGATACTTCTCAAAAAAATACAAATGGCCAATAAACTCATGAAAAAAAAAAAAAGCCAAACATGACTAATCCTCGGGAAAATGCAAATTAAAACAACAATCAGATTCTACCTTACCACGACCACAATGCCCATTAGTAAAAAGTCAAAAAGAATAGATGTTGGCATGGACAAAGTGAAAGGGAATGCTTATATACAGCTGGTGGCAATGTAAATTAGTACAACTTATATTGAAAATAGTATTGATATTTCTCAAAGAAATAAAAGTAGAGCTACCATTTGATTCAATAATCCCACTACTGGCTACATATCCAAAGGAAAATAAGTAATTATATCAGAAAGACATATGCATATGCAATTGTGCACAATTACAGCACAATTCACAACTGCAAAGATGTGGAACCAACCTACGTGTCCATCAACCAATGAGTGAATAAAGAAAATGTGATATACAGACACTGAAATGCTACTCAGCCATAAAAAAAAACAATGAAACAATATGTTTTGTAGCAATGTGGATGGAGCAAGAGGCTATTATTTTAAGTAACTCATGAATAAAAAAATACGGTATGTTCTCGTTTATATATAGGAGATAAGCTATGGCACGTAAAAGCATACAAAGTGGTGTAATAGGCATTGGAGACTCGGAAGGGGAGAGAGTGGGAGTGTGGTGAGGGACAAAAAAAAAAAAAGAATACCCTAAAAATGGAACTTCTATATGATCCAGCAATCTCCTTGGTAGGTACATACCCAAAAGAAAGGAAATCAGTATATCGAAGAGACATCTGCACTCCCATGTTTATTGCAGAACTATTCACGACAGCCAAGATTTGGAAGCATCCTTAGTGTCCATCAACAGACGAATGGAGAAAGAAATGTGATACATATATAAAAGGGGGTACTATTCAGCCATAAAAAAGAGTGAGATCCTGTCATTTGCAACAACAAGGATGGAACTGGAGGTCATTATGTTAAGTGAAATAAGCCAGACACAGAAAGACAAACTTCACATGTTCTTACTTATTTGTGACAGCTAAAAATTAAAGTAATTGAACTCATGGAAATATAGAGCAGAATGAAGATTATCAGGGAGGGACTGGGAAGTATAGTGGTGAGGGGGAAGTGGAGATGGTTAAGGGTACAAAAACATAGATAGAATGAGTCAGACCTAGCCTAGTATTTGTTAGCACAAGAAGGTAACTACAGTCAACAATAACTTATTGTACATTTAAAAATAGCAAAAGTATAATTGGATTATTTGTAATACAAAGAAAGGACAAATACTTGAGGCGATGTATACTCTATTTACCCTGATGTGATTATTATGCACTGTATGCTATATCAAAATCTTATATACCCTATAAGTACATACACCTAATATGTGCTCACAAAAGTAAAAATAGAAAATTTTAAAAGACTGAAGAAAAAAATAACAAATTGAAAGACTTATCTGAGTCACTGAAAATCTGCTATAGTGAGTCAAAAGATGGGAGATATAAAAAGAGATTAAGAGAAATGGAAGACAAAATAAGAAGGATGAACATATATTTAATTGAATTAAATAGCTGAAAATTTTCAGAATTAATGGCAGAGATGAATCACCACATTCAGGAAACATTAGACATCTTCAATTGATTGTATACTTATTGTGGTAAAACTGTAGAACATTCAAGATAGAAAGGAGCTCTTAAGAGAAGTCACAGGGAAAAGATTAACTACCTATAATAGAAAAATAATTAAAATTATAGCAAACATCTCAAAGCAACAAGAGAAGCCAGAATATAAGGGAATAAAAATTTCAAATTATTGAGAATACTCAATTGCTAATCTATAATTTTGTGCCCATATAAATTCTTTAAGAATAAATAAAACAATAAATATTTTCAGACAAAAGACTTCATACCTTCAGTCATAGAACTTTCATAGGATCTACTGAAGGAAATTGAACCTGAAAGAAAGACTATAAGACAAAAAGATGGTGAACAAAGAGTAAAACATGGAAAATCTAAACACACATTGACTATAAGATAATGATAAAAATCATATGAGTAGTAGCAGGAGTAATAATAATAATAATAGTTACTATTAAAGCATAGTAGTTAATAGTAGTAATTATTAAACAATAGTAGTTGATAATTAAAAACATAATAATAATTAATGTAAAGCTCAGAAAACCACAATGCAACAAAATATTTGAGCAACTATTACAGATATGAATAAAAGAGAGAAGATCAGAGTTAAAATATTCTCTCATCCCTTGATTGTTTGGTAGAAGGATTGAGGTTGAATTTAGATTCTCACGTGTTTTAAACATGTGTGGTAACTCTATTAGGTAATCCTTTCATTGCTATAAAGAAATACATTTTAAATGACCAGATCTTGTGTAAACTCAGAGCAAGAGCACACTTATCACCAAGAAGATGGCCCAAGTCATTCATGAGGGATCCATCCTCATGACCAAAACACCATCCACCAGGCCACACCTCCAACACTGGGCATTACATCTCAATATGAGATTTGAGCAGGAACAAATATCCAAACCATATTATTTAACCTCTGGCCTATCCTAAATGTCATATCGTTCTCACATTGCAAAATACAATTCATGCCTTCTCAATAGTCCCCCAATAGTCCCATTAAATTCCAGTATGAACTCAAATACCCAAAGTCCAAAGTCTTATCTGAGACAAGACAAGTCCTTTCCACCTATGAGCCTGTAAAATAAAAAACAAGTTAGTTACTTTCAAGATAAAATGGGGGTGTCAGCACTGGGTAAACATTCTTCTTCCAAAAAAAGAGAAATAGGCCAAAGAAAAGGGGCAATAGACCCCATGCAAGTTCAAAACCCAGCAGGGCAATGATTAAATCTTAAAGCTCCAAAATAATCTCCTTTGACCCCAAGTCCCACATCCAGGGAACACTGATGCAAGGGGTGGGCTTCCAAGGGGTAGCTCTGTCCCTGTGGTTTTGCAGGGTTCAGCCTCTGTGGTTGCTGTGATGGGTTGGTGTTGAGTATCTGCAACTTTTCCAGGTTGCAGGGTATTTGCTGTTTATATTTTCCAGGTGCAGGGTAAAGGCTGCCTGTGAATCTATCATTCTTGAATCTGGAAGACAGTAGCCCCTTCTCACAGCTTCACTAGGCCATGCCCCATTGGGGACCCTGTGTAGGGGTTCCAACCAGACACTTTGCCTCTGCACTACCCTAGTAGAGGTTCTCATGGGGGCTTTGCCCTGCAGGAGGCTTCTGCCTGGGAATCCAGGCTTTTGCATATAGCCACTGAAATCTAGGCAGAGGCTCCCAAGCATTCTTCACTCTTGCATTCTGTACACCTACAGGCTTAACACCATGTGAAAGCTGCCAAGGCTTACAGCTTGCATTCTTCTCAGTGGCAGCTAGAGCTGTACCTGGCCTCCTTTGAGCCACAGCTGAAGCCAGAGTGGCTGGGATGCAGGGAGTAGTGTCTCAAGGCTGCTCATGGCAGCAGGGCCCTGGGCCTGGCCCACAAAACCATTTTTTCCTCCTATGCTTTTGAGCCTGTGATGGGAGGGTCTGCTGCAAATATCTCTGAAATCCCTTCATGGTCCTTTCCTCATTATCTTGGATATTAGCACTTGGTTCTCTTTTAGTCATGCAAATTTATCTAGCAAGTGGTTGCTTCTCATCTTGCTTGAATTCTTCTCTTGAAGAAGCTTTTTATTTCTCTGCCACATAACCAGCCTCCAAATTTTCCAAAGTGTTATGCTCTGCTTCTCTTTTAAATGTTAAGTTCCAACTTTAAGTCTTCCCTTTGCACCTGCATCTGAGTGTAGGTTGTTAGAAGCAGCCAGGCTACTTCTTGAATGCTTTGCTGCTTAGGAATTTCTTCTTCTTCCAGATACACTAAATTATCACTATAAAGTTCAAGTTTCCTCTGATCCCTGGGCATGAACACAATACAGCCAAGCTCTTTGCTAAGTCAACATGTGTGACCTTTGCTCCAGTTCCTAATAAGTTCCTCATTTCCATCTGATACCTTGCAGCCAGGACTTCACTGTTCATGTCACTATCTGCAATTTGGTCACAAACATTTAACCAGTCTCTAGGAAGTTCCAAACTTTTTCATATTTTCCTGTCTTCTTCTGAGCCCTCCAAACTCTTCCAACCTTTGCCTACTACCCAGTTCCAAAATCACTTCTTCATTTGTAGGCATCCTTATAGCAATGCTCCCCTCCTCAGTACCAATTTGCTGTATTAGACCATTCTTGTAATTCTATAAATTAATACTATAAGCTGGGTAATTTATAGAGAAAAGAAGTTTAATTGGCTTATGTTTCAATCACTTCAGAGCCAAGCCAGGAAAAAGTCACTTGCACAAAATTCTTCCTTCCTTGCCTTTTCCTTTCATTTTTTTTTTTTAAATTATACTTTAAATTTTAGGGTACATGTGCACAACGTGCAGGTTTGTTACATATGTATACATGTGCCATGTTTGTGTGCTGCACCCATTAACTCATCATTTAACATTAGGTATATCTCCTAATGCTATCCTTTCCCCCTCCCCCCACCCCACAACCCAAATGTCCAACAATGATAGACTGGATTAAGAAAATGTGGCACATATACATCATGGAATACTATGCAGCCATAAAAAATGATGAGTTCATGTCCTTTGTAGGGACATGGATGAAGCTGGAAACTATCATTCTCAGCAAACTATCGCAAGGACAAAAAACCTTCCTTGCCTTTTTCTTAGTGAACATGAAATTCTCATAGCTGGCAGAATTACTGAGAACAGCTACTTGCATTTGCCTTTGTATTAGCAGCAAAAATGTTTTTGATTAACTAAACCCTGGAATTGTTTATATTGTATCATTGTTTATTTTATCTGAATAAGAGTATATTTACTTTTAAACATAATCACTAAAGGAACATAAATATGTAATATAACTTCAAGAGAAGATGAATAGAGATTTTAGATAAAAATTGAAAGGAGGGAAAAGAATGCAATGAAGTTTGTATAAAACTGTATGCTTAAAACATGGTAAGTTCAAATATTTTTGTATCTATAGAAATGATAACACACTTTAATGGTAATGCATTTCAGTTAAGAAACAGAGGTTGTTCAAATTGGAGTTCTAAAAATCTATTTGCTGTTTATATGACACTTATTCAGATATAAAAAGTTAGAAAATTGAAACTGTAGAGACATTATAGAGAAAATACATATTCTAATTTAAAAAGAAAGCTGGCATAGCTATATTAATTTCAGGAAAAATAAATTTTAAGGTAAAAAGAGGTATTGGATTTAACAAGGTCACTATATAATAATGAGAGTTGCATTTTACCAAGAAGACATAAAGTTATAAACTTGTAAATACCTAATAATGTAGCTAAAAGCAAGTACAAGTTATTACAAAGCATAATAAGTTTACCCAAATATTAAAAATTGATTAAAAAATTAGGTGATTTTAACACATCTCTCCCAGTAATGGTTAGTTCGGAGGAACAAAGCTATTGTTTTGGACATAAAAGATTTAAACTAAACAATTAAGAAATTTAATATGATGGAATGTATACAACCTTGTGCAGATCAATTAAGGAATATTTAAGTTTCTCAAGTGGTTGTGGAGCATTTCTGCAATTTCACTTCACATCAAGTGTAAAGAGAGGCTCAACAAAGAGCAAAGTGCCAGTTTTCCAGAGACTGTATTTGCTCTCTGTCTTAGTGTTTTGTGTTGTTATAAAGGAATACCTGAGGCTGGGTAATTTATAAAGAGAATGGCTTATTTGGCTCATGATTCTGATGGCTGGAAAGTTTAAGATTGGGCATCTGCATCTAATGAGGGCTTCAGGCTGCTCTCAGTCATGGCAGAAGGCAAAGGGTAGTCAGTGTGTGCAGAAATCACATGGTGAGAGAGGAAGCAAGAGAGAGTGTGGGGTGATACCAGGCTCTTTTTAACAATCAGCTCTCACCAGAGCTAATAGAGTAAGAGCTCACTCACACCCAAGGGCAGGAATTAGTCTCTTCATGAAAGATTCATCCCCATTATCCAAACACTTCTTATTAGGCCCTGTCTCCAACATTGGAGATAAAATTTCAACATGAGGTTTGGAGAGGTCAAACATCCAAACCGTAGCACTGACCGAAATGAAATTAAATTAAAAATTTAAAAAACTAAATAATGACTGAAAAGTAGACCTACAAATATAAAACAATCCAAATAAGCCATAGCTCAAAAAGAACTCATAATAGAAACTAGAAAATAAAGCAGAAAAATAATAAAATAATACATTACAAAATTAATAAGATATGCACAAATGCAGTCTTTTGAGAAAACCATATATCTTCATGTGTTTATATTAAATAATATTGCTATTAACTTAGAAAAGAAAAAGATTAAACTATAACTAGAAAAACAACCTAATAAAGCAGTTAGTTAAAAAAAAGAAGCAATACAAATAATGTAGAAAAAAATACAAAAATAAGCCAATTCAGACAGTGTTCCTAGTGAGTTTTCCCAAACATTCAAGGAAAAAATATTAGCAGGGAATGGAAAAAAAGGAGGGCATCACAGTTTCTTCTAAAAGGCTTTCATAACTTTGATAATCAGATCTAGAAAATTATGAATTTAAAACTATAAGAAATTGGACTAACATTTTAATCTATGTCATGAGCAAATTATTTTATAAACCTAGGTGCAAACTCAAGTCAACAATGTAGCAAATATTTCTATAAATATTTATGTTGAATGCTGTGATTTGCCTCCCAGGTACTCCTTAAAACTATGACATTGTTCACCCAGCTGTCAGGAGTGTTAGCTTTTGACAACTCATAGGTGAATCCCTTGGACAAAGAAAGATGCTTCACTCAAGGTTATGCATTTGCCTTCCTGATGGATCTTGTATCCAATGACTGGCCAAGGCTGGGGTATAGAGACACAGCCTTCTATTTTAATTGGAAACAACTCTGAAAGGCCATGTCAGCTGCAGCTCTACCCATTGTCAACTTTGAAAGTGGAAGAAGATGAGTGATAGGAATGACGTTAGATTGTTATTTATATAAGGCTTTCACCTATATTTTTAATACTCTATTTGTTAAGCAGAGTGTTCAGTACTTAGGTGTTTATTATATTATATGTTATACTTTTGTGTGTTTCTAAAATATTTAGTAATAAATACATCTGAAAATAAGTTAGTACCAAGAGCTTGTGCTTTGCAGTCAAATAGATCTGGGTTCAGATCCTGCCTCTCCTTACTTCCTTGACAAAGCATCCCTCTCTGAGCCTTAGTCTCTTTACCTATGACATAAGAATAAGAATCTTACTGCATCTCTTTAAAGTGTCTATTACTTTAAAGTGTCTTTAGCTCTTTAAAGATGCTCAATATATTTTATTTTAAAAATAAAGTTTTGGGCAGGAGAATGCTGAAAGGATCTGCAGGTTCTGACTAGGAGGGGATTCTGAACTCTGAACTCCCTTTTCCCCCATAGTCTGGGCTAGAAATCTCCTTTTTTGGCTTGTTTACCTTGATAGGACAATGCAGGCATTGTAAGTGGAAAATCTAGTTCTATTAGAATACCTTCTACACTAACATTCTGTGATACTATAAAAAGAAAAGCCTAGGATGGCAAATACCTTTTTAAGATACTGACGTTGCTTCATTTAACCATATAGAGATCTTTTTAGACTAGATACTGAGATTCTTCACCCTGTCTGAGCATTAGAACAACTTAGATGCTTTAAAAAGATACCCATTCCTGGCCCTCCACCCTCTGAGATTCTCAAATATTTGGTGTGGGGTGGATCTCAGACCCAGTTTTATTTTCAAAATTTGACAGGTGATTCTAATTTGGGACCAAAATGAAGAGATACTAGTCAGAATTCCTCAAATCACAATCTATGTGCATGCAACTTTCCAAGCCCAATCCCAAAGCCATCCAATTGAAATCTTGGAATTTAGGGGATAAGTCTTGAAATTGTAGTGTCCTCACATGTTTCTCAAGTGATGCTTATGGACTTAATATTTGAGAACCACTACCATAAAACTGAAACATACAGTTAATTTCAGAAGACAGTATCGTGATCCTTGAAAAGTTTCGGTGGATTTTTTTTTTCAGGGTCAAAATTATCCCCCAAATCAGAATAAAACCAAGCATAATTTCATTTAACTCTCACTCATAAAATCCCATGAGTTCAATAAGCTCCCTTGGATATTAGCATACTGAGCACACTCTTTAGTCAAACTGAAGGGTGGTCCTCAGAGAATCTTTTTCCAGAGATCTTCAACTTTGCCACAGTAAAGGACTCTCTGGCTCCAATTGGCATCTTGTTCTCTGATTTCTCTCCTCAAACAAATGCTTGACTTCATACTGAGCCTTTTCTGATGATCACAAAATACTCTCTGCTTTGTTGCATCGCTACCTAATTGACTCTCTCTTCTCATCAGAGAGTCTGCTACTTCTCAATGAGTGAGACTTCTGAAGCACACACAACAAGAGCAATCACCTTTTCCTAAGGAGTTCTTGGAAGTGTAAGCTCAACTAGCAAGACAAGACTTGTCTTACCAACAATTATCTTCAATCTAGCAATAGAATTGTCGAAGGACTTGTTATACACTCCAGCAGTAAATGTCAATCTAACAACAGAATTATTGAAGCACTTTCAATAACACATTAAGCTTTATATTTTCAACACATGCAGAAAACAGTCCTATTATTTGTAATTGACAAATGAAGAACATGAAATTCAGGGAGGTGAACTAACTTAGCCACATTAGCTCAGAAATATAGTTGTGTAGTTGAGACTTGAACGCAATTCACAATGAAACCAAGCCTAGATTATTTCTACAACACACTGTTCTGTGCAATTTAGTGAAGATTACATACTGAAATTCACTTGCTGAGTTTCTTTGTGCAAATCCTTAAGTTTTGCTTGTCTGTAAAAATGCAAATAATTGTCTAGACAAAGAATAAAAAATGAAAAGCTCTCAGAGCAATTTCAAACTGAAGAGTAATTTTATTTAAAAAGCCCAGGTTAGGTACACATTTAGAAAGAAGGTGATAGTTATTACTACCATTAGACAATTATTTCTATTTATTCTTCTCTGGAATATAATTAGATTTTTAGATTTTACTTCTCCACTTCCTTGGATTTATTTATATCTGTGAAATTTGCTTTTGCCAGTTAAGCTCATTACAAAGGTTTGAGAGCAAGTGCACAATTTGATGCATGCTTTTTTTTTTTTCCTTTTGTGATGGCAAATGACAATGTTTGGGAAGGAGGCTGCTTCATTAACCTGGATCCAGGAATGAGGAATGTGGAACAGAACTCACAGCTGACCCATGGCAAACATATAGCATTCATAGAAAATAAATCTATATTGTTGCAAGTTTCTGAAATCATGGAGGTTGTTAGTTATGAAGGCATAATCTAGCCTACCCTGACAGCTACAAAAACAGTCTCTAGAAGTAAGTTCTGTATGACAGCTACAAAATAATAACTAACCAATCAAGTAAAAAACAAAAACACAAAA
The DNA here is from genome assembly GCF_000001405.40 of Homo sapiens. NCBI lineage: Eukaryota > Metazoa > Chordata > Mammalia > Primates > Hominidae > Homo > Homo sapiens. The sequence continues at coordinate 117,448,570 of NC_000002.12, read as the reverse complement.
CCCACCATCATTGAATATCGGTCACATTTTGCTAGTGACCAGGAGGCAGCTGATAAGAAAACTGATGCCAAAGGCTGGAGAGATGATTGTCCAAGTTATTCAGTGTCAAACATTTAGTAAAGATGTTATTGTAGCAACAGAAAAAATAAGTCAGAAAAAAAAAATGTTTGTAATGAGCTATCACATAAAAGAGATGAACTCTAAAATCAATTGGTCATGGGGCAAAATTAATAAATAAATAAAAGGATATAGAAGTATTTATGAAATTCAGGGATTTGTAGGTTTAGAAGAGGCAGCTGCTTCATAACCCCAACAAATAAAACATAAAGCCAAAAAGGCCTTTGGAAAACAAGGATTGGTTAGAACTCAGTTTTATTGCAAGGATCAAATCAACAGTAAGTTTAGATTAAAATGTCTCTGAGAAACATCTTGGTACTCAGTTATATTAATCTGTTCTCACACTGCTCATAAATACAAGCAGAGACTGGGTAATTTATGAAGAAAAAGAGGTTTATTCCATAGTGTATATGTACCATATTTTTTTAAATCCAGTCTATCATTGATGGGCATTTAGGTTGGTTTCATGACTTTGCTATTGTAAATAGTGCTGCAATAAACATATGTTTGCATGTGTCTTTATAGTAGAATAATTTATATTCCTATGGATGTATACCCAGTAAGGGGATTGCTGGGTCAAATGGTATTTCTGGGTTCTAGATCCTTGAGGAATCGCCATACTGTCTTCCACAATGATTGAACTAATTTACATTCCCACCAACAGGGTAAAAGTGTTCCTATTTCTCCACAACCTTGCCAGCATCTATTGTTTCTTGACTTTTTAATAATCACCATTCTGGCTGACGTGAGATGGTATCTCACTGTGGTTTTGAATTGCATTTCTGTAATGATCAGTGATGTTGAGCTTTTTTTCATGTTTGTTGGCCACCTAAAAGTCTTGTTTTGAGAAGTGTCTGCTCATATCCTTTGCCCACTGTTTTAGGGGTTGTTTGTTTTTTTTCTTGTAAATTTGTGTAAGTTCTTTGTAAATTTTGAATAGTAGACCTTTGTCAGATTGGTAGATTGCAAAAATTTTCTCCCATTCTGTAGGTTGCCTATTCACTCTGATGATAGTTTCTTTCACTGTGCAGAAGCTCTTTAGTTTAATTAGATCCCATTTGTCAATTTTAGCTTTTGTTGCAATTGCTTTTGGCTTTTTTGTCATGAAGTCTTTGTCCATGCCTATGTCCTGAATGGTATTACCTAGGTTTTCTTCTAGGGTTTTCATGGTTTTGGGTTTTAAATTTAAATCTTGAATCCATCTTGAGTTGATTTTTGTATAAGGTGTAAGGAAGGGGTTCAGTTTCTATGCAGCCATAAAAAAGAGTGAGATCATGTCCTTTGCAGGGACATGGTTGAAGCTGGAAGCCATCATCCTTAGCAAACTAACACAGGAACAGAAAATGAAACACTGCATGTTCTCACTCATAAGTGGGAGTTGAACAATAAGAACACATGGACACAGGGAAGGGAACAACACACACCAGGGCTTGTCGGGGGTTGGGGGCGAGGAGATAGAACTTAGAGTATGGGTCAATAGATGCAGCAAATTACCATGGCACATACATACCTATGCAACAGACCTGCACATGTATTCTGAAACTTAAAGTTAAAAAAAAGGGAGGGGGGTTTAATGGACTCAGTTCCACAAGGCTAGGGAGTCCTCACAATCATGGTGGAAGGCTCATCTAAGGAGCTCATCAAAGGAGGAGGAAAGTCACATCTTACATGGTGGCAGGCCAGAGAGAGCATGTGCAGGGGAACTCATCTTTATAAAACCATCAGATCTTGTGAGACTTATTCACCTTTAGAGAATAGCATGGGAAAGACCTTCCCTCATGATTTAATTACCTCCCACCAGGTCCCTCCCAGGACATGTGGGAATAGTGAGAGCTACAATTCGATATTTGGGTGGGAACACAGCGAAACCATATCATTTCACCCCTGGACCCTACCAAATCTCATGTCCTAATATTTTAAGACCAGTTATGCTTTCCCAGCAGTCCCCAAAAGTCTTAACTCATTTCAGCATTAACTCAAAAGTCTATAGTTCAAAATCTCATCTGAGACAAAGCAAGTCCCTTCACCCTATGAGCCTGTAAAATCAAAAGCAAGTTAGTTACTTCCTATGTAAAAAGGGGGTATAGGAATTGGGTAAATAAATCCATTCCAAATGAGAGAAATTGTCCAAAACAAAAGGTCCTCAGGATCCATGCAAGTCTGAAATCCAGCAGAGCAGTCAAATCTTAAAGCTCCAAAATGATCTCCTTTGACTTCATGTCTCACTTCCAGGTCATGATGATGCAAGAGCTGGGTTCCCATGATCTTGGGCAACTCTGCCCCTCTGCCTCTGCAGGGTACAATATCCATTCTGGCTGCTTTCATGGGCTGGTGTTGAGTTGAGACTTTTCCAGGCACATGGTGCAAGCTGTCAGTGGATCTCCCATTCTGGGTTTTGCAGGATGGTGGCCCTTTTCTCACAGCTCCACTAGGCAGTTTACCAGTGGGGACTCTGTGTGGGGGCTCCAACTCCACATTTCCCTTCTGCACTGGCCTAGCAGAGGTTCTCCATGAGGTCACTGCCCTTGCTGCAAACTTCTGCCTGGACATCCAGGAGTTTCCATCCATCCTCTGAAATCTAGGTGGAGGTTCCTAAACCTCAATTCTTGACTTTTGGAGCACCTGCCAGCTCAACACCAAATTAAAGCTGCCAAGGCTTGGGGCTCGCATTCTCTGGAGCCATGGCCTGAGCTGTACCTTGGCCTCTTTTGGCCATGGCTGGAGAAGCTGGACGCAGGGCACCAAGTCTCTAGGCTGCACACAGAAGGGGGGCTCTAGGCCTAGCCCATGAAACCATTTTTTCCTCCTAGGCCCCCAGGCTTGTGATGGGAGGGGCTGCTGTGAAGGTCTCTGACATACCCTGAAGATTTTTCCACATTGTGTTGGTGATTAACATTGGGTTTCTCATTACTTATGCAAATTTCTGCAGCAGGCTTGAATTTATCCCCAGAAAATGGGTTTTTCTTTTCTATTGCATTGTCAGGCTGCAAGTTTCCCAAACTTTTATGCTCTTCTTCCACTTGAACACTTTGCCACTTAGAAATTTCTTCCACCAGATACCTTAAATCATCTCTCTCAAGGTCAAAGTTCCACAGATCTCTAGGGTAGGGGCAAAATACCTCCAGTCTCTTTGTATAGTAAGAGTGATCTTTACTTCAGTTCCCAAAAAGTTACTCATATCCATCTGAGACCACCTCAGTCTGGACCTTATTGTCCAAATCACTATCAGCATTTTGGTCAAAGCCATTCAACAAGTCTCCAGGAAGTTCCAAATCTTCCCATATCTTCCTGTCTACTTCTGAGCCCTCCAAACTCTTCCAACCTCTGCCTGTAACCCAGTTCCAAAGTCTCTTCCACATTTTCAGTTATCTTTACAGCAGCACCCCACTGTAGCAGTACCAATTTACTGTATCAGTCTGTTCTCACACTGATAATAAAGACATACCTGAGACTGGGTAATTTATAAAGAAAAAGAGGTTTAATGGACTCACAGTTCCATGTGGCTTGGAAGGCCTCACCATCATGGCAGAATGCACAGGAGGAAAATGTCATGTTTTACATGATGGCAGGCAAGAGAAAGCATGTGCAGGGGAACTCTCCTTTAGAATACCATCAGATCCATGAGACTTATTCACTATCACAAGAACAGCATGGGAAATGCTCATCCTCCTGATTCAATGACCTCCCACCAAGTCCCTCCCATGACACTTGGGAATTGTGGAAGCTACAATTTGAGATTTGGGTGGGGACACAGTCAAGCCCTATCACCAGTGCATCTCTCAATTGAAAAAACAGGGCTTATAGAAGAAACAACAAGAACAGCTTATCCACTGAATCTTGTTGAACTTAAGGTACACACAAATAAATCAAGAACACAAGAGCAAGAATCATGGGGCTGAGAAAGCAAACACATACATGCACAATACACACATGTGCATTTATACATAATCTGTGTAGTATAATCACAAAGAGAAACCCCAAATTATATCAATTAGAATATAATTAATAAGCCTGGTAAGCCAGTTAATTTTATTTGTTAACTTGACTGGTTCACAGAATGCCCAGATAACTGAACATTATTCTAGATGTGACTGCGAGGGTGTTTTGAGATAAGATTAACATTTGAACTGGTAGATTGGGTAAAGGAGATTGCCCTCCATAATGTGGGTGAGGCTCATGCAGTCAGTTGAAGGCCTGAATAGAACAAAAAGGCAGACCCTCCCTCTCGGAAGACACTCCCTCTCGGAGGGCTGAGCCTCTCTCCCACTCAATCAATCCAGCTTGATTGTCTTGATCTGGAATATTGCTCTTTTCCTACCTCCAGACTAGAAGTGAATCATGTGTTCTTCTTGAGTCTTGAGCCTGCTGGCCTTTTGACTGAAACCATACCATTAGATCTCTTGGATGTCCACCTTTCCAACTGTTGATTTCAGGAATTCCTCAGCCTCCATAATCGTGGGCCAATTTCTCATAATCAATAACTTTATCTCCATATATATATATACATCCTGTTTGGCTCTGTTTCTCTAGGAAACCCTGACAAAAGACCTGGTAAGTTTTCATAAGAGTTATACAACTAAAGAAACTTTCAGCATATACTAAACAATCTGGGATTATAATACAAATATTAACCTAATCCTTGGGTCCTCAAACTTTCTGTGATCAGGAAGTAGACTGAAAAAACTACTCAGCCCCAAAGAATGTATATTCTCTAATGCTGGCTTTGCATGTGGGCAAAGATACTGAGGAAGATCCTTCTAGAAAGCAGAACCAAGGGCCACAGAGAGCAAGGTGCTTAGGGGTTCCTTGCAAGGAATGGAATCAGTGTCTAATCTGATCTAAGAACATTCGGATCCTTAATGAAGGTAGTCCTTGCAAATTTCTGCCCTTTGGGATTTCAGCATATTTATAAACCTGAGTTAGCTGTCCAACTCCTATTATACATTTTGAAGGGGAGTGTTCATTGCAGTTTTTCTGCCTCTGTTACACCAGTGTATGTTGGTTGTGTGGAGGAGGCAGATAACATTTTCGTTCGTAGATCTCTAGATCAAGAGACTCCACACAACACCTAGATGGTGCAGACCTTCAGCTCGATACTTTGAGCAGATGAGATTCTAGGGCTATATCCCTTAGTGGCAGGGAGAATGTATTTTGTGTTTAAAAAGGAGAGTGAACTCAACATTTGGTGAGCAGGAGGGGAGCCTGTGGTCATAATTCCTCATCACTGAATATTATTGACTCTCTACCTTCTAATACATGGTAGGATGCCACTTCCTGTGCTCCCCTGCCCTTCTCCTAGTTAAAATTAGACATGGTTACGAGAATTATTTTGACCTATGAAATGTGAACAGGGGTGTGTACCACTTTTGAGTAGTCTTAAGAGGCAGTATGTCATTCACTACATTATCTCCTCTCTGTCTCAGCAACAGTAAGCATTATGAATAGGGACCGTTTCATCAGTCTGGATATGGGAGTAAGGAGACATGGAGCCACTTTTCTTGTTGACCTACAATGGCATGTCATAGTCTAAGTCCCTAAGGTTTGGAAGTTGTTTGTTACTGCAGCATAATCTAGATTGTTCTGACTGCTTCACAGAACTCAGCAACTGTAGTTAACCACCAGCTTCATCTACTTTTACATTACCTGCCTACCCACCCAACCCTTTAAGACACTTAGTTTGCAACTCCTGAATACAATTTCTAAAGTTTCCAGCACTAAAATTCTGTGTTTCTCACTTATTTTCTACCTTCTAATCAGAACCACTTTTAAATTGTATGGATCTTTTACTTGTATTTGAAAATTTACAAATTAAGGAATCCTAGATGTGAGCCTTAACTCCATCATTTAGCAGCCATGTGAACCTTGATGAATAGCTTATCCTTGATTAATTTATCTAGAATAAAAAACCTCTCTATCTATCTACATTGCAAGAAAATCTAGTGAGGAATAGGATACGCAAAAGCACTTTACAAAAAGTAAAGCACAGGATTGACCTGCCGCATTCCAACGTTAAATTCATACATCAGAAAGCCCTTCCCCATCTATCAAAAATTCCTCACCTCAGTTAAAACAAGTTTATATTTTCCCCATTCTCAGTAGAGATAAACTTACTACTGATTTTCATGGCTGAAGACATACTTCTCAGAATTTCTTTGTAAGTCAAGTTATATCCTCAAGCCATAGACATCAAAGCCATTAAATATATAAAATCATAATTTTTATTTATATCAGCTTTCTTCAATTATTTTTCACCTAATTGCTTTGCCAAATAACAAATCTACATGAAAGACTTTTTCCCCTTTTATACCTTAACTTTGTGTATGTCTTTGCCATAGCGTGTAACTCAATGTACCTAGGTCATAATTCATTTTCTATTTTCCACAATAAATTGTCAGTCCTTTAAGGGATTATGTCTACACACATTTTTGTACCAGATGCTTGCTCATAAAAGGCGCTCCATTAATATATTGGATTTAGCATATATTCATATATTTAAATTGTCTATTTAAACTTAATTAAAATTAAAATTCCATAATAGTATTATAATAGAGAGATAATTCCTAATATATATTACTTGCTACCAAGCACTTATTGACTTTAATAAGAAAATGTTTATAAATGTAGCATGGTCCTGTGTTACATCCTAACGCCTCCTAAAATATAAACTCACAGTGTGGGAAGAGCAGAGGCCCTGCAGTTTACTAGCTGTGAGGTCATATACAGCTAGTGAGACCTTTAGGCTCAGTTTACTTATCTGTAGAACTGAGACAGTAGTATGCATCTCATTGCCCTGCTCTGAGGTTAATTGAGTAGTAGACAGAAAGTTTCTGGTGCTTGACAATCACTCAAGTTTTATTTCTTATCTGGATTCATGAAGATGATCTCACTTCCACAGCATTGCTTTTTTCTCTAAGTATGGACTAGAAGTTGTCCTCCTTTGGCCCTATTATACTTTAAATTGAAAAACTGAAAATTAAAAATGCAAAGAAAGCCTTGCCTTCTTTTTCAGTCTATGAATTAACAAGAGGAAGGTTGAGTTAGATGCATAACTCAACATTTAAAATATTCTATATTGCTCTCGTTAACATTGCCAATAAAATTTTTAAAATTTCCCATTTGCCATTACAGTGATAACCAATAGGTATTATTTTATATAATATATATTATAATATGTCTATATATAAAAATGTATATGCCTGCATACATGAAACTATTCATGGGAAAATGCTATATAAATATAACTTGATTTTAAAAACATTATACTTATATTTTTGTTGCTTAAGAATGATAGCCAGTCTGCATGTACTTTTTCATTTATTTGGAAATGAATCAATCAAGTTTTAAAGTCTTTGTTTTTGGTAATATTGACAAATATCATTAATTAACCAGTTAAATTGGAGGTTCCTTTTCTAATGGTTTTGCCAATATCCTCTTCAGTTATATTTGAAAAGTAAAACAACAAAGTTATTTATCCATTTCTTTGATGATGCTTCAAAAACCATACACAAACAATTCACCACTTTTAAATGAGTACTCTGTACATCATCCAGTAATAACTTCTAAAATCTTTTTTTTTTTTTTTTTGAGACAGAGCCTTGCTCTGTTGCCCAGGTCGCCTCCTGGGTTCAAGCGATTCTCCTGCCTCAGCTTTCCAAGTAGCTGGAACAACAGGTGCATGCCACCATGCCCAGCTAATTTTTGTATTTTTAGTAGAGACGGGGTTTCACCACGTTGGCCAGGATGGTCTCGAGCTCCTGACCTGTGATCCGCCCTCTTCAGCCTCCCAAAGTGTTGGGATTACAGGCATGAGCCACCGCTCTCGGCCATGACTTCTAAATCTTATATGAGTTGTGAAGAATATGTATTATGGCCATGTAAAATAATAAAAATGTACTTTTCTGAGGAAGAAATTTTTTTACTATGATTATTCCTGACTAGTAGTTTAAATCAACTTGGTTTAAATCAGCTTGATTTAAACCACTAGTCAGGAATAATCATAGTAAAACAAATCACCTGTCATATATCTTTAAATCTGTGAATAAAATATCTGATAATGTATAGAATGATGTTGATTAAAATTACTCCTGTTCTTTGCCTCAAACATCTCTGAGGCCTTGCCAACCTTTATTTGCTTATTACTTAGTGCAATATAATCTCATTCAGTATCATCCATCAGTGGGGCTTGGTCCCTTACAACCCATGTTTCTAAATAAAGTCAACTCATATCTTTATATCCTAAACCTTTATTTTTAATGACCATTCTTTTCTTGGATGGGGATCTATAATTACATAGCATTCTAGTATTCTTTAAGTACTGAAAATACATAAGTCCTGAAATAGTTAAGCATGTTCTTGCTAACTCAAGGTCGACCTTGAGGCATGCTCACTTTCATACACCACAGAATTACAACGCAGGAGCTACTGAGATACACGTAGAAATGATCGAGGTATATGCAGTTCTGTTTGTAAATAATCCTAAATTTGCAAGTACTCCCACATGGCTGAAAGTTTGTATTTCTTTTACTAAATCAATTGATCCTTATTCTACTGTGAACAATTCTAACTATATGTTGTCAATTTATCCCTATTTTAGTCACAGTTAAAAATCAGCATGGCTAAAGATACTAGAGAACTGAGTGAGAAAGTGCTGAAAAAACTTCTCTAGAAAATTTTAAGTCATTACTTACCAGATTGTTGAAGAGAGGACGGAAGTGTCATATTTTTATATTAATTTAGGAACATTTTTTAAAGCTGTTATTCTTATAGGAGTTAGCTTTTGGCTTTTAAACATGTGGTAAAATATACATAGTATTAAATTTACCATTTTAACCAGTTTTAAGTGTGCAATTCAGTGGTGTTTAGTGCATTCACATTGTTTTGCAACTATCATCACTATCGATCTCCAGAACTTTTTCATCCTCCCAAACGGAAACCTTGTAGCTGTTAAGCATCATACCTTCTCACGTCCTATTTCTTCCAGCCCTTGATAACCACTGTTCTACTTTTTGCATCTATGAATTTGACTATTCTAGGTATCTGTATATGTGAGGACAAAATACTTACAGCACTTTGTATAATGTTTTCAAGGTTCATTTATATTATAGCATGTACTTTTTTTTTTTTTCCTAGACAGAGTCTTGCTCTGCTGCCCAGGCTGGAGTGCAGTGGCGTGATCTCGGCTCACTGCAACCTCAACCTCCCAAGTGATTCTCCTGCCTCAGCCTCCCAAGTAGCTGGGATTACAGGCACACACCACCATGCCCAGCTAATTTTTGTATTTTTAGTAGAGATGGGGTTTCACCATGTTGGCTAGGCTGGTCTCAAGTGATCTGCATACCTCGGCCTCCCAAAGCGCTGGGATTACAGGTGTGAGCCACTGTGCCTGGCCCACATGTACCCTTTTTAAGGCTAAATTATATTGCCTTGTGTGTGTATAACACATTTTGTTTATTGATTTATCCATCCATAGACATTGGGTTGCTTCCTCCTTAACTATTGGGAATAATGCTGGTATGAACATTGGTGTACAAATATCTGTTTGAGTCCTTGCCTTTAATTATTTTGGGTATATACCCAGAAATAGAATGCTGAATCATATGTTGATTCTATTTTTTTATTTTTGAGGAACCACCAAACTATTCTCCACAGCTGCTGTATCATTTTGCGTCCGACCAGCAATGTACGAGTGTTCCAATTCTCTTCATCCTTTCTAGCACTTGTTGTCTTCTGGAATTTTAATTTTTTAAAAATAATAGCCATCTCTCATAGGTTCGAAGTGGCAGTTTAGGATGACTTTTGAGTAATAGAGTTTTAGATATTAATTAATTGGGCTAAGAGTTAAGAGAATATGCAGCATTTGAACAATGTTTAAGTTCACCCATCTCTGGTTAAAATGTATCAGTTATAAAATTAGAAGATCTATTCATGGACTGAATAATTAATGTATCACTTACTGTATGCTGAGCACCATACTAGACAGAAGAGTAGGTTATACAGGCCTGTGCCCATGAGAAATTCCTCAGGTATTTGAGAATTTAAGTCAAACATGCCGTAGGCTCTTTAACAATTGCCTGCAGCAATAAGAGTAAGTGGTCTGTTGATAAATGAAGCGGCAATATTATCTTACATTTAATTCTTCACGCAGAGCTTTCGAGTTATTTTGAATTGTACCATCACATTTGCTCAAGTCTTTGTCCTTGAATATAAAATAGTGACGGTCAACTCTGAAAAACTGGTATGTGAAAATAGAGTGTATCAGCTACTCCTTGATGGCCCTACTTGACCCACAAAACCCCTTGGAGATCCGGGACGTTTGGACACTCTATATTATATGGATATGCTCCTGGAATCTATAGGTACTTCAGATGTAAAGTCCTAAATGCTCTGCTCCCTCATTTACCTTTCTCTCTCCCTTAGTAGCTTGTGTCTTGGCCGGGCGCAGTGGATCACGCCTGTAATCCCAGCACTTTGGGAGACCAAGGTGGGCGGATTACAAGGTCAGGGGATCAAGACCATCCTGGCCAACATGGTGAAACCCTGTCTCTACTAAAAATACAAAAATTAGCTGGACATGGTGGCACATGCCTGTAATCCCAGCTACTCGGGGGGCTGAGGCAGGAGAATAGCTTGAACTCGGAAGTCGGAAGTTGCAATGAGCCGAGATCACGCCACTGCACTCTAGCCTGGTGACAGAGCGAGACTTGTGTACAAAAAAAAAAAAAAAAAAAAAAAAAAAATTGTTCTTTCAAGGCAATGAATATTACAGTGAAATATAATTTAGCTTGGCCTATTTCCTGATTTTATTAATTAATCACTGAACTCTTCATCTGGGCCTGGATGTTATTATTTTAGCATCCTTCTGAGAACCAACCCTGGGCAGCCAGTAGCAATTATTTCTATTTTGTCCCTTATGCTACTAACTGCCAGCTTTGGATTAATATCACTGTCTCACATTGCAGATGAAGAAACTGAGGCTTAGAAAGTTGATCTTGCCATTAATGCTACTGTGATGAGTTTCCTTTTAGAAGATGAAAAATTTGAGGCTGAGATACAATTAGGATATTTAGGCAGAATTCCAGGCATCCTGAATCTAGTGATCTTCCTACTTATCACAGAAAATTTCTGAGGCAGGTGGAAATTTACCTTTATTTTTGACACAAGATTAAAAGCAAGAAAAAATATGCCAATACCACTTTTTTATTTCCTCTGTAGCCCAATGCCTTAACTAGGACATTAAAAGTTAGAACAAAAGTTCTGACTTTAATTTTACCATTTACATTTCGTTCTTACTTCATATTTGTTCAGAACAAAAGTTTATCTTGAGATTTTCCTACTAATATTGTGTTCTTAAGACTCATTATTTTTCCATGCATTTTCTTTTAAATTTTAAGCAAACAAAAGAATAGATATCCCCAGGAGCTGCAGCTTCAAACGCGATATTCCATAACTTAAAAATATCACAGTCTAGTTGTATCTCCTATACTCCAAATATTTATCTTAAGGGCAATCTTTCTTTCCCTTGCAATTCAAGGCCAGGTTTTAATTTGGCAGACAACCAAACCCTCCCATGTGACTTTGATCTCTGAATGATTGACTGTCTTTAAAAGGCTCGTGTTTTATTAGAGTGTGTGATTAAAACATGAAGACAAGTGGTGAAATCATGGCCAGAGAGACCATCTGAATATATGGTCCACTCTCAGGAGACAACTGATTTGAGGTCTATTAAAGTGAAATTATGGTGGCCCATAATGGAGAGCCGTTGTGCTATGAGCCATGTCACAGAGCATTTCCATATGTACTGCAACACTGTATGCGTGAAGGTTCACACTGACAGATGTGTGCACCAGTCCATCTGCCCAGACGGGTTGCTCCTACCCATAGAACTAACTCCTACCTTGTCTTTAATAAATGACCAACTCTTCATTTCTACCTTATAGCCTCCTCTTGTCCCCAGGATGGTGTATTTTCTTTCTCTCTCCTCCCATTGCGCCTGAGTATCTTTGCCAGGACACTTACCATGCTTGGATATAAAGGTTGACTTTCTTTTATGTCATCTCAGGAGATGAGTTCCTTAAGAACAGGAAATGATTCTCATATGTTTCCATATTCCCAGTGCCCAACATAATAGAAAGAACTTAATACTTATTTGTGGATGAGTGAGGATAAATTGTAGGCAAAATCCATGAATTCATTTACTTTGTCAGTCTTCTGCCTGTGCATATCCATGTCGTGGTACTTAGCATATGCCTTTGTAAATGCTTAATGACTTATCTGTCACTCCACTGTGCTGTAAACACCATCAAGGCAGGATCTTTAAGATGCTCATTGGTTTGCTGTTGTCTGTCCATAGTGCTGCCTTTAATGGGTTTGCTGAAGGCCCATGACCAGCTCCCACCTTCCTTTTCAGCATATTTTCATATAACTTTCTTCCCTTCACACCACTTCAGATGACACTAAACATCTTCCAGGTTGCTATCTTTTGCCTCTGTACATTTGCACATGCTAGTCCCTCCTCCACCCTGAATACTCCTCTTCTCTCCTAATTCCTAATTTTCCTTTAGGTCCAGCTGAAGCATCACAGCTTTTGTAAAAACTTCCTTGACTACTCTTCTGAGGCTGGGCTAGATGCTTCTGTGATGCTCACATAGCTCTTGATGCTTGGTCTCTCATCACATTTACTCTTTGTTGTGCCTTCGTAATGGAAAATGTTGCTTCCTAGATTGTAAAGTTCATGGATCTTGCTCTCCAGTGATTCCCCAGCACCCACCACAGTGCCTGGCATGGCTGGCATGTACTATATACTAAGTAAACATTTTTGAAGATGTAGTATTTACATTTTCCACAGACCACCACCATAGTCCCCAATTTGCCACATTTCCTAATGTTCCTCAACTCACCTCATTATTCCACACAATTTACAATTTAGTTTTGCTCTTACAGTGCTCCCTGAATGCCTTTCCACTTCCTCTGAACTCTGTTAAACCTCCAGTAAATTGTCCTTGGCTTCACCAGCACCCATGTATTACCTAACGCTCAGAAATCTATTTTATTACCACTTGCACCACATCCATTATTTCCTGAGGGAATTCTACCTTGTGCTGCTTGTGGAATGTGGCATTTGCCTCCCCAAACAGGAAATTCATTTTGTAGCTTCCACTGCAGCCCAGGCTCTGCTCTTTGGCACCTTTTTCACAAACCAGTTGAGTGAAGCTGGGCAATACCAGACTCAATAAACACCAACTAGTATCACCATGAATGTGGAAGGGAAACAGAGGCCATGGAAATGACATGTGAAAATTTGTTTTGATATTTCAAAAGAAGCATCACAAAAGAGTCATCATGGGCAAAAATTCCTCCGGGATTATTAGACTTCTTTGCTTTATTTTGTGGGTTTTTATCGTCTTTTCTTTCTTTCTTTCCTTCTTTTCCTTTAGACATAATCTTTTTTTCTGTTTCAGGTTGTCACATTGCTAAATCTAGCACCAGAACAGGCTTAAGCAATCATTTCAACTTAATTTTCAGACCGTTTTACACTAGACTAGAAATTAGGAGATCTGAATTCTAGTCCTAGAAAGTGTCCCTAAGTAATTTTAACTGCCTACAAGTCACAGGTCATCTCTGCATCTCCAAAATGAAAGGTAATGCCTGGATGATCTCAGAACTTAAATGGCCAAGATAAAGACAGTGGACCTTTCTAAGCCTTTTTTTCGCTTCACTCTCCTCTCTCACATTTATCTTTCTGTTTTGGCTAGTACAATTTTCTACCACCCAGCCCTTCCCCCTCCCATTTCCCCCTATCAGGAAAGCCATCCTGATAGTTTTTCATTCACTGATGTTCACTTCCCTTGCATGTCGTGATTTAAAATATGCTTCTTCCAAACAACCTCCCTAAGTACCCTGAGGATGCCAGTTCTTTCTTTGCAAAGAGTTCATTTGATAAAACCTTTAATTTTCTAGTATTCCTTAGTTCTTAAGTCTGTTTCTAGTTCATAACATGACATTTTAAAATGGAGATTGAGAAACCAGACAGAGACCAGAGGAGGTAACTAGGATAGTAAGGAGCTAGGATGTCCCTTGGGGATGTAAACACCTTGAATGTATTTCTTCAAATATTACTCTACAAAGGGTTGCTAGGGCAAAGAGATGAAAGTAACATGGAGGTCCAATATAAGAAACCTTTTTAGTGTGACTAGAGAGTGCTGTCTCACCCAGAGGTCCCAGGTCAGGGCTGGACCACCAAGCAGCCCCTGTTTCTCAAGCTGTAAAGAACTTGAGAAACAGAGCCTGCTCCACTGGGGTTAGGTGACATCTGGGGTCTCTTTGAGTTCTGCATCCTGGGGTTCACGATCAACACATGATTATTGAATTATTATTTTTACATTACAAATAAAGCTTAGTGGCTTTTGATATTCCTTCTAAGTCGTAAAACCTATTTTTCTCTCTCCAATACTTTGCCAGGCTCCCAAACCACAAATATGCCATTAAGAAAAATCGCAATTTTAGATAAAAGAGAAGTGAAATAATGACCTTTCAGGTGTAATATATAGGAAAATGTTCCCTGATAGCCACTCTATTCTTCTTCAAGTCCTTGAAGAAAAGAGACCTTAGCTTTAGCTCTGCCCCTCATCTGATTCCATAAATACTCTGTTTCTGGGAACTGTGAAAGGGAGCTGCACTATGATCCCTTCTCTGTGTTGTTCTATCTTTCATCTTCACAGAGGTGTGTTACTGAAGGGAGGTGATTATCAGTCATTGAGTGTTGCTGGAATATCAGAATATGACTTTCCTTAAAAGTCCTTTTCACTCTGTAAGGTTGCAAGTCACAGAATTGTTTTTTGAAGGATGACTCCTCTACAAACTTTACTCTCCATTCACCATCTTCTTACAAACGCAGGGTAGAGCAATATGTTTGTAACCAGCTTCCCATAGATTTCTGCTGTTATCTGTCACTTCACACTCCAGATGAAAATGTTTTCTTCCAATGTCTTTTTAAAAAATAAATATGCTGAATAAATGTACTTGTTCCAAAAATTGTTAATAATTCTTCACAGTACCTTCCCCCAACTCTAAAGTAAGTGGCTGGTTGCAACCAATGAAGGCCTGGTTCTATTTATATGAAGGAAGCTGCTCCTCTTCTGGAAGATTTTATTATGTTTTGGCGTAAAGACAGACCTTGGTTTATTGGCCCAAGATGATTTGTAGCAAAATTGTGTCCACATAACTGCAGAAGTAATTAAGCTCACATTGGGGCTATCTGTCCTGCTGTCAGGGAATGGAGAGAAGTCCGCGGTGTAATTTAACTTAGGAAATGCTGACGCTGAGTCCTGGGGGTAGTAGACAGAAGAAATGCTAGATTGTGGGAGTCATTTTTCCTCCAGTGGGTCACTGTCACCCATTATGAAGTCAGGACTTATTCTGAAGAGAGCAAAAGTGCACTGAATTTAGACAGAAACCAGAGCTGCAAAAAGATGCTATGTTAAGAAACCAAAAGAAACCAGAGGAAACATAACATGGTTCACATTTTCCAACCCTTCCGGGCAGCTGGCTTATAGGTTTGTGGTAAAAGCGAAGGTGTGGGTCAGGCTGTTGGGGGTTTAATTTCTGCATCTGACTTTTTCAAGCTGGTGACCTTAAAAAAAGTTCTGAACTAATCTATACGTTAATTCATGTTTCTGTAAAAAGGGGGATATTATAACTATTATCTGATGGAATTGCTGTGAGGATTAAATAAAATAGCACAAGTAAACAGATTATTATTGCCATAGGCTGAATGTTTGTGTCTCCCTCAAATTCATTCATTGAAAACTAATCTCCAAGGTGCTGATATTAGGAGATGAGGCCCTTGGAGGTAATTAGGTCATGAGGTGAAGCCCTCATGAATGGGATTAGTGCCCTTGTATGAGAGGCCCCAAAGAGTTGCCTTATTCCTTCCACTATCTGAGGACACAGTGAGGAGAAACCCTCTATGAAGCAAGAAGAGGGCCCTGACAAGACACCTAATCTGCTGGCACCTTAATCTTGAACTTCCCAGCCTCCAGAGTGTAGAAAATAAAATTCTCTTGTTTATAAGCTACCTAGCTTATGGTAACCTGTTATAGCAGCCAAATGGACTAAGACAATAACCAAGCCTGGCACATAGTAAATATTCAATAACTATCCACCCTGAACTTCATTTACTAGAGTTAAAATGTTAATCCTTCTTGGTCTCATCTTGGGTTTCAAAATGGTTACTCATCCCCTCTGAAAATCTATCTTTGACAAATTTGATGGGTTTAAAAATTCATCTTTGACAACTGTCTTAAAGATGTCCTTTGGTTATCCCTCTCCAGTGTCGGGTAGTCTTATTTTTCACTTTCTGTATCAGTGAGTGGTGTTGCACTTAAATCCTTATCTTCTGTAGCTGCATAAATGATGTACTTATCTGTTTATTTACTTTTAAGGTCTGATAGTAAGGGTTGAAAGATGTGATAATGATATCTATGGTAGTGTGGGAAAAATTGTATTGGATGAGGAGAGATGAAATCGTTTTTCCTAGAAATGTGAAACGCTTTCATGCAAGCACTAAGTGATGTGAAAATTAGACCACAGTAGAGGGTGCAAATCCACAAAAACCAGCCAACCTCATATGGAGACAACCACTCTCTCATTTTATTTGGAGAATGTGTGATCTTGCTCATGGGAGAAGCCAGGTGCAGGTCTCTCTGGTTCAAAGCATCCAATTAACACAATTGGAAAGTCCAGCAGGGTCATGTACAGAATGGGCCAAGAGCTTCTCTGCTCAGCTGGAGGGGGCGCTATGTCAGGTTCCCAGGAAACAAATGACATAACTACCACTGTTACCAAAGGATTAAGATCTTCAGGAAAGTATCAGCCATTCCTCTCAGAATGTCAGACTGTTTAAGCTGAGTAGGATTTGGAAGAGCATCCAGACAAGTCTTAATTTTTACAAATGAGGGAACTAAGATTCAGAGAGTTGACAATAATTAAGGCGGGACAAGAGCTCCACTCTGTTGAATTTCACTCTATCATGCTGCCCTATTACATCAAAGTTCTGGAAATCTCTGACAGTGATCAATAAAACATAACAGAGCTGCAACCCCACTAAGCTGGGATATGTCTTGGATTTAAGCCACTTAAGCATCATCATTATAATAAAACACTGACTGGGACCTTGCTAAGTTTTAGCCACTGACAGTGAAATGCTATAACAATTTGAACGGCCCATAGAGTGGCTACGTTATAATGGTCATTCAATACATAACTTATCATTATTAATTTTATTATTAATATTATTATAATGATACATGGGTGAATAGCTTTTTTATTGTCTCTATCATTGTGAATCCCAAAATCAGGTTGGGGAGATCAGATATCTGTAGGTTCTTTCATAATACATGCTGGGTGCTGTAGTTACCAGGATTTCCTTGAAGGCTGGATCCATATCTCATTAAACTGAATGTATCATTTGTCTTCTGAAACTGTTGGTTTCCTCTTTGTTCCCTTTTCTAATGAAAATCAGAAACTTTAGTATGGTATTTGGTGTACTTTATGACATGGACTACGTTTATTTTGTAGTTTGCTGTCTTGTTCCCATCTCCCACCCAATAGCTATCCTCTGTCCAAAAGGAAGATAATTTTCTTGAATGAACAACAGCAATATATTACTGTTTTAAGACAAAATCTTTACTTTTAATGAAATACGGTGGCTGGTGAGATCCTCATTAGCGTTATTGACAGTCATGTTTAAGGATAGTTGGAAAACGTCAGAAAAATCCCCACCTCTTTGTGCGTGTTTGAGGTTAAAAGAGCCACCCACGAGAATATATGTTTTGGCATTTGCCCTTTGTTGGCAGACCTTGAGGTACGCACCTAAACCGTGTTTCTAGAATGCAAACTCCTTGAAGAAATGACTGTGTCGTTGACAGGTGGCAGGAAGGGAAAACACAATGCAAAACATTTTACGCACATTATCTGTTTTAAGTCTCATGGCAAGGTAGACAGCAGGTATCAGTGTTCCTATTTTGCAAATGAGAAAATAGAGGTTGAGAAATGCTACTAAATTTGATTCTGGTCACAGGCTTAGGAATTAAAGTGCCAGGTCTCCATGACACTAATGGCTGTGCTATCTCCCCCATACCAAACTGCTTGGCTCTGCATCCTTATATTTACCTGGGAACCCAGAACATATTAAGACTTCATTACATTTGTGTGGAATAAATGTAGAGGCCAAGATTTTGCATGGCTCATTAAAAATATAATTCAAGTGTCTGAGCTCTACCTCTGCTGATAACTTTTTGTTGAGCTCTTATTTTGTGACCTGCAAAGTGGGACCTAACATCACTGACAGTGAAATGCTATAACACTTTGAAGGGCCCATGGAGTGGCTACATTACAGTGGTCATTCAATACATAACTTATCATCATTAATTTTAATAGTATTATAATGATACATGGATGAATAAATAGCATTTTTATTGTCTCTATCATTGTGAATCCCAATGCATGAAGTTCTTTGAGGATAAAATGGGAGTATGGATGAGAAAACACCTTTAATTTAATGCTTCCATTGCAATGGAGCCAGTAAAATCTGCAGGGGTAAGATGACCTGGCACTGCTAGATGTGAATAGCAACCTGAATTGTCATTCTTCCAAGTCTAATTCATGCTCAGGACCGGCTAACCATGCCTGTGAATGTCTCCTCCTCCCAGATGAAGTGTCCAAGAGGCTTTTGGCTGAGGCAGTAGATGACTCTGCATTAGTGCCATCTTCTTCTTGATACTTCACATATGGCACATGGACAAAGATTTCCAGCAAATAGATGATAGTATAGAAACAACTAATGTCATTAGTATTTAAAACTTACAAAAGGAGGCATTTTTGGAAGAAGGAGAGAGATAAAACACCTTTTTTTTCATAACCAGTGGAAAAAGATGGGAAGGCCAGAGGCCTGTAATGTCTGTGCTTCCCCTGGCACAGTTACATCACCCAGGAAGCCTCTGAGCAGTCAACTTCATGGTCAAATAGATCGAGTGTGGACTTAGAAGCAGGCATGCCAGGAATCAAAATTATCTCTAGGCAGTTTTCATTCACTCATTCACTCATTAATTAAAAATTCATGCACTCAACAATTATTTATGTTGCCAAGTACTGTTTAGGCACTGGGTATAAAATATGGAAGAAAATAGGATCTCATCTCATGTGAAACTATGTCGGAGTAGGGCAAATAGGCAGCAAAGCAAACCAGCAATTGATTTTTTTTAAAAAGGATTTAACGTATTGATAAGTGCACTTATGAAAGCAAAACAAAAAAAATGTCACTTAACCTTTTTGAATCTGAGTTTCATGATCAGTCAAATGGAATTTACAACATCAAATGTGCAGTATTCTTAGGAGGACAGTACCAAGCCCAGTGCTGGGCACACAGTGGGTGCTTTGTCAATACTAGTTTCCTTAACCATTCTCTTTGTTATGGTTCTCCTCCTTGATCCCAATTTTATAATATGGGTGAAAACAAGTTAAAATAAAGTTTGAAATAGGAAAGTTCTCAGAAGAGTGGCATGTGATCTGAAAGATACTGAGCAAGGGTTTTACCCATTTTACTTGACGTTTTGAAAGAGAGAGGATTATAGATGGTTGCCTGTACATGAGTGTTAAGCACAAACTTAGGTATGAGCTGGCAAATTTACCTTCCTTTCCCTTATAGAAAGTGTCTCCCCAGGTACCAGTAATGAAGCCCAGATCCCCACTTTTATCTCACAACTCCTCCCCAGTCAAGTTTCATTGCTATATACCTGCAAATCACTTTTACCAATTATGATGATAGTGGTGGCTACCATTTAATGAAGGCTATTTTGTACTAGGCCCTGTGGTTTACATAAAAACCATCTCATTTAATTCTCAAATGGGCCCTTTTATGTTTTTCAATTTTTAAAAAATTAAAGACAATTTTTTAGAGCAGTTTAAGTTTCCCATCAAT
Source organism: Homo sapiens (assembly GCF_000001405.40). Taxonomy (NCBI): domain Eukaryota; kingdom Metazoa; phylum Chordata; class Mammalia; order Primates; family Hominidae; genus Homo; species Homo sapiens. The sequence goes on along the minus strand of NC_000002.12, from coordinate 117,428,478 downwards.
TTCACATACTCACATATACTCTCTGTGCCCACACATGCAGAGCTGCCCCCATTATCCCCAGAGCGATGCATTTATTACAATGGATTCACCTACAATGACACACCATAGACATACAAAATCGATAGTTTACATTAGGATTTACACTTGCTGTTGTAGGTTCTGTGGACCTGGACAAGTGTATAACGACAGGTATCTACCATAGTATCGCACAGAGTACTTTCACTGCATTAAACATCGTCTGTGCTCCCCTAGTCATCCCTTCTTCTACCCCAACCCCTGGCAACCACTGATCTTTTTAATGTCTCCATTGTTTTGTTTTCTTTCTTTTTTATGGAAGAAGAACTTAATAGTTTAAGATGCCTGACTTATCAAGGATGTGGCAAAGATGCTATAGTGTATTTGAAACTGTTTATGAGTGATTATAATTATTTTGCTTCAACTTATCATCTTTCTCTAGGGTGTCAGACAGATGCAGACCCCGATGCTTGCTCTCAAGATTGGTTTCCTTTAGCTGGCAGCAAATCCTGGCTTTGCCAAGTTTGTATCAAAGTTCTGTCTCAGTATTGACTTTCCTCCTGGATCCCTAGTGTTGTCAGGTTTAAGAAAGGTTAAAGTGAACTCTAACTTTGATGCAAACTCCAATGTCTACACTGGCCAGGTGGATAGAATTAGCCCAATGTGTAACATTAGGGAGTAGTGGGAACTGTGTCAAACAGAAAACACACACCTCATCTAAACAGGGCAGCTGGCTACTCAGCTCCAATTATTTGTTGTCATAGGAAAAAAGCAAATGCTGTTGGTGAAGCTTAAGCTTGAGTTTATATATATATAGGTATTATATATGTATATATAGGTATATATATATTTATTTTTAAGACATGATGCAATCCAAATAAAATTCATTTGCACATTCATAGGCTTCTGGGTTTTAAGCTCTGAATTTGAGAAGTTGAGTCTAAAAATATGTGAAGAGCAGAGTAGAGCTCAGCTAAAATTAGTTCAAACTCTTGATATGACAAGTGTACCTTTGTGCTTATAATATAAAGAGGGAAATCACTTATTCATGGTCCCACAGCAGGTCAGTGCACCACTGGGACTCCAACTCAGTTTCACAGCTCTCAGACCAGTGGCCCTGCTGAAGTACTCTGCCATTCTCACTCACAGCTTGGGCAGGTACATAAGACTAACAAGAAATAGCTTTCTCCACTGCTGATTGGATTTGGAGGTTGAAGAAGGCAGGATAAGAAAAGGATTGGATTTAGAGGGATTATATGACTGACTCAACTTAATATTTCTTAAGCTACTGTGTAATTGAAATTATCTTAATATGTTCTCTTCTTCACAGGGACTCAGCCTTTGAGGGCCATCACCATTCCTATACAAATAAAAAAAATTTTGTATTGTTTAAGGTAAAAAAGAAAAATCTACTAGCTCTTATACTCCACAATGCTAAAGTGTCATATTGTACAGAAAACTTTTTATTCACACAAATTCCAATGCAGATGTCTCTGGTTGGTTGGATGTCCTGGGAGAGCTCCTTGAAGAATAGTTGGGGGTCCAGACTGCTTCCACCCTGGGACACAATTATCCTCACATGTCACCAGTAAAGAGGGAGGCTCACACCTGGGAGATGCTTTATATGGGGTCAACGTGGGCAAAGAGTACATCATTTCTCCCACACTCCATTTTCCAGACCTGGTCAGATGGCCCACCCTGACACCCTAGGTGGTGGAAAATATGTTTTCTATGTTTCCAGAAATGTGAAGAAATGAATTTAAGATATAATATTATTTCTACAAGGAAAAAAAATAACAACAGAAACAAAAATAGAAAGGCAAGTATTCTGCAAATGATTTTTCCCGTTGGAAACTTGATTATGATTGAATTACAAGGATCAAGTTTGTGGCTGGAAACAGAATTCTTAAGTCTAATGTAAGCTATGCTTAGAGGCAAGTAAAATGCAGGAGGATGAGGATGAGGATGTAGATGGCTTCTTACCTGCCAGCTGACTTCCAGAAAGACATTCACAAGCATTGTGGGCCTGAGATTCCTGGGTGAGTTTTTGGAGGTTAATTCTCAGTGGAAACATTGTAAAATCTGAAGGGCCAGCCAATCAGAAGCCCTCTCTGATTCTGTCTCAGCCTCTTTTAGAGAGTGGGGAGTGGGAAAAGTTGGCCATTTTCGGAGAATGGAACAGTCTCTCCCTGCCTAGCATTCTTGCCTTATAAAGGCATTGTACTTTCCCATACACTGGGAGGCTTGGGTTTTTTTTTCAATGATTATAGTAATTTTTTGCCACAAATTTTTGGAAATAAACACTGTTGTTTCTTATGAGGTTGGCAGAGAAAAAATTAGTTAAGAATCAAGGGAAATAAAATGCCCTGTGTGCAAATACAATGACTAATAGCCAGAGGGAAAACATCAGACATACAGTTGTCTTTAATTAAGAATAAAAACACTAAGCAGCCTTGTACAAGAATATCATATTTGCAATTAATATGCAGATGAAGTCTCAAGGCTCTAGACATCCTCTGAAATGAATTGCTTCCTACAAAGGTGAAGCATCCATAACTTGGCTGATCGTTAGGATTAGTAGGATGAATTTACTGTGATCCATTTGCATCAGGGCATTGGCCTGCTGTGAACATCTCTCTTCATATCTTAGTTTCCAGGTGCCTAGACAAAGATTCTTTCAATGGTAGTCACTATTCCAATGCTGAAAATTCTAAAATTCAGAATCAAGCATCTTATAGCCTGTATTAATCTGCTATGGCTGCTCTAACAAGTACCAAAGATCGTGTGGCTAAAACAACAGAAATTCATTCTCACAATTTTTCAAGTCTTAGTTTAAGGTGTTGGCAGGGTCCACTTCTTCTGAGGCCTCTCTTTTTGGTTTGCAAATGGCCATCTTTTTCCTGTGTCTTCATATGGTTTTCTCTCTGTAGTAGCCACACTTCCTCGTTTTATAAGGACACCAGTCCCATTAGATTAGGGTTCACTCATATGCCTTCATTTTAATTTAACTACTTCTTTAAAGACCCTGGCTCCAAACAAGGCCACATTCGGAGGCACTGGGGGTTAGGACTTCAACTTACAAATTTTGAGAGGACACAATTCAGCCTGTAACAAAACCCTATTTTCTGAACTGTAGATAAGGTTCTATGAGACATTCCTAAATATTCTGGAAGGACAAAAGTTAAAGGTCAAAGAAGAAGCTGCGGATATGTTATTTTCTTCTACATGCAATGCCTAAGCTTTTCCCTTGGATTCTTCAGCCCCCAAAGATGAAGCATTCTCTTTTGGCACAAGTGAGTTGGAGTTTGGTTTCCTATTACTTGCTATGCAAAGAATTCTTAAACACCATATTCATAGAGTCCCTTCTCCAACACATTCCTTCTCATTGACAAGGACATCTCCTCTGTACTTTCTTCAACCTAAGCACTACTGTCCTACCTCCTGGTTTTATCTTGGATGTCTAATGCTCCTCTCCCTCTTGAAGATTCTTTTTCACTCTGATCTTCTGAATTTACCTCCCTAGGATCTCCTTTCTACTTGCTTAGAACAAAGATGATGTTGTTATAGAAATCTTTCTGTATTAACATCAATTGGAGATGACTTGGGAAAAGAAGTTAGGGGTCTTAGGGGCTTCTAAGAAGGCAGACATACAATATTATTATTTGTACACACACACACAGAAAGTTATCTTCCAAAATTCTGTTCAAAGTTAATCTTCCCTTAGAAACCTTCCAAGTGTAATCCCATGTCTAATGACCAAATCATGTCACATGAAATCAATACTTAGTAGTGATGCGTTTGGCATAATATCACCTGAAAGTCAAATAGGCAATCATTCATACTGCTGTATACTCCTCTTCGGCCCTGTTTTCTCACTTCGCCCTCCTCATCCTCTTAAATATCGTATGGCTCTTTCTATAAGCATGAAGGTGGATATTAGATGAAGGTATATCATCCTTATAGCTCATTCTGGGCAGCTGTCTTCCAATCTACATTCTATGAGTATCCTAAAACCCCAAACGATGAGACCATACTGTCATAAATTCTAGATATATTCAACTTAGATTTTTTTTTTTTTTTTTGAGACAGGATCTCACTCATTTCACCCAATGTCAAGGTCATGGCTTACTGCAGCCTCGACTTCCAGAGCTCAGGTGATCTTCCCACTGCAGCCACCCAAGTAGTTAGGACTACAGGTGTGTGCCACCGTGCCAGGCTAATGTTTTATATTTTTTGTAGAGATGGGGTTTTGTCAGGTTACCCAGACTGGTGTTGAACTCCTGGTCTAAAGCTATCCTCCTCACTTGGCCTCCCAAAATGCTGGGATTACAGGCATGACTCATCATGGCCAGCCTCAATTTAGATCCTATCCAACTCCCTTTTATTGTATGTGGGAACTAAGGTCCTAAGATTGATAAGAAATTGATGAATATCTGAAAGTAATTTCCTGGCAGAGCTCAACTTGAGTGCAGGTCATTAGATACCCAGGTAAGTGGTCTCTCTACTGATTTCCTTGGACACAAGATGACATTTCTGATTCAAATCAGCAGGTCTTTCCATGGAATGGTCAGGAACACCCAGTGTGACATGTCTTCTTAAATCAAAGGCAACACTGGATATCAACAGGGATATAGAGAAGAGAGACAAATGAAGTGTCCTGAGGTCAAGGCCTGAAGATATCTGTAAGTTTAATTTCATCAGCACTTCACTGTGATATGTTAGGGCAACTGACAGGAGCCAGGGATAATAAAAGGAAATAAAATTTAGTCCGCTAAATGAACAAAGACTCAAGCAGGACCCTAGAGCTTAAACTGAAAAGACCAAGAAGCCAGAAGGGCTTTACTTACAGGTAGAATTGAGAGGTACTACACTTTGTGATTTGGAAAGCAGCAGAAAAGTCCCCATCCCCCAAATAGTTTCCTAATAATCTAACGATTGTGCCTAAAATTCTACTTTTTATGCGTCATTTGTTTGGATTTCAATGTCTTTTCTGTTTTAAGAGGCCCTTATTGAAATGGAAACAGTTGTGGGATACACAACATCACTTTAGGATTAATCTGTCTGCCGTGGAATGAATTCTGTCCCCCAAAACTCATATATTGAAGCCCTAACCTCCCGTGTGATTACATTTGGCGATAGGACTTTTTTTTACAGTAATTAAAGTTCAATGAAGTTATAAAGGTGAGGCTCTAATCTGATATGACTGGTGCCCTTGTAAGAAGAGGAAGAGACACCAGAGCTCTCTCTTTCTGTCTCTCAACTCACTGTCTCTGCATGTGCTCAGAGGAAAGACCATGTGAGAATAGACAGAAGGGAGGAGAGGTTTCACCAGAAAGCAACCCAGATGGTACCTTGATCTTGGACTCCCAGCCTCCAGACTGTGAGAAAATAAATTTCCATCATTTAAGCCACCTAATCTATGATATCCTGTTATGGCAGACTGAGCTGATTAATGCACAGTTTAACTGGAACAACTATAAAAATCAGCTCTGAATACCGCCTCTGCATTTTCCCTAACCATGCAACAACACCTTCCTCACTTTGTTCTCAGTGTTATCTCCACTCTACATGAGCTTTCACTTGCTCCTTTCTGACAGGTGCTTCTGTTTTCTTGTTTGGAACTTGTTGCTGCGTTTTGCCTGAGATGTTTAGTCTTTGTTTTCCTGATTTTTGACCCTCATGTCCCTTAAACATTAGCTCATTCCCCTTAAGTGTTTTTGATCCATAGTGCCACTTTTTGGATCCTAAATAGTTATTTTAACATTAATTATAGAAATACTATTTCTACAACCACTATCTGATGGCTACTACTCCTTCCATTTAAGAATGTAGCATGTGAAAGCCAGTTTTCATATATGAGTTCCTATATGAGCTTCCTTGCTCCCCAAGGTATACTTACTCTGTTCTACAGATGAAGACACAGGATGAGAGGTTAATTTATGTGAATTCACCCCATCAGTCCATCAGTAAGCGTGGGGTTGGTGTCCAAACACAGGTTGGGCTGACTCTGACACCAACATTATTTCTTGCCTCCTGTCCCTGGCTTTGCTGGCAGATGAGGCAAACCCTCCCCAGGCATCAGTGAAGAAGTTTCAGGCAGTACTGTGCCATATAGCACCCGGCATCCAGCCCTTCCTTGGAGCCTAATAATGTTTAGGAAAATCTTCTGTGAGAATAACGTGGTACCACCAAGAATGCAACTCTCAGAAATTGTTTAGTTTAGCCAAGTTAAACAAAGGTTAAGTTATTGAAGGGCAGTCTGTTGTTTTTAAGAATCCAAATGGTTAGCAGGTCCTCATTTTCAGCAAGCTTAAGATTAAGGGCAAATTGCAAGGCATATTTTACATGCCCCATTAAACTGGTGGGATTAAGTGTGCACAAAAAGTAATTGCCTTTTGATGTGAATAAAGCACAAAAAGCTCAGACAGAGGAAGCATGCCCCTTAATTTATAGTCCTATAGGAGTCTTTCTCTGCAATTATCATTTTAACATCAAAGAGCTTAATATACAATAATGCTAAAAGTACACAGCAGAAAAGTCACTGCATCTTCTGACTCTTTTAGGTGAAGTTATTGTCCCTTGCAGTGAGGCTCTGCACTTTCTCCATAGAACTGACAGAATTCACAGCAAGGACCATCAGCAAACCCTGTTAGGGTCAGATGCTTACTGATATCTCTCAAGAGTAGAGGGAGAGGGCCCCCAGGAATGCTTTCGTGGCACCCCCCCAATACCTTCTGAAAGACCATCCAGGCTTTCCTCTGAGCAGATGTAACTAATCAGATCCACAGATGCCAATGCTTCAATTACTTGGAAATCATAGTATTAAATCAGTCTCGTGAAGGACTGAATAATTGGATTTCTTTTCCAAGGTACGAATAATTTAAATTTGCTCAGAAAGATTCTAAGGGATTAGTGCAAAGAGGTGAATAATAGCCCAAAGACTCCTTTAAAAAGAAATAACCCCTGGAACATTTTAAATTGCAGTAAAAATTCTGTAAGAGATAGTTCTTTGAGAAAGAAGAATCTGAAGAATAAGATTCAGTCAATGAGTTTTCACCAGAGTGGTATTTGTGTTTCAATCACTGTTATTAAAATTTGCTCTATTCTTTACAAAAATACAGCTGAGGTTATTAGCCATTATGTTGTTGGATGTTCTTTATTCAATAATTGGATACTAAGTTATTGTTTAAGTTTGCCTTCTTCTTTCCCCACCCCCTCCCCAAAGGGTTATTTAACTATATTTCTTTTTTTTTCCTTTTGGCCATAATAATCAAAAGATAAAATACACATTTATAGCCCAAGAGTTTCAACATACTCAATTCTGAAGCTTAAAAAACCCACTTCTGTCTGATGGACTCTGTTCTTTCCCATTCTTAAATGCCTTGTCTTGTACTGTGCTCTAATCTATACACTGTCGCAAGTCCTTTAAGAAGTCAACAGGGTACAAATCTTAAACTTAATTTGTTGCTACGACTCTATTCAGCAGCAGGAGTCATGGAAATATAAGGCTTGAAATGGGCTTGAAAGGTCACCTAATCTAACCCCCTTCAGAACTTTGAATTCCCTAGAGGCATCACTGCCATGTGCCTGCTTCTCTTTTGTCTGAACAGTCCATGCCTCCTCCGACCTCAGGCCCCATTCTGCTTTGAGTTTCACTTGGTTATTTATTGGTCTATCTTGTAAGCTGTTTGTTAGTGAAGACCATAACTCAATTGCACCTCATCCATTAGGACCTATCCAACCTTAATGATTGTTTACTGACATGAGTCAAATGGCAAGTGTCTAGGCCAAGTCAAATAATAATATTTGAATTATTTATCATTGATAATTGTGATGGGCAGAATACTACCTCCTCAATGATGTGCACATCCTAATTTCCAGAACCTGGGAATATATTACTTTACATGGCAAAAGGGACTTTGCAGAAGAGATTAAATTAACGATCTTGAGATTTGTGAGATTATCATGGATTATCACAATGGGCTCAATCTAATTGCAAGGGTCTTTACAGGAGGATCAGAGTAAGAGAGAAGGTGTGATAATGGAAGCAGAGGTTAAAGAGAATATGTTTGAAGATGCTGTGATGCTGAGTTTGAAGATGAAAAGGGGCCCTGAGCAAGGAACACCATTAGCCTCTCAAAGCCAGAAAAGGAAGGGAACTGAATTTCTCCCTACAGCTTCCAGAAAGAACATAGCTCAGCCAAAACATTTTTTTTCAAAGCCTGTTATGGAACTATGACCTCTAGAATAGCAAGATAATACATTTGTGTTGTTTGAAGCCATTAAATCTGTGATAATTTGTTACAGTGGCAATAAGAAACTGGCAAAGGAATCTTGACCAGCTAGAGGTAATCATTTTTAACCTTGACCTCTGATATGGTTAGGTTTGTGTCTCCACCCAAATCTCATCTTGAATTGTAATCCTGAGATGTTGAGGGAGAGACCTAATGGCAGGTGATTGGATCATGGGGGCAGTTTACCCCATGCTGTTATGGTGATAGTGGGTGAGTTTTATAAGGGTCTCTTCCCACTTCCCTTCCTACATACTCTCTCTCTCTCTCACCTGCTGCCATGTAAGACATGCCTTCTTCTCTTCTTCCGCCACAATTGTAAGTTTCCTGAGGCCTCCCCAGCCATGTGGAACTGTGAGTCAATTAAACCTCTTTTCTTTATAAATCACCCAGTCTCGGGCAGTGCTTCATAGCAGTGTGAGAACAGACTAATACAGCTTCTCTATAGGGTCCTGGAAGAAAAGAAGAAATGAAGGCTATAAAACAAAATTTGTACTGACCAGAGGGCATAGAGTAGAATGTTTTTAGTCTATCTTTACAAGTTTCCCAATAAATATTGTTTTTTAGTTATTTGCCTTTTTCTTAATAAAAAAATTGCATGTATTAAAAAGTTTCAGGTATTTGAGAATTCTAAGTCATACTAGATTTTACTGAATTTTTTCTCTTTGCAACTTCTTAGTGTATGTATATGTACTTATATATAGCTAATGCTAGACATGTAAAACTGTGTATGTATAAAACATTTCAAATTTCTAAGACTGAAAGAAAAAATAAGCATGTTTTTCAAGATTCTAATTAGTATTATTGTGTCATTTCCCACCTGAGAATATAAATGTAAGACATATATTATCAGATGGAAGATGGGGATATAAAAATAATTTCCTCAGAAAAATTGCTTTCTATATTTCAAAATATATCAATTCACAAAATTAATTGCACTTATATGATACAGTATTTCACAAAGTCAATAAAACATTGAACAGAGCTCCTTACAAATGGTTGGGGGTGGGTGGCCACTGCTGAATATGACAACTCTGATCTGATCACTAACATCTGAATCCGATTAAACTGAAATTTTATATTTCCATCAGTCCTATCTGGAAAGGACATGGGGAACATGAAATAGCTAGAAGTCTTGTTCATGATTCAAGCCAGACTTGTGATCAGGCTTATTCACTTTAATACCATCTTTGAAGAAAAGACTACAAGTAAAAGACATTTGTGAGATTTATGGTTTAAATAATTTAATGGGATGGTTTTGCTTCAGTGATCAAGAAATGCAAGTTAAACCTATAATGACCCATAAGGTAGGCAAGGGTTTGAGAGATGCAAAAAAATGATCCACAGGGATGTGAAGTGATGGGTCTAAGGTATTTTCCTGTTCTGAGAGGCAGTGACCAGAAACCAGCTCCCCTGCTACTTGTCCTTTCTGTCACATCACGCTGCCTTGAAAGGAAGAAATCTGTGAAGCCCAGAATATCAAAAAGCTGATTTTCACAAGTCAAAAGAAGGCATATATTGGAGAGAAGACATTGGAGGAAGAAGAAAAATTGTACACTATTTTACTTTCTGGTGCTTCCCTCCATAAACCTTTGGGTATGGGCAGAACATTCTCTTCCACATTTCGTGAACCTGCTCTTCTTGTTTCCTCTCCACTGTCCCTGTGTTGAATGCTCCAACACTGTATCTGCCAGACCAGATTGTCCCAGCTTCTAAAGACTAGTCCAGGTTAAATATTCCTAGGAAGTGTTCACAACTCAATCCCTTCTCTAATTTTCTATTGAGTCTATGCTTTGGATCACACAGTTTGGAAATTGTTGTAGCTAGTTTGGGATACCTGTGCAATCGTTGTTTGAACTATCCCTGCTCACAGTCCATATAAGTGGAAACATAAGTAATCACAAAATCCCAGTTATATTTCTTTTCCAGGAAGTTAGCCTGGGAGGCTATCATTGAGCTAAATCAGTGGTAGCGGTTTTAAACAAAAAATGCATAGATTTGATGTTGACTCAACCATATATGGCTAAGAACAAGATAAATTGTGGGATAAAAGAGAGATTGAAAACATTTTGAAGACAAAAATTAGATACAAAAATCAGTAAGAGAGACGCAATCTGAGAAGTGAAGTTGAAGTGAGAGAGATGGGGAACGACTCTCAGTTACTGGTTTTCCAGTGCCTATTTCAGTCTCTGAAGATCTTGGCTACCCATCCAGCCCTTGGATGAATCTTTGCCATCAGACAAACTAAGTTTGCTTCCCAGCTCCACTGTTCCTTACCTGTATAAACTTAGACAAGTTACTTAGTAATTATAGGGCTCAGTTTTCTCATCTATAGAATGGTGATATTAATAGAATATGTATATCATAATGTGCTTATTAGGATTATATGAGAATGTAAATTAAAATGCTTAGCACAGTGTGTGGCTCATATTAAGCACTAAAAATCATTAGTGCTGATGTCTTGATATTTTTATTATGATTCTTATCCACATCTCTTCTGTGAATTTCTCTTTTACTGGTGGTGGCTTGTAGATTTCCTCGCAAGCAAAAAAGAAGAAAAAAATTGAAGAAATGTTGCCATGTACTGATCTCTAATTGTTATACCTGTTAAGAGTTCCTCTACAAGTCCTTCAGTGGGAGACACAGTGCTTTCTAATTCCCTCAAAACCCTAAAAAAAGTCTGGCCTAGAAATTGGGTCATAGTAGGCACCAAGTAAATCATTAGTGAAACCCCATGAATTTCTCAGTTATATACCTTGCTTATTTGCCAACATTGGTGCCATCGAATGCTCATTGCTTCTGGACATTACGTCTCAGATTCCCACAGATAATTGCCATAAACTGAAATAAATTCCCTGCCTTACCAACTCTATTGTTGCTAAAGGCCTTAGCTTTAAGCCAGGTTCTCTAAGTTTGGACTTAGGATCAAGGCAGTGCCTCCCACAGGCCCCCTTACCTAGAGCACATCTTTGCTCTTCAACATACTTTTATTTTTTTAAATAGTTTTCAATTTAGCCTTTAATTCAATAAGCATTCACTGAGTATCCACTACAGTCTCAAAATCATTTAAAATTAAATCTTCCAGATGACTTCTTCTCTTTTAAAAAAATAATTTAATTTAATTTTTTTATTTCCATAGGTATTTGGGGAACAGGTGGTGTTTGGATACATGAATAAGTTCTTTAGTGGTGATTTGTAAGATTTTGGTTCACCCATCACCCAGGCACACATTGTACCCAATTTGTATCATTTATCCTTCACCCCCCCTTCCCTCCGAAGTCTTCAAAGTCCATCGTATCATTCTTATGCTTTTGCATCCTCATCGCTTTGCTCCCACTTATGAGTAAGAACACATGATGTTTGGTTTTCCATTCTTGAGTTACTTCATTTAGCATAATAGTCTCCAGTTCCATCCAGGTTGCTGTGAATGCCATTATTTCTTTCCTTTTTGTGGCTGAATAGTATTCTATGGTATATACATGACAATTTCTTTATTCACATTTTGATTAATGGGCATTTGGGCTGGTTCCATATTTTTGCAATTGTGAATTATGCTGCTATAAACATGAGTGTGCAAATATCTTTTTTGCATACTGACTTCTTTTCCTCTGGGTAGATACCCAGTAGTGGGATTGCTGGATCAGGAAATATACAACCTCCTAGGTTAAATCAGGAAGAATTAGAAACCCTGAAAAGACCAATAACAAATAGCAAGATTGAAATAGAGATTTAAAAAATTACAAACAAAACAAAGTCCAGGACCAGATAGATTCACAACTGAATTCTATCAGACATTCAAAGAAGAATTGATACCAACCCTAGTGACACTATTCTGCAAGATAGAGAAAGAGGGAATCCTCTCTAAGTCATTCTATGAAGCCAGTATCACCCTAATACCAAAACCATGAAAGAACGTTAACAACAACAACAACAACAACAAAACTACAGACCAATATCCCTAATTAATATAGACGCAAAAATGCTTAACAAAATACTAGCTAAACAAATCCAACAGCATAGCAAAAAGATAATCCACCATGGCCAAGTGGGTTTCATACCAGTGATGCAGGGATGGTTTAACATTTGCAGGTCAATAAATGTGATACACTACATAAACAGAATTAAAAACAAAAATCACATGATCATCTCAATAGACGCAGAAAAATCATTTGACAAAATCCAGCATCTCTTTATGACTAAAACCCTCAGCAAAATCAGCATAGAAGGGACATACTTTAATGTAATACAAGTCATATATGACAAACCCACAGTCAACATAACACTGAAAGGGGAAAAGTTGAAAGCATGCCCTCTGAGAACTGGAACAAGACAAGGATACCCACCCTCCCCACTTTTATTCAACATAATACTGGAAGTCCTAGCCAGAGCAATCAGACAATAGAAAGAAATAAAAGACATCCAAATCAGTGAAGGGGAAGTCAAACCCTCACTCTTTGCTGATGATATGATTGTATACCCAAAAAACCCTAAAAATGCCTCCAAAAAGCCCCTAGAACTGATAAATGAATTCAGCAAAGTTTCAGGATACAAAATTAATGTACACCAATCAGTAGCTCTGTTATACACCAAAAGCAACCAAGCTGAGAATCACATCAAGAACTCAACCCCCTTCACAATAGCTGCAAAAAGAAAAAAAAAGAAAAACCTAGGAATATACCTAACAAGAAGGTGAAAGACCTCTATAACTACAAAACACTTGCTGAAAGAAATCATAGACGACACAAACAAATGAAAACACACCTCATGCTCGTGGATGGGTATAATCAATATTGTGAAAATGACCATACTGTCAAAAGCAATCTGCAAATTTAATGCAATTCCTATCAAAATGCCACCATCATTCTTCACAGAACTAGAAAAGATAATCCTAAAATTCATATGGAACCAAGCCAAAACAAGACTAAGCAAAAAGAACAAATCTGAAGGCATCACATTACCTGACTTCAAACTATACTATAAGGTCATAGTCATCAAAACAGCATGGTTCTGGTAAAAAAAAAAAAAAAAAAAAGGCACATAGACCAATGTAACAGAACAGAGAATGCAGAAATAAAGCCAGATACTTACAGCCAACTGATCTTTGACAAAGCAAACAAAAACATAAAGTGTGGAAAGGACACCCTATTCAACAAATGGTGCTGGGATAATTGGCAGGCCACATGTAGTAAAATGAAACTAAGTCCTCATCTCTCACCTTATATAAAAATCAACTCAAGATGGATAAAGGACTTAAATCTAAGACCTAAAGTCATAAAATTTCTAGAAGATAATGTCAGAAAGACCCTTCTGGATATTGGCTTAGGCAAAGAGCTTGTGACCAAGAACCCAAAAGCAAATGCAACAAAAATGATAATAAATAGGTGGGACTTAAACTAAAAAGTTTCTGCACAGCAAAAGAAAGAATCAGCAGAGTAAACAGACAACCTACAGAGTGGGAGAAAATCTTCACAATCTAAACATCTGAAAAATAACTAATATCCAGAATCTACAAGGAACTCAAACAAATTAATGAGAAAAAACAAACAATCCTATCACAAAATGGGCTAAGGACACGAGTAGATGATTCTCAAAAGAAGATATACAAATGGCCACAAACGTGAAAAAATGCTCAGCATAGCTAATGATCAGGGAAATGCAAATCAAAACCACAATGCAATACCACCTTACTCCTGCAAGAATGGCCATAATCAAAAAATAAAAAAACTAATAGATGTTGGCGGGGATGCGAAGAAAAGATAGCAGTTTTACCCTGCTGGTGGAAATGTAAACTAGGACCACCACTATGGAAAACAGTGTGGAGATTGCTTAAAGTGCTCTTCAACATACTTAATGTCGTCAGCAGGCTGAAGTTGAGCCAGAACTGACCCAGGCTTGGAAATTGACCAGTGGAAGCATTTGCCTCCAGAAACTTGACACCTTGACAGATGAAACAATTCTAATTGCATGGGGCTTCTTTCTCGTCTCTTGTCTCCAATAGCTTCAATCCAATAGCTTCAACTGCCCCAAACTTTGTATAATCAGGACCCTTGGTATTATAATGTCAGAAAATCCAACTCACAGCTAGCCAAAAGGAGATATCCATGAATAGATAAAATATGGTTTCATCCAGGTGCTCAAACAATGTATCTCATAATTCTTGTCTTAAATCAACATTACTCTCCTCTAGGTTTCATTTATTCTACAGCAAGTGCCCCTAGGTAATACCAAGAGTGGCCCCTAGGTAATATCAAGAGAGCCCCTAGGTAATACCAAGAGAGCCCCTAGGTAATATCAAGAGAGCCCCTAGGTAATACCAAGAGAGCCCCTAGGTAATACCAAGAGAGCCCCTAGGTAATATCAAGAGAGCCCCTAGGTAATATCAAGAGAGCCCCTAGGTAATATCAAGAGAGCCCCTAGGTAATACCAAGAGAGCCCCTAGGTAATACCAAGAGAGCCCCTAGGTAATACCAAGAGAGCCCCTAGGTAATACCAAGAGAGCCCCTAGGTAATACCAAGAGAGCCCCTAGGTAATATCAAGAGAGCCCCTAGGTAATATCAAGAGAGCCCCTAGGTAATATCAAGAGAGCCCCTAGGTAATATCAAGAGAGCCCCTAGGTAATATCAAGAGCAACTCTAAGCACGTGCTGTATCAGCTTAACACCCCAGGGCAAGATTATATCTCTTATCTATCTGAAACCCCATGTTTGGGGTTTCATAAGCACATCTAAGCTGTAAGTCTGACAGGCTGGGAATGCATGTCCAACTCCAGACTGACAGATCTAGGGCACGAGATCAACACCTGAAACCATGTGGGCTAAGACTAGGAGAGTATTGGTTTTCTGAAGACAAATCAGAGTTCTGTCACACAGAGGAGTCCAAAGAGATTCTTGGAAGACAAAAACAAAGGATTTACTGTACCCTCCCCAACTCACTACCTCCTATTTCTCATCACCTCATCTTTGTTTTGTTCATGCCTCATTTAGTTTTTGGCCACTGAGTGTCTTTCTTGATCTGCCTATGATTTCTTTGCCTATACCATTCTGTCTTTTCCTCACTTCGCTCATTCTCTCTCTGCCTGCCTCTCATTTCCTAATTTTCCGCCGCCTGTATCTCTCTTCACCCTTGCTTTCTCCCAAACAGTGTGAAAGTTAAGTCCCTTTCAGCCTGCCGGCCTCAGCTTCTGTACGTACGCTATATCCCCATAGCACTCTACACCTTTTGAATTCTTATTTTGCTGGTCTTCACTTTCTTCGTGTCAGTCTTCTTTGCTTAACCAGAAATTCCATGAGTAATGAAGGAACCATATCTTAGTCATTTACCACTGAATCACCAGGACTCTGTGCAGCCCCTGGCACATAGGATTTGCCCAAATACTCTTTGTTGAATAAACAAATGACCCCAGTGAGAAAAAGATTTGTGGATTTTGCAACACACATTTTACTTTTCAAGATATATTCTTCTAATAAGCCCGAGACTACAAAAGAAGAAAACGAATAACTGGTGTCAGGACCAATGAATTCTTACAACCTAGCTAGGGAATTCATGATTTCAGGAGAAATTATAAATCAATAGGCATCTTATGGAATGCAGATCGACAAATTAAGTATAAATTGACTGCTAATGGTTTGACACAAACAATTTTAGTTGTGTCTCCGTGAAAGCTGTATCTTTAGTTGTGTATCTGTGAAAGTTCACATATTTTTCAGTAAAAATCTATGTAAAAATCAAGATTGTGTTTCTACTTACTAATTAGCATTTGGCATCCACTGGATGTCAATGAGTTTCACCTAAAAATGGAGAAAGCATCACACAACATTCTGTACTTTTAGCAACATTTTTATTCAGGTATTTGTAAGGGCAATAATTTCAAATAGATTCAGTTCCTAAGTCCAATTGCATTTAACAAGACTTGAAAGCTTTTTTTAAGTCACCCGTATATAATTACAGGTGTGTAGACCAGAAAACTTTAAACGTTGCCTCCCTGGTCCCTCTACTGGACAAAACTAAAATACATAAAACCTATGGTTCACTTAAGAAATTAACTCACCTTATATAACATGCTGAACAAAGTAAGCCTTGGGCTATTTCATTCACCTACCAGAAAGCTCACGGCTATCTTCCAGGGAGAGCTAAAGAAATTCAGGAACTCCTATAGCATATGCGTATACATCCACCCAAACTAGGACCCATTCTAAATATCTGGACAAGGGGAGAAGGAGCTAATTAGAATAGGCTCTCTGGGTTTGTAGAGTTTCTGGTCAAATTCTTAAGTTCTGGGTTCCACGTGGCAGGGGCAATCAGGAAACAACATTGTGTCTCGTGTCCTCATTAATTGATTTAGGGTAGAGCATTTGGAGATGGAGTTTTGAAAAACAGAGAGAGAGAAAGATACAAAAATAACCTCTTCAATGAGATAGATATTAAGATGCAGATATATATATATATATATATATAAACATGTGTATATATGTGTGTGTATATATGTGTATATATTTACATATATATGCAGACAGCACATACGTATCTATTTATATACTGTATATATTATGTGTAAGTGTGTGACTTAAGATCAGACACCCACATTTGCTGTGATTAAAAAGAAAAAAATAAAACTCTTTGCAAAGAAGAAATAAGCCTCCTATGCACAAATTTCAAATTCATTCAGATTAGGCAAAAATTAAAATTAAGTAGAAAAAAACAGTAAAGATAATTTGTAGAAAAAAGGACCTGGGTTCAAGCTTCCACTAAGCTACTTACATTCTAATTATGGGCAAGTATTAATTTATCTGAGCTTCAGTTTTGTCATCTGAAGAAATAGTTTGGGAGATTTCCATGAGAAATGTGAGAAGAAATTTATTCATCTTAAAATTCTATCCAAGTGCTAGTAATTGATACCAATAGAAGGTTGGTTATGCATGGAACAAAAAAACACCATATCATTTGAAATGTGAATTCGTCATAAAAATGCACACAGGGCCAAGTTAAATCCAAATGTTTTAAAGCTTTTTCTGAACAAGAGGCACATCTGTGTCTGAATGGATATAATTATCTTTAATCTAAAATTCATAATTCGGATTCTCTAACTTTATAAACTTGTCAACTAACTAAATGTAATATATTATTTAAAAAATAATGCTGAGCTATAATTAATAATGATATTATAACACATCCCAAATCTAATAATAAATTCAGGTGGGCCTTAAGGAAATCAAGTAATTATATGAATAAGATCACTCAGTCTGGTGGAAAAAGCACTGAAGTTAAAATCTAAAATAAAAATTTGAGTTTAAATGCATCAGGCCAATAATTTAATCTCTTAGCTTGAGTTTCTCAACTTGTGAAACCTGTTTTGTCTATTTTGGAGCAAAAATCTCAGAGGAAAGAATGAAATGGTGAATACAATAAGACCAAACATAGAATACTTATGGATAATGGCAGAAAATAAAAATCTAACCTGAAAATTCAGATGTTCCCAAGGAAGAAATAGGAACAAATGAAACTGGAACTTAAATAAAAAGAAGAAGACTTGAGAAAGTTAAAAAAATATACGAGTTACTAATGAAATGTGTTCACAATTTAAAAGCAGAGCTAATGTAAAGGAATCTTGTCTAGTACACACTTACACATTCTTTAAAATGCTGGTGAAGGAAAAGTTATATGAATTTATATGTATATCATGTATAAACATGTATATAATATGGAAAGTATTGATCGAGATTGAAACCTATCATATTCTAGATGGCAGAAATATATTAAATTAAGCAACATGTTTGTAAAGTGTTTTCAATTAAAGGAATTATAAAGGTAAATCTATGTCATTGAGTTTACATCACCTTTGATGTAAAACTCAAAGCAAAGAAAAAGATTGCTAATATAAAGATCGTCTTATATTCATAAGGAAGACAAGAGTATTGAGTCTCCTAAGCATCTAAAAGCCACTGTCAATTTAACTAGTAACAACAAACAAACAAGCAAAATTCATTGAACTCTCCATAGGTCCAATATGCCACTTTGTACTTTACAGGCATAAAATACAACATAAAAAGGAAACAAACAGAAATTCTGTCCAAGATGGAAAAATGCCCACAAAGTAATAAATGCCTATTACATAGCATAGGCTATGCTAAATGTTCTTACATATGATATCTTATTTAACTGCCATAATAACTTGTTGAAGTTTGGCTGGGTATGATGGAGCATGAGTGTTAACTGCATAAACAAGCTGCTTTCCACTCTTTGTGGTCCTGACCAACAGGAAAATAGGCACAAGGGGATCAAGTGAAATCCAAGCATTGATTTTATTGCTGGACCGAGACAATCCTAAATAATATGGCCTCCGCTATAGCTGGATAGAAGGAATAGGGAGAGGACAAAGTGAAGATCTCATTTTTGCTCCCTAACGTAAAGTTGGGGGCAAGTGCTGGGTCTGCAGAGTAAACTGACTTTCTCAGCCAGCTGCCAGTGGAGCAGGCATGCTCCACAAACACTTACGAATGTGCACAGTCAACATAGCTCCACTCCCTTCCTTATGCGGTAGCCTTATCCTGGTATGCTTGAGACTTGGCAGTAAGGAGTGGAGGCAGAACACCCACTTCACCTGAGCAATCTGGTCTGGAAGAAGATGGCATGTGTGAGCAGTCATTTTCAGCAGAGTAATTCTATCCAAGGGTGAAGCAACACAAGGAAAGTAAAATTTTCATCTGTAAAATAGGGTACTCCTCTCTTGGTGATAACAGCAAGTAGGTGGAGAGTTGTGGATAAGATACTTCCACAGTACTTTGGCAGAAGGGGAAAAAAGTTTGAATTTCATTTATCTGGAGACTAAGGTAGGGATGGAACATGAAGAAGAGAGAGGTGTCTCCTTAAGAACCCATCAAAGTCATTACTATTACTCTCACTTTCCACAGAGGGAAACAGAAGCTGAGAATAATTATGTGACTTATCCAAAATAACACACCTAATAATCTATGACGTACACATAAGACAATTATAAAGCAACACCTGAATGATATGATATTGACTATAAGTAAGGGGATCAAGAAGAAAAATGAGAGTGTGAGATGCATTGAGCAAATTAAGCTGGCCCGGAAGCCTAGGTGAAAAAAAGGTGGTATAAATAGTGTAAATCCAGCACACATTGATGGGGTAGATATTGTGTTATAAATACAAACAAGTTTCAAGATCCTTTTGGGTAAGAGAATGCCAAAAACTCCTTAGAGCCATTGATACCCAGGAAATTAAAGTGTAGGAAATCTCCATGGTCATAAATACACAAATGGTAAATATTGCCTGTACATCTCAAGGGAAGGGGGTTAAAAAGGAAGGGGACCCGGCTTACTCTGACTCTTACTCATTTCACATGGAGGGAGTAATTACTTTTTGTTTTCTTTTACTCACTGTGTGAAACAAAATCAAGGTTTCTTTCCCTTAAGTAGGTCTGAGTTTTTTAGAGGCTCTTTGTTGCATCAGCTAGTCAGGCCCATGTAACTGTGGAAATGATCTTTGTGTAATGGGGAATCTCAAACACATCAGGAAAAAATGAAAAACAACAACAGAGAAATAAAAGAAAGTCTAAAAAGTGCTGTAGTAAACTTCCCTCTATTACTTGCACCTTAAAATAAAGAAATCCATTCAAAAATTTGATGGGGAATCTGAAAGACATCAGAACAAATGAAAAACAACAACAGAGAAAGAAAATAAAGTCCAGAAAGTGCTGTAGTAAACTTCCCTCTATTACTTGTACCTTAAAATAAATAAATCCATTTAAAAATTTAACATGCAAATGATAGTACCCTTTTCAATAAAAAAGTAGTCCCCAGTATTGTCATGAAAGAAAGATAATAATTCTAAATGGTCACATATCATTTTTTATTACATACAAGTGGTACATTCAATACAAGAATATCACAGCCAAATATACCATAATGAGAAAACACAGGCACACTATGCGCACACTCCATTTTATTATTATGATTTCTTTGCAACTATCTCATATTTAGAGGAGACATCTCTCATGCTAATGTGCAATCTTTCCGCTTTAGGACAAGATATTCCATGGATGGCAGCGATATAAAAATAACAAAACTAGAAAGAAGGAAGGAAGGAAGGAACGAAGGAAGGGGAAGGGAAGGAAAGGGAAGGGAAGGGAAGGAAGGAAAGGAAGGAAAGGAAGGGAAGGAAGGGAAGGAAGGGAAGGAAGTGAGGAAGGAAGGGAAGGAAGGGAAGGAAGGGAGGAAGGGAAGGAAGGGAGGAAGGAAGGGAAGGAAGGGAGGGAAGGAGGGAGGGAGGAAGGAAGAAAGGGAAGGAAGGAAAGGAAGGAAGGAAGAAAGGAAAGAAAGAAAGAAAGAAAGAAAGAAGGAAAGAAAGAAAGAAAGAAAGAAAGAAAGAAAGACATGGTGATCAAACTTTGGTTATGTACGTATGATCAAATTCTCAAAGCAGCAACATAGTATTCTAAGGCCACTTAGAGGCCAACAGAAGTCAGCATTCACAATTGTCTTTTTATGGCCAGCAATGAGTCAGGTGTACAGAATCCTTGTGGAATTAAAATCCGATGTGACTCATGATACTACATAAGCGATCAAATCAACATCCATAAGTTCTGCAAATAAAGTACAGGTAGTGATTGAAAGTCAGCATTGATTCTTGCCCACCATTTGATCAATACTAAGTTCAGAGTCTGGTACCTATTTTCCCTTTCCATAAGTCATTTTCGAATGGGTGTTAAGAGGCTGACTTGAAACTGAAGTTAACACAGAACCATAGGATACTGGCGGGCAGAGAGATGTGCTTAGGGCTAGAGGCAGAGCCAGTGTTATGTCAGACTAAGGGCTGGGGTTGTAAGTAGGGAATAGGGCTGCTCAGGCATGGCAGAGGCTATTGTATGGTTGAACAAGTGGAATTTAAGTCAATAAGAAACGAAAAGTACACTGAGTACCAAGGACCTAGACAGATATATTCCAGAATTTGTTAAATTCAATAAAATGAACAGCATCCTGCTCAGTAACATAGAAGTTTTTATTTTTGTGTATATACTATTTATAAAGTATTATTACAATTAGTATACACAAAGATGAATGATGTATGGGTCTTTGTCTCCCCAAGGAACTTCTAATCCATTAGTACAGACAGATATTTAATTATCAACTTAGCATTAGGCAAATTGAAATATGTTGTCAATTAGAGACTCATCCAAACCATAATGGAAGTTGAGAGGAAAGACTTATTTAATTTTGGCTTGGACAATCTAGAATATGTTTAACAAGTAGACGGCATCAGCCAGACATTAAAGGATAAGATTAAATAATGTTACTGAAAGATGGTGATAGGAAAATAAGTATTTTAGGCTGAGGAAATAGTATGGCGGTTTACTTTCTTGGAGTCATAGACTCCTTCAAGAAACTAACTAAATGCATATAAACTTACATATAATTTGTATAAAGTTACCAATAATTCACAGACTCTAAGAAGGGCATCCTTGAAAGCCCAGACTCATTGGCCCCAGGACAAGAACTCTTAGCCAAGTATGAGCAAACAATCAACACAAAGTTCTGATAACACAGGTGATTGAGTATAGTGGCTAATGATGCTGAAGTGGCCTAATCAAGAAAACTCTGAACATTACATGAAAGGGAAATAAAAGGGAAATTAAATTTAGATTTGCTAATAGTAATATTCCAACATTATCATCAAGTGACCATCCCTAAGAAATAAAATACCTTTCATGTTAACAAATATTCCTGCTTGACCTGATCTGAAACCACCATCCTGGATAGGAGTCCAGAAAAAGATAGGAGGAGAGATTTCTATGAAGCCATTTTGCCTTTCCTCCAAGCCCTACTCCAGCGATTCTGCCTGAAGTCCTTGCAGATATGTTCATGTGGCACAGGAATCACCAAAGGAACTATGTCCATCCTTTTTCTGACACCCTGACCCTATCAGTCATTGGCCACTGCATGTCTCTCTTGTTTAGGAAAGAAGTGAATGTGGACAACTAATATTGGGACAACACCGGCCAATTACCTTCCACCTTGTTTTTGCAGACATACTCTTCCTGACCTCAGGCTTTTTAATCCATGCTCACTTAGCTTCACCCAATCCTATTTCTTTTCTATTTCTCTATTTTTTTTTTCTTTTTTTGAGACAGAGTCTTGCTCTGTTGCCCAGGCTGGAGTGCAGTGGCATGATCTTGGCTCACTACAACCTTTGCCTCCCAGGTTCAAGCAATTCTCCTGCCTCAGCCTCCCGAGTAGCTGGGACTGTAGGCATGCACCACCACGCCCAGCTAATTTTTTCTTTCGTATTTTTAGTAGAGATGGGGTTTCACCATGTTGGCCAAGCGCTGGTCTTGAACTCCTGACTTCAGGTGATCCACCCACCTCGGCCTCCCAAAGTTCTGGTATTACAGGCATGAGCCACTGCGCCTAGCCCAATTCTACTTCTTTGGGTTGGCTGGCCCTACTCTACTTTATGACTTCCAGCTAGATGGATACTCCATTTCTTGGCTGCTTATCTGTTCTTGGGCCTGTGGAATTTGTGGATACGAGGATAAAACTGCTTTTGTCAGAACTAGACACAATAGGGTCAGGAAGACTTGAAGGAAAGGAGACTCAAGCTTACATGTCTGAGATAAAAACTGTTGCCACAAGAAATCCCTTCACATCCTTTATGCATCCCCCAGTTTGCATCGCTTGCAAATGTTTCACATGTATAGGTATGTTTCTATGACAAGGTTGATTACTAGACATTCTTGAGGACTGCAGTAATTTAGGTAAGATGCTCTCATAAAGAACTCTTGACCAGTAACAGCATATCCAGCAGCAAGCTGACAACAATTCTGGCTTTGAGACTCTGGAACCAATGAACTCTCTTTCTAAGTAGCTAATGCGAACCTCTCTCCTTTTGCCAATAAAAGCTTCCCTTTCCTCTTCCC
This sequence comes from Homo sapiens, assembly GCF_000001405.40. Classification (NCBI taxonomy): domain Eukaryota; kingdom Metazoa; phylum Chordata; class Mammalia; order Primates; family Hominidae; genus Homo; species Homo sapiens. Next base: position 117,405,240 of record NC_000002.12, on the reverse strand, counting down.
TAACCAAATGCACTTGTGGCTTGCCATTCCATGCATCCCAGATTATAATCCTCTTTCTTCTCATCCCCAGATAAACTCAACATATTTGGGGATAATTTTTTTCCAATGTCTTTTTTTTGGTTGACAGATTTCTTTATTGGTTTTTCTGCTCTGTAAAGTCTGTCTTTGTAACTCTGTTTGTTACCTGTCTTCTGATAATCTCTCTTAACCTTCACCCTTTCAGTGTCTTTTCAGCATTTGTGCTTCTTACTCCTTACCAGTAACTTGTCTTGCTTCTGCTCACCCCCACGGTATAAAGGGAAAGAACACCAGATCCACAGCTATCTTGGTCAAGTTCCACCGCAGTAAGGGGCAAGGCTAATGCTCAGGCAAAGTGGGAACACTTCTCATAATTAGGTCCTGAAACAACGAAGCAGGACCTAGATTCCACGAAGAGTGTACATGCAGTGGCCTGAATTACACAAAGTAAATTAACAACGGTCTAAAGAAAAGAGTCATGGAGGGGGAATCAGACAAGGAGGCAGCGGGACAGGAAAATAAGAGTAGTGCCAAGAAAAAGTGTTCATCATGGGAGGCATAGCAACTGATGGTTTAAATAAACAACAAAAAAAAGTTGTTTAGAAGAAAAGGTGACAAATTTTGAAAAAATAAATAAATGTGAACATTTGGAAAATAAGTGAGAAGTGATACCCATTCTCCATCCTTCCCTTCCAGTTATATTGAATTCTGCAAAATGGCAAATTTTAGATTTATTCAATTAATATTCTTTTGATTGCCAGCTACGTGAAAGGCACTTCTCTATGTCTCAATGGCTTCATCATAACAAAGATCTCTTCTTTCATGGAGCTTTCATTCAGGCCAGATGCTTACTTCCTGAACTCCATTATTCTCATCACATTTAAAATGAGTCTATATTGGGGTTCGGAATCAGAAATCTGTGTTTGAATTCTGATCTTCCACTTTCTAGTTTTGTGGATTTTGACAAGACATATAGAAACTTTCTAAGCTTCAGTGTCCTTGTCTACAAAAAGATTTTGTGATATTCATGGGTTGTGTAAGAAGTACCTGAATTAATACATAAAAGCAATTGTACAATGCCTGGCACAGTGTAAGTACTCAGTAAAAGTTAGTAGTTATTATTGTTACTGTTGATATCTGCTGAGACAATTTCTACTTATATCCAGGATTCTACTTTCTTAGGTGCCACAGAGGGAACAAGCTGTATATTTGGGTCACTGAAAATGGAATAAACTTTAGAAATGAAAAGAACTGATTTATTTTGCCTTTACCTAAAAGTTCCTATGTGATCTGGTCCTGGCTCTTCCCCTAATCACAACTTAAATACTTCTTTGTGCTCACCACACTCCAGCCACCATGACCCTTTGCTTTTCCTTAGAAACCCCAACTACTCTCCTGCCCTAGAGTCTTGGCTCCTGCTGCTACTTTTGCCTGGAACTCTCTTTTTCCTGGTATTCAAATGATCATCTCCTTCCCTATCCAACCAATCTACAGCCCTGTCATGTCTCTTGCTGCCTGGCCCCTTCTTTATTACATTCCATTTTTAAATTTTCTTCATAGCACTATCACTCCGTGAATGTTATTATTTATTATTTATTTATATGTTCACCTATTCATTGTCAGTGCCCACTAAAATGTAAGCTCTGTTCATGACAAGATCTTGCTTGTGTTATTTGTCCCCTATGTCAAGAAAAGCACCTGTCACATAGTACATCAAAAACTAGTTGAATTAACAGATAAGTGAATGAGTTGATAAATTAATTAATAACTTTTTGGGAAACAAGCAGATAATTTCTTTGATTCTATTTTCATCCCAACATGCTGTTACATTGGCATTTTCTGTAGCTGCATAATTAGAAATAGAAAGACACATAAATGTTAATCATTCTTTTTATATGTTCACTTTCTGTTCCTTTTGCTTATTGTCTTGCAAGCATTTTCTTATTTTACTTGTCCATTCATTTATTTTACAGAGAATATGGATGCTTTTGTAATAATTGTGTGAGAAAATATCTCAATAAAACTACTAAATTAAACAATGCTTAAGTGTGCTTTCTTCAGAGGCCACAGAAACCATTAGCTTAACACCTCTGCTCTTTGAAAAAAACAAGATTTGGAGAAGGTCAGCTCCTAGACAGTTAATCACATTTTTTTTTTAACGGTTGTAGAATGTTGCTGAAAAGGATCCTCTGAGATTATCTAATGCAGACCCCTCTTTTAGCAGGTGAACAAACTATAGCCCAGAAAGGTTAGGGCTTGTCAATGACCACATGTCTACTAGAGGCAAGGACAAGTCCAGAACACTGACTTCCTGACTCAGAGGCCAGGGCTATTTTTCCAATTCTGTGTGCCAGCAAGTGAGAAAATGGTGTTATTATTTTTGTTTTATTATCTACAGAGATTTAAGGTTAAGGAAGATCTGATGCCAGCTAGAGACCCAGAACAACAGTGATTCACAATTATAACCTAAAAAAGGGCTGCACCCTGATGAATACTTAAAAATATTCAAACCCCTATAGGCTATGTCTACTCAGAAAACACCCATTTATATGCCATCTATGATTTTCACATGCGCAAATAGTTCTGTCTTTAATTCTAAAACTGAGGTAACAAACTGTAATAAAGATTTCACATGTGTAATTTGCAATAGATTCACTTTCATCAGCAAGTAAAAAAAAAAGCTAGATTTCTCATGAAAATCAATCAACTTTTAGAAGCTCAGTGTTGTAATGAAAAAAGCCACTGTGCATATTCTGCTTCAAAGACAAGTTGATTTTTAAAAAGGGTTTTTCTTGGGCAGGAAATTGCTAAAAATGAGACCATTTTATAGATAGGAAGCCATAAAAATTAATCCACTTTAAACTCTGGCTTTATTTAAATTCTTATAATTTATTTGATATACAGAATTTATTATTGACTGTTGAGCTGTGAGCAAAAGTAATTCAGACTGATCAAAATCTATTCCATCGGAAAATCAGAAATAAAAAGACATTTTATATTCCTTTTTTTTTTAACAGTGGAGGGATTGTTGCATTTAAGCTGAAATATTTTGTGACCTATAATTTCAGTGAGTGGAAATTAGAATGGGTGAGCTATAACTTTACCTTACAAGGTGGATAATGAAATGTCAACAGACCCTCAAGAAGCAGAGAACTCCAGGAGTTGATATAACACATTGCTAGAGGCAGTTCTTATCAATCAATCTAACTGTGCTTTTGTATTCACTTATGGGTTTCTTCAGTCTCCTGAATATTTTACTGACTGTGTGAAGATGCTTGGTCTTTTAATCAAAATTCCAGTCAAAATAAGCTGGGCCAACTTAGGGAGAGTATTATTTTAGATTATGGAACTTAAAAACAATCAAAAAAACTAACAAAACACAGATCTTTGGTTTGTATTTTCTTTATTAAGGGGACATGAAAGGCATATATTGATGACTCAGATATTTTAGATTTTTGTTCTACTTTCCTCTCCACCTAAATAATTTCGATTATCTAATCAGAAATATAACAGTTCCTTTCCTTATCTTTAATCATCCTTCTAACTTCTTCATCTTTCCTCCTTCAACTTTTTCCTTTATCTCCTATGATTTACTCAAATACTTTCTATTAAAGTGTTTTTCATTTTCCTTGGAAGACTCAATATACAAACGATGGCCAGACCATATATCACAAAACTGTGACAAAACCAGTCCAGGAAGCCAGACAAAAGGGAAAACTGACAGGTTTGAAATTTGTATTTAGTTTTTTGTTTGTCTGTGTGTTTAAAAACAGTGGGCCAAAGGCTGTGGTCTATATCAGGGGCAGCATTTTTTTTTTTTTCTGTAAAGGGTCAGAGAGTAAATATTTCAGGATTTTGGGGCCACAGGATTTCTATAGCAACGACTGAACTCTGCCTTTTTAATGTGAAAGCAGCCATACACAATAAGTAAACAAATGAACATGTCTGTATGCCAATGACTTTACTACAAAAAGAGTTAGCAGGCCGGGTTTGGCCCCTGTGCTGCCACTTTGTTGAATCCTGGTTTATGGTATGAGGTACATGCCCAGATCACAGTGTGTGTCACAGTGTAAGCCTTAAACATCAGAAGAAGTCTGTAGATATTGTTATGACTTCCTTCATTTATTTGACAAATAGTGAGCTAGGCATTGTCCTAGAAGATCAGCAAAGTGGACAAAAATTTTTGCCTTAGTTGGAATTATATTGAATTGGGGATGGCTGATAATGAACCATCAATGGAATAAATAAACTTCATAATCTGTTGAAAGTCGAAAGTACTGGGGGGAGATAGAGCTGATAAGGAGAATAGAAAACATGCATGGAGAGAAGTAATGAGGAAAAGAAGGATTGTAATTTTCAATTGGATGGTTAGAGTAGACTCTAAAGAAAGTGGCATTTGAGCAAAAATTTGGAAGAGGTGACCAAGTTAGTCATAGAGAAATCTGGAGGGAGAACTGTCTGCCTCTCGTGCAGGAGGGCAAGAGTGCTGGAGAGGAGAGGGCAAGGGCAAGACCACAAAAATGAGGTTGGAAAGTTGAGTAGGCATCACTGGAAGGATTTTAGTTTTTGCTCCTAGTAAAATGGGATATCCTCACACAGTTTTTAACAGAGGAGGGATGTGAGGTGATTGATATTGTGAAGAGGTAACTGGCTGCTGTACTGAGAACTGCAGTAAGGCCATAGTAAGTCAGCAAGGATGGAAGCAGGGGCACACCGGCATTCGTTCTCCCTTATCCACAGCGGGTGTGCTCCAAGTCTCCCACTGGATGCCTGGAACTGTGGATAGAGCACTGAACTCTAGATATACTATGTTTTTTTTCTGTGCATATAGATCTGTGATAAAGTTTAATTTATAAAGTAGGTGAAATAAGAAATTAACAACAATAATAACAAAATGAAACCATTTTAACAATATTCAAAATGGCGTGCAATTTAAAACATGAATATTTATGAAATTTTACATTTAATATTTTTGAACCACAGTTGACTGTAGGTAACTGAAACTGCAGAAAATGAAACTGCAGATAAGTGGGGACTACTGTAGTTGGATTAATATGTGCCATGTTTTAACTTTACTATTCATTCTATTTTCTCTTTATTTTTCTCTCTTTTTCCCCATTTATCTCCGCCTTTAGCATGCCAACTACACTTTTTTTCCCAAAAGTAATGATTGCCTTAGAGTTTACAATATACATTTTCAACTAATCTGTTTCTACCTGCAAATAACACTATACTGCTTCACTTACAGTGCAGATGGATTCCTTATACTCAAGTATTCTCTCCTCCCTTCTTTCCCTGCCACATTGCTGTCCTTCATTCCTCATATCCTATAATCACCCAATACCTTGTTACAATTTTGCTTTAAACAAATGGTTATATTTTAGATTAAGAATAGGAAGAAAGATAATTTCATTTTGCCATCATTTATTTCTTTTCTAATGCTCTTCCTTTGTTTATGAAGATTTGAGTATCTGACTTGCATAATTTTCTCTCTTTTTTTGAAGAATTTTTTCTAACATTTTTTTCTGGTCAGATTTGTTGCGATGAATTCTCTCATTTGTTGTTTGCCTGAGAAAGACTTTATTTCTCCTTCCCATTTGAAGGATAATTCTGTTGAATTTTCAACATTTTGTATATTTTACCCCTCTTTCCATGCTTTCATGGTTCCTGATGAGAAGTCAGCTTGTAATTCTTATTATTCTTCAATAGAAGAGTTCTTTTTCTTCTTGCTTCTTTCAAGATTTCCTCTATGTCTTTAAGTTTTCCATAATTTCTTTAAATTTTCAACTTTTATTTTAGATACAAGGAGTACATGTACAGATTTCTTACATGAGAGTATTGTGTAACGCTGAGGTTTGGAGTACAGGTCCTGTCACCCTGGCAGTGAGCATAGTACTCAATAGATAGTTTTTTTAAGACATCCTACCCTCCACCTTCTAGTAGTCCACAGTGTCTACCATTCCCATATTTATAGCCATGTGTGCTCAATGCTTAGCTACCATCTATAAGTGAGAATATATGGTATTTGATTTTCTGTTTCTCTATTAATTTGTTTAGAATTATGCCCTCCACTTGCACCCACGTTGCTGCAAAGGACATGATTTCATTCTTTTTTATGGCTATGTAACATTCCATGTGTATATGTACCACACTTTCTTTATTTAAATCTACCATTGATGGGCATCTGGGATGATTCTATGTCTTTGCTATTGTGAATAGTGCAGTGATGAACATATGAGTGCGTGTGTCTTTTTAGCAGAATAATTTATTTTCCATTGGGCATATATCCAGTAATAGGATTGCTAAGTCAAACAGTAACTCTGTTTTTAAGTTCCTTGAGGAATCGCCAGGCTGCTTTCTACAGTGGCTGGACCAATTTACATTCCAGCTAACAGTGTATAAGCATTCCGTCTTCTCTACTGTCTTGTCAGCATCTGTTATTTTTTGACTTTTTAGTAATAGCCATTCTGACTGACGTGAGATGATATCTCATTGTGAGAGATTTGCATTTCTCTTTTGATTAGTGAGGTGAACATTTTTCGTGTTTTTTGGCCACTTTTTTGGTCTGTTGAGATGTGTCTTCTCATTTTTTAATAGGGTTTGTTTTTGGCTTATTGATTTAAGTTCCTCATACAGTCTGGATATTAGGCTTTTGTCAGATGCATAGTTTGAGAGTAACTTTTCCCATTCTGCAGGTTGTCTGTTTGTTCTGTTGATAGTTTCTTTTGCTGTGCAGAGCTCTTTAGTTTAATTAAGTTCTACTTGTCTATTTTTGGTTTTGTTGCAATTGCTTTTGGAGACTTAGCCAAAAAATGTATTGCCAAGGCTGACGTCAGGAATAGTATTTCCTCAATTGTCTTCCAGGATTTTTATAGTTTGAAGTCTTACATTTAAATCTGTAATCCATTTTGAGTTAATTTTTGTATGTGATGAAAGGTAGGGGGTCCAACTCCAATCTTCTGCATATGGCTCGCCAGTTATTCCAGCATCATTTACCGAATAGGAAATCCTTTCCCCATTACTTGCTTTCATCAGCCTTGTTGAATATAAGATGGTTGTTTTCAATTTAAATGTGACATGTCTATGTTTTTTTATGTCATAGATATTGGGTTTGGTTTTGTTTTTGCTATTAATTCTGCTTGATATTCTCTAGGATTCCTGGATCTGTGCCTAGGTGCCTGTTAATAAAATGTTTTCAGCCATTATTACTTCAACTGTTTCTTCTGCATTGTTCTTTCTTTCTTATTCTTCTGGTATCCTGTTTAAGTTGTCTCATAATTCTTGGATGTTATGTCTGGCTTTTTAATTTTTTTTCTCTGCACATTTCAGTTTGGGGATTTTCTATTAACCAGTTGTCAAGCTCATTGATTATTTGCTTGGGTGTGTTGAGTCTAATGTAAAGCCTTTCTTCATTTCTGTTATAATGTTTTTGATTTCTTATATTTTCTTTTGATTCTTTCTTAGTTTTTTAATCTCTCTGCTTACATTACACATCTCTTCATGTATCTTGTGTCTTTTTCCTTTAGGGCCTTTAGCATATTCATCATAGCTTTTTAAAATTTTTTATCTCATAATTCCAATATCTATGTAATATCTAAGTCTGCTTCTGAAGATTTCTTTGTTTCATATGTGTTTTTTTTTTTTTTTTTTTTTTTGGCTTTTGGCATGCCTTGTAGTTTTTCCTAAAAGCCAGATACATTGTTTAGGTATTAGAAACTGAGGCGAATAAGTCTTTACTGTGAGAATTTATATTAATCTGGCTAGTTGTGCTGGATTTAATGTTCTCTATAGCTGTAAGTTCTAGAGCTTCAAATTTCTTTAGTGCCCATGTTTTTGTCTCTCCTCTTGACTTTGGGCTTCCCTAAGTGCCCCTTCTTAGAAAGAGTCTGTGTCTTGCAGCTCTTCCTGCTGTAATCCACTTTATTATACTGGAGCCCTACCGGTATTATGTTAAAGTATAGGGGGTGGAGAACAGTATATAACATTTTTATTAAATTCTGACTTCTTAGAATTTAGTAAAACTTAATTTCCCGAGTTTTGGACTGTGACTTTTGCAAGGGTTTCTCTAGTCGCATAGCTTTTTCTACTCCCCGGTACTCCTTTCCTTGGCTGCAGTGTTCTCAAAATATTTACTTTACCTCTCATGAATTATATTTTTATCCCCTTAGGTGAAATAGGAATGCTGAATCAAACTAGAGTGGGAGGAATGTCCTCCCCAAATTAGGATAAGGCTCTGGAAAAACCTTCATACCCTGGAAAGTAGGCCTTCATCATGAAGAATGCTCTTGGAATATTTTATAATGATTATTCTTCCTCACTAGCTGCCTAAGCCATGAGGGGCTCTTTTTCCTAGCTTCACTATGAGAACCTGGCGAGATTCTGGGAGACAAACTCATAAAACTGTGGGGGCTCCCTGAGGCAGCAGACCTCAGGATTATCTCACTCTCAAGCTAGTCCAGCTCAGCCTCCAGCAATTCTTCCAAATTACCATGTTCATGTTCCTATCACTGTATGTTTCCAGTGGTTTTTGCTCTAGGCAAGCGGATTTCAGGTGTGGCCCTATGGGTGTACTTGTGTCTACAAATTTTGGGTGGTACTTTGCTTTGAAAAATCATTTTTTTCTAATTAGTCCTAGAAAAGTAATTGATTTTCAGTTTGTCCAGCTTTTTCTTATGGTAAAACTGGAGTATCTATTTTCAAGCTTTTTACACATCAGATTCAAAACTGAGTCTTGTGAGGCCTCTTAGGATCTAGGCTCAAAACTGGCAAAGTTTTACTTCTATTTACATGTTATTGGCCAACATAAGTGAAACAGCTAAGCCTAAAACAAAGGGTGAGGTATGCACCCTACTTATGATGAGGCCTTAAGAAGGTTGTAAACACAAGGAGGGAAAATAGTTGAGAACATTAACTCAATGAATCATAGTATAATAGTGGTTTTCTTACATAATAAACCATTTGATTCTTTCATCATGGGCTTTTCATTTCTCCAGCACCTCTGTAACCTAATTGTTATATTAAATTATCTTTTTTTGAAATTGCTAGAGTGTTTCTTTTTTTCCTGATTGAATTCTGACTGGCAATTCCAAGTTTAGAAGAAGAGGAAAGGAATCCTATTGACTGTCCCTCTAAAACCCCAACAACCCTCTGAATAGTGTCTTACTGAAGGCTCTTTTGTTTGCAAGCAAGAGAAAGCTATACAACTGAATTTAAGAAAAAAGAAAGTGGGAGCAGCTTGTGGATGTATTCGGAAGATTCTGTAATACACTGAACCCAAGACAGAAAGATCATCAGACCTCTCCAAGGCCTGGTACCTAAAGGAAACCCTGCATGGGGCCTAAACTGCATCTCTCCTGTCTGCTCCCAAGGGTCATGCTCTGTTTCTGCAGACTGAGGTTGTGTGTTTTTGGGAAGAAGTGAAGCTAAGATGCTTTCCCTTACTCCCAGGTCATTATCTCCTTGGAGCAAGAATCCTAATGGAACGGCATGACTTGTTCTCAATTTTAATTTAATATTCTCAAGAGGTAAAACTTGAATGATTTGTCTTAGGTTAGGTTCTTGCTCCTAATCCAATCACCAGGGATGGAAGCAGAGGTCAGGCAGACCTAACCTGGCGGCTGGAGTATAGAGGAGAGGAGATGGGAGAAAGAAGCTCACTGTGAGTGAGGCCCATAGTCCTCAACCAGAGACAATTTTGTTCTGCAGAAGAAATTGGGCATGTCTGGAGAAATACTTGTTTCACAACTGGAAATGTATACTGGCATGTAGTGGGTAGAGGCCAGGGATTCTGCTAAACACCCCCAAATGCCCTAGACAAGCCCCTCAACAAAGAATTGTCCAGCTCAGGATGTCAACCATGTGGAGGCTGAGAAATCTCAAGCTAAGCTAATATCCCAAAATGAGGATTGACAAGTAGCAGCCTAGCACTGGTGAGGGTGAGGGGCAGAACCTGAGATGAGAGAGAAGAAAAAAAATAAGTAATGATTGTTGCATTTGGTAGCATGTATTATGTTCCAAACTGTATATTAAGTATTCAACCAACATTTTTTTTTCATTGACCCCTCATAACAATTCTACATAGTAAGTAGTAGCATCTTTGTTTTGTGGAAAACCAAATAGGACTGTATCACTCCAAAACTTACGTTTTTAACTATAAGCTAAAAGGTCACAAAGAAATTTCTGTATCTTGTGGATCATTCCCTGTTTTTACCAAAAGTACCTGGAAAGACATAAGCAGATTCTTAACTACTGAACTTGTGAGCCAAACAAGTAACAGTAAGTAACAACATCATTGTTGTCATCTTCTAGGAAGCACCTTAAAACTCATTGTCTGGTCGTCTATTAAAGGGCTTTGAATCTACCATAAACTACTATGCAGATATGCAGGCTAATGTGAATAGAGGGAGGACAGCAGGAAGCCCAGGCATGAAACATCCTCCAACAATAAAAAGAATTCCCATTCCCAAGACTGATGTTCCTACCATTTTCTTCCTCTCTGAAACATGCTGACCCTAATTTGGTCCATAGAGTCCATTTCCAGATCTTAAAACAGGAATCAACATGACAAATGTGTGGGGATATCATGAAGATTAAACTCAGAAATGTGTATGAAGCAGGGTTTGGTAAGTGGGTCAAATGCATCCCAGTGTTTGCTTTCATAAATAATTTTATTGGAACATTTTCATGGACTTTTAGTTGTGTGTTATCTATGGCTACTTTTGGGCTACAAAAGCAGAACTGAATACTTGCAAATCCAAACATGTTCACTTTTTTTCCACTTCCAGAAAACGTTTGTTAACTCCTGGTGTAAAGCAGTGGTCTGGGCAAGCACGGTACATTCAGTCAGCACAGCTGAGAGTTGCTGGACATCTCTCCATTCACATTGGGAGAATATCTTCTGTGTTTGTTTGATCACATACTTGTTTGACGTGTTCCAGCCAAACTGGCCTCCAGCACTTTCTAAATTACTGCCTAAAGCACAGAATTAAAATGACACAATGAAAGACAACCAAATAACATCACATTTATCCACAGGAGATGGAGTTGTTTTGGAGCGGAAGGGATAGGGAGTTTGGAGACAGTACTAATTACAAGACAAGGTAATAAAGTGAAGAGAGAGAGATACAGAGAGAGAGAGAGAGGGAGAGAGAGAGAGAGAGATCTTAAGTTACTCTGCACATTAGTTGTGTAACTTTGGTCAAATTTCTTAAACTTTCTTGTTATCGGTTTGCTCATATACAAAATGGGATGAACAGTGCTATCTTTTTGGTGGATTAAGTGAAATATATGTAATGACTGAATGAACATGAAAATGTGGAAAATTAATGTTGTAATAATAATGCATTTGCTTCACATATATTTATTGAGTATCATAGAGACCTGCCCACCCACCATGGCAGTTAAATAACAGTAATAAGAGCTAGTTTTTATTGATCGTTTCCTATATACCCTACTTTGTTCTAAGTATTTTTTGTGTGTGTGCTAACTCATTAAGCCCTCACAAGAACACTTTGAAATATGTACTATTTTTGTCAAATATATGTTGGAGACAAGGGAAGTAAGGTACAGAGAAGTTAAGTAGTTCACCCAAGGCCACACAGCTAAGAAGTTAGGCAGAGTCAGGATGTGCACTCATCAAGTGTGGCTGCAGAGCTCACAGTCTTCAATGTCCCCTGAGCACCATCACTGTGACACGGTTACCAATGATTCATTTTAAGTCCAAATGTCTCCATTGTGGAGGGTTCTTGTGTGTCTGCATATGTGTGCTGAATATAATGGCTCCACAAACAGCATTTAGTGTGGCGTCTGTGGGTGTCTCTGGAAAGAGGAAGCCACAACCAACACAGGAGTAACCCATGCCTAGCTTTCAGAGGTGCATAGGAATTCTCAGTGATGGGTGTCCGTTGGGGGGGCCAGAGAAGTTACCAAACACTTGACTTCAAATGCCCGTCTGTATCATGGAGAGAGAAGGAAAAAGGAAGAACCATTTCTCTACATTCTAAATTTCACTGAAACCTGATATGGCTGAATTGTGCCCCTCCAAATTCATATGTTGAAATCTTAACTCCCAATACCTTAGAATGTAACTGTATTTGAAGACAGAGCCTTTGTAGAGGTAAGCGAGTTAAAATGAAGCCCTCAGGGTGGACCCTAGTCAAATCTGACTGGTGTCCTTATAAAAGGAAATTTGGACACCAGACACCTGTGTACTGCATGTGTGCAGAGAAAAGACAATGTGAAGACACAGAGAGAAGGTGGCCTTCTAAAAGCCAGGAAGAGAGGTCTCAGGAGAAACCAAGCCAGCAGACACCTTGATTTTGGACTTGTGGCCTCTGGGGTCTAAGCCATCCAGTTGTGGTATTCTGTTAATGCCCACCCTAGCAAACTAATGCAGTATCCCAGGAGCACTTCAATGAGACGCATTTACCTTAATACAGAACAAAATAGGGAATCCTTCTCTATCATTCTCCATATAACATAGAGCATGCTTGACTTGGGGATGTTCAGGGTGTCCCCCAGAAGAGACACACTGAGCTCAGGGAGGGATCAGCAAGAGAGAATTTGGAAGCCAGATGAGGAGCACAATGCAATGGCACTGCCTTCTGTGCCAAATGGAGCCACAGCAGCCACTTCCAGGGAGTTGCTGCACCCCGAAGAGCAGAAGAGTGAAGAACACATCCAGCAGAGCAGCAGGAGGAAGTGGCCATGGCCAGCAGAGTGACGGGATCCGTGAAGGGGCAACATATGTCGCACCTGCCTCTGGGGCTTCTAAAAATCCTTAAGAGGGAGTTTTCACGGAGTGGGGGCACATGCACTGTCGGTTTGGAGAAATGAGCCAGAAAAACTAGTTATTAATACTAGTGTTCCCACATATGTACCCAGAGGGTGGTGAGGCTTGGGAAAACTACAGTTCCACACAGTTGACCCCAGAGCAGATGCCCATGAAGTTCTATCTAAAAAAGCTAGAGACCATGCATTGGAAGAAACAGATGGACAGGCAAAACATGATGAATTTGAAAACAAACAAACAAAAATCAGTGAGATTTGTGAAAGAATGTAAGGGGAGAGCCTAGGAAAAGTAGATTTAAACCAACTCAATCACTTCTCAGGATTATTAAGGAAGACATACTTAAAGGATTTTGTAAATAGAATGTGCTATGTAGCTGGTTTATTAAGTGAGAAAGCTGATTTTTATTCCAGATGATCACAGGCAAGAATTCAATGGCACAAACAGGAAATGTGCTTGGAGGAAAACAATAGACTGGGAAAAAGAAAGAAAAGAAAATGAAATTGGCCATGTTAAAAAGGAGACAGTTAAACAAAGAGGGGAAGGGGAAGGACCCAGTGGCAGCGTTCTAGAGATGGAGAGAGGGGAATACATGAAATAATTTGTTAGCCTTTCAGAGAAGGGACAGATAGAGAGTGAGACCCAGCTTAACTACCAAACAGAATGAATGACATGGGAGAGTGCTGATGTTTCTACTATAACCAAGACACTGTTGTAAGTGGTGGGAGATCAGAGTCCCAATAACAATCTTCTGTGCAGGATGAACAGATCCTGGCTGCCCGAATCCTGCAGTTGCTCACACTGCACTGCTTCCATGAATGAAAATTATACCTTTAAGATTTTAGGCCACTGTGATTTGTGGGTTTATTTATGACATCAGCTTGCATTGCCTTAACTAATATTGCCGTTCAACAAATTTGTTGAAGAAATAAATGAGCTATATAACAACAACAACAAAAAAAGAGTCAGACTTTCTCTCCTCCAGCCGTTTTTAATGGCTGGTTTTAATCAGTGGTGAAGAGTGGAAATTAAAGGCAAGAGCTTAATGTTTTAGTTATTTTTTCTTCCACTGAGTGGGTGAGGGTGGCAGTTATAGGGCATTGGATGACTCACTGACTCTGAAAACAGTAGGTCTTTCTTACATAGGTGTTGATAGTCTTTTATCCTGTTTCTAGAAAGGGGAGAAAACTTCAATGTCTTTGCCAACACAATAATGAAGGAATATTCCCAGTCTCTCTCTCCACCCCAATCCTTTCCTCTGCCCATATGGGAAAGGGGTGGTAAATAATTGGTGGAGTTGGGGTAAACATCATTACCTGTGGGTAGCCCTAGCTCTAGCCTATTTTTATTTTTTTTCTCAGATTTACTTACTGAATCTCTCCCTACTCCTGCTTCTAGGAAGTTAGCATGCTCTGGGTGCAGTCCTGAGGCTTGACACTTTACACCTCTCTTGAATCTGTTCTCTCAATGGGGTTTGATGCAGGTGCAAGTAGCCCTGCAGATGGCTCAGTGAATATGCCCAGATTTTGCTCTGTAGATTTTGCTTTTCTCTAGAAGTTCCTGTGCTCTAGATTATGTACGTAGTAGGAGGACTAAGGCATATCCTCCAGCAAAATATGGTTGATGAAAATCTTCATTTGTTGACACCTGTTGTCAATTGCCTGAGAATTTAGAAGAGAAGCAGTTTTGACCATTTTTATATCTGAACCACAAATAAGCTACTTACTATCTAAACCATCATGGGAAGATTGCTTCTTTCTATGAGCCTCAATTTATACATCTGTGAAATTGAGAAAATAATCTCAATATGGAAAGGTTTTTTGAGAATTATACTAAATACAGTAAGCATGCTATAGAAATCTGTTCATTGTGAGTGGTTTGGAGCATTTCTTCTAAACATTCTGTATTTCAGTTTCCCTACTCAAAAAAATAATGTTGCTAATGTTCACCCTTTCTTGATAAAATTTCAGCTATATGTGGGATTCTTGGGAGGCACTAATCAAAATGGAATGGCTTCTGTCTCGTAGACCAGGCAAAATTTCATAATTCGAAAGGTTCAGCTACTGCCATACTTCATACCGATGCAAGCTAGCAAACATCTTGATTTTTAAAATGCTCAAGTTTTAGATGGTTTTGTTGCTTACAATGCTAATTATTCAGAAAATGATTAGTGTCTCTTCCAGCTTGAAGATTATGGCATAAAGTAAGTATTTCCCATTTCTCCTCTTCAAAATCACCCAAATGCAAAAATGACATGCAAAAACACAAGTTTCTTCTTTAATGAAAGTAGGAGAGAGCTGAAACTCTGAACAACAAAAAAGATGGAAGGACTACAGGCACACAGGAGGAAGTACAGTAGAAGGATACTCAAGGCTGCCAATCTCTGAAAGAGTCCGCAAAGTACGCTTCTCCAAGGTGAGCGTGAGGGCCACAGTCTGTAGTACAAAATCCAATTTCTTGGTTTCAATAATACATGAGCTGGTACCAAGTGCTTTTATACACACAGTTTCAAATTAAGAAGCAGATAATGTAGAAGTAATTAATAAATAACATGAGAAGGGGCATCAAGATGGCTGACTACAAGCATCTTGTACTCACCTCCTCTACTAAGAAAGAACAAAATAGGGAATAGAAAATTACATTTTAACTACGTCACCTACAAGATAACACTGAAATTCAACAGAGAAATGCCAAGAAATACCTGAAGCAGAAGTGAAGGGCTCACTCCTCAGCCACCAGCATATGGTTACTGCCAGCGAAAGCAACCCCACCTTCTCTAGTATGAGGGCTGCAGCATAGCCATTGCTGCCCACACTTAAGCATTTTTCTGGGTACCTGGAGATTAAAGTACCCCTCCCTACTACAGCCAGTACTTGCATGCACCACCAGGAAGCTGGAGAACAGGTCTGCTGAGCATGGCCCCTCAGTGGTCAATCATGTCATCAGGACTCAGGGACTCTCCAGCTCAGTCTACCACTGGCATCAGAGCACTTTTTTTTCCCCAGGGCCCTGAGGTTGAGCTCAGCCTGCAGCTACCATCATAGTAGGTATCTCCCTGAATGTACCACCTGAGGGCTTGCAGACTGGCCTGTGCAGCCCACCACAGCCATTACCAACACCAACATAGATTATTTGTGAGGCAGAGGGTTGTCTTGCCACTACCATTGTCCATGACACATTCACTTCCCAGAAGCCTGAAAACCCGCCCACCAGCTTGGCCCACTGTTGTCACTACAGACACCTAAGGAAGCTGCCTGAAGGCCCAAGAATAGCATGCCCTAGCTTTCTTGGGCATGCTAACACCAGTGCCAGCATATGCCATCATGAGGCCCCAAAACAAGGATGCTTGGCCCACTGCTAATACAACTGGGGCCTGAAAACAGGCCAACCTGGCATCCCTATCCCTAGCAAAACTTCACCACAGCCTCCACTAACAATCTCACCTTAAGCCACTGAGGAAATCACAGACACCACTGACTTCGTTTACAGCCAGGGAAATCATACAAAGACTACACTACTGAACACATTCAGAGTCAAAGCTGAAGTGCCCTACCCAACCAATACCAAAGATAAATTTTCGGGAAAAAGTCCTCCCCTATGAAAGAAATAAAAAAGTGACTGTTACACTAAGTGTGCAGATATCAACCTAAGGACTCAAAAACATGAAAAAACAAGGAAGTATGACATCTCCAAAAGAACACAATAATTCTGCAGCAACAGATTCCAATAAAAAATTTATAACAACCCAGAAAAAGAATTTAAAACAATGATACTAAAGAAGCTCAGTGAGATATCAGAGGATACAGAAAAACAATACAAAGAAATCAGAAAAACAATTCAGGATATGAATAAGAAATTTACCAAAGAGGTAGATAACATGAAAAAAATTAAAAATTTTGGAACAAAAGAACTTGTTAACTGAAATGCAAAATGCATCTGAATTGCTTTATCAGCAATAGACTAGATAAAGCAGAAGAAATAATTTCAGAACTTGAAGAGAGGTCTTATGAAATAATCCAGGTAGATAAAAAATTTTTTAAAAAATGAATGTGACATATGGGACACCATAAAGCGACAAAATATTTGAATTTTTAGAGTCCCATAAGGTGAAGAGAAAACAAAAGGATAGAAAAACTATCTAATCAAATAATACCTAAAAAATTCCCAAATCATCAAAAGATTTAGACATCCAGATATGGGAAGCTCAGAAATTCTCAGATAAAATTAAAAGAAAAACTTTAATGGCACATTGTAGTCCAACAGTCAAAAGTCAAAGACAAAAAAAAAAAAATTCTAAAAGCCGCAAGTTAAAGTTAAGGGGACCCCCATCAGACTAACACAGATGTCCTAACAGACATTTTACAGGCTGGGAAACAATGAGATTTTATATTTTAAGTGATGAAAGAACAAATACTGTCAGCCAAAGATATTATATCCAGAAGAGTTTTCCTTCATAAATAAAGGAGAAATAAATTCTTTCTCAGACAAACAAAAGGTAAAGGAATTTATTACTACTAACCCAGCCCTACAAAAAATGCTTAAGAAAGTCTCATACCTGGAAGTGAAAGGACAATATCTATCATTGTGAAAACACACAAAGTACAAAACCCACTGGTAGAACAAAAATACAAATAAGAAAGAAAAAGGACTCAAATGTTACAACTACAAAAAACCACTAAACAACAGTAATAAAAAAATAAGAGAGAAAGGAACAAAGAATATGCAAAATAACCATAAACTAATAAAAACAAGAATAAGCCCTCACATATCAATAGTAACCTTGAATGTAAACCAATTAATCTTTCCACTTAAAAGACATAGACTAGCTGAATGGGAAAAGATATCCCACGCACATGGAAACCAAAAGCAAGTGGGAATAGTTATATCAGACAAAACAGACATTAAGTTAAAAACAGTAAAAAGACAAAGAAAGTCATCACATACTGATAAAAGGATCAATTCTGCAAGAGAATATAACAATTCTAAACATATATGCTATCAGCATCAGAACACTCAGATATGAAAAGAAGATATTATTAGATCTAAAGGGAGACATAGACTCCAACAAAATAATAGTTAGGGACTTTGACACTCAACCCTTGGCAATAGACAGATCATTTAGACAGAAAACAGAAAAAGAAACACTGCATATAAACTTGGCTTTAGATCAAATGGACTTAACCTTTTATACAACAGCTAAAGGATACACATTCTTCTTATCAGCATATGGAACATTCTTCAGGATAGATCATATGTTAGAATACAAGAGTTCTCAACTTTTTTTTTTTTTTTTTGAGACAGTGTCACTCTGTTGCCCATGCTGGAGTGCAGTGATGCAGTCTTGGCTCACTGCAACCTCTACCTCTTGGGTTCAAGTAATTCTCATGCCTCAGTCTCCCAAGTAGCTGAGACTACAGGCACTTGCCTCCACACCTAGCTAATTTTTGTATTTTTAATAGCAATGGAGTTTCACCATGTTGTCCAGGCTGGTGTCAAACTTCTGGCCTCAAGTGATCCACCCACCTCAGCCTCCCGAAGTGCTGGAATTACAGGCTTGAGCCACAGTGCCTGGCTAATTTTTTAAAAAATCAAGATCAAATCAAATATCTTCTCATACCATAATGGAATAAAACTAGAAATCAATAACAAGAGCATTGGAAACTACACAAACACATGGAAATTAAACAATATGCTCCCAAATGACTACTGAATCAAGGAAGACATTAAGAAGCAAATAAAATAATTTCTTGAAACTAACATAAATGAAAATACAATCTCCAAAAACACATAAGATATAGCAAAAGTGGTTATAAAATGGTAGTTTATAATGATAAAAGCCTATGTTGAAAAAATCAAAAGATTTCAAATAAACAATCTAGAAATGCCTCTCAAGGAACTAGGAAAACAAGAATAAGCCAAATCTCCTAATATAAGGAGAGAGATAATAAAGGTCAGAGCATAACTAAGTGAAATAGAAACTAAAAAATACAAAGAATCAATGAAACAAAAAAAGTGTTTTCTTAAAAGATAAACAAAACTGATAAACCACTAGCTAGGCTAATCATGAAAAAAAAAACACCAAATAAACAAAATCAGAAATGAAAAAGGAGACACTACACGTGATACCACAGAAATACAAAAGATCATCAGGGAGTCTTATAAACAACAATACGCTAACAAACTGGAAAACATAGAGGAAATGAATATATTCCTTGACATTACAACTTACCAAGATTTAATTAGGAAGAAACAGAAAACCTGAACAGACCAATGAGTAATGAGGTTGAATCAGTAATAAAGTTTCCTAATAAAAAAATTGTCCAAAGCGATCTACAAAATGGATGGCTTAATTACTGAATTCTACCAAACTTTCAAAGAAGAACTAACATTAATTTTCCTCAAACTATTTCAAAAAATTGATGAGGACAGAATTCTTCCTGTCTCATTCTACAAGGCCAGCATTGCCCTGACACCAAAGCCAGACAAAGATACAACAATGATCAAACTACAGGCCAGTGAGCAGAGATGCAAATTCCTGAGGAGCGGAGATGCAAAAATATTCAACAAAATAACAGCAAACCAAATCCAAAAGCACATCAAAAAAATAATACACCACCATCAAGTGAAATTTATCTCACAGATGCAAGGATGGTTCAATGGTTGCAAATCAATAAACGTGTTTTATAACATCAACAGAAAGACAAAAATTATGTGATCATCTCAATGGATTCAAAGTAAAGCATTTAATAAAACTCAATATCCCTTCGTGGTAAATACTGTCAATAGAGTACGCATAGAAGGAACATACCTCAATATAATAAAATCCACATATTACAAGCCCACTGCTACCATCATAGTGAATGGGGAAAAGCTGAATGCCTTGTCTCTAAGATCTGGAATAAAACAGAGGTGCCGGCTTTCACCACTCCTATTCCACAAAGTACTAGAAGTCCTAACCAAAACAATCATTCAAGAGATAGAAATAAAAGGCATCTGAATTGAAAAGAAGAAAGTTAAATTGCACCTCTTTGCAGATGATATAATTTTATCTCTAGAAAAACCTAATGACTCCACCATAAAACTCTGAGACCTGATAAATAAAGTCAGTAAACTTACAGGATACAAAAATCATCAAACAAGATTGAGTAGCATTTCTATATACCAATAATGAACTAGTTCAGAAAGAAATTAAGAAGGCAATCCCATTTATAAGAGCTACAAAAAATATCTAGGCATAAATTTAACCAAGGAGGTAAAATATCCCTAGAAATAAAACAATAAAATGCTGATGAGAGAAACTGAAAAGAGTAAAGTAAATGGAAAAACATTCCATGCTCATGGATTGGAAGAATTAGTATTGGGAAAATGACAATACTATACGGACATAGAAAATTCTAAAATTTGTATAGAACCAAAAAAAAAAAAAAAAAAAGACCTTCAATAGCCAAAACAATCCTGAGAAAAAAGAACAAAGCTGGAGGCATCATACTACTTGACTTCATAATATATTCTAAGAGCATAGCAACCATGGTGTTGGTATAAAAACAAACACATAGACCAATGGAATGGAATAGAGAACCCGGAAATAAAACTATGTATTTACACCTGATTTCTGACAAAGGATCCAGTAACATTTACTGGTAAAAGGACATCCTTTTTTAATAAACAGTGCTAGAAATATTGGATATCCATATGCAGAATAATAAAACTAGATCACTATCTCTCACCATATACAAAAATCAACTCAGAATAGATTAAAGACTTAAACATAAACCCTGAAACTAGATTACTAGAAGAAAACGTAGGGAAAACACTTTAGGACATTGGTCTTGGCAAAGATTTTACACGGCTGAGACCTCCAAAACACTGGCAACAAAACCAAAAATAGACAAATGGGACTATATTAAATTAAAAAGCTTCTACACAGCCAATGAAACAATAAACACAGTGAGAAGACAGCCTGTTGAATTATAGAAAATATTTGCAAATTATCCATCTAACAAGGGACTAACATCCAGAATATATGAGCAACGCAAACAACTCAACAGCAAAAAAAAAAAAAAAAAAAAAAAAAAAAAAAAAATTAATAATCCCATTAAAACATGGTCAAGGGACATGAATAGAAATTTCTCAAAAGAAGACATGCAGGGGGCTGGGCACGGTGGCTCACGCCTGGAATCCCAGCACTTTGGGAGGCTGAGGCATGCGGATCACAAGGTCGAGAGATCGAGACCACCCTGGCCAACATGGTGAAACCCCGCCTCTACTAAAAATACAAAAATTAGCTGGCATGGCGGTGTGCACCTGTACTCTCAGCTACTCAGGAGGCTGAGGCAGGAGAACACCTTGAACCCGGGAGGCGGAGGTTGCAGTGATCTGAGATCGCGCCACTGCACTCCAGCCTGGGTGACTGAGCGAGACTCCAACTCAAAAAAGAAAAAAAAAAAAAAAAAGAAGATATGCAAATAGCCAAGAGATATATAAAAAAATACTTAACATCAATAAGCATCAGGAAAATACAAATCAAAACAAGATCATCTTACACCAGTTAGAATGGCTATTACTAAAAAGAAAAAAGTAACAAATGATGGAGAGTATGCAAAGAAAAAGGAAATCTTATACATTCTTGGTGGAAATGTAAATTAGTACAACCACATGGAAAACAGTATGATGATTTCTCAAAAATCTAAAAGAACTACCAAGCCTGGCACTGTGACTTATGCCAATAATTCCATCACTTTGAGAGGCTGAGGCAGAAAGTTCACCTGAGGCCAGGAGTTTAAGACCAGGCTCGGCAACTTATCCAGACCTCATCTCCACAAAAAACAATAATTAAAAAGTAGCCAGACATGGTGCATGCCTGTAGTCCTAGCTACTCATTAGGCTGAGTCAAGAGGAATGTTTAAATTCAGGAGTTTGAGGTTACAGTGAGCTATGATGGGTCCAAGGCACTCCAGCCTAGGTGACAGAGCAAGAATCTGTCTCTTAAAGAAACAAAAAAACAATAACAATAAAACTACTACATGATCCAGCAATTTAACTAGTTTATCCAAAGGTAAATAAATCAGTATATCAAAGGGACACCTGCACTCCCATGTTTCTTGCAGGGCTATTCAAAAAGTAAAGATATAAAATCAACCTAAGTGTCTATCTGTGGGTAAACACGTAAACAAAATGGGATATACATATATATATATATATATATATATATATATATACACACACATACACACACACACTCACATACATATATATACACACACACATACATATATATATACACATACATATATATACACACACACATACATATATATATATACACATACATATATATATATGCACATAATGGAAGACTATTTGGATATAAAAAAGAAAGAAAGTATGTCATTTGCTGTAACATGGATGGAACTGGAGGTCATTAAGTTAAATGAAGTAAGCCAGGCACAGAAAGACAAATATTGCATGTTTGATTCATATATGGGAGTCCTAAAAGTAGATCTCACAGAGGTGGAGAGTAGAACAATAAATATCAGAGGATGAGAAGGCTGTGTGGGTCAGGAGGGGATAAAGTGAGATTGTTTAATGGGTACAAACATACAATTAAATAGAAGTACTAAGTTCTAATACTCAATAGCATAGTAAGGTGTCTATAGTTAACAATAGCGTATTGTGTATTTAAAATTAGCAAGAACAGAGAACTTAAAATGTTCCCAACACATAGAAATGATAAATACTTGGGGTGATGGACATCCCAAATACGCTTCCTTGATCATTACACATTCTATTTATGTAACAAAATATTGCATGTACTCTATGTACAAATATTATGTGTCAATAAAATTTGAAAATACAGTCACCAGAAAAATATTGCTATAGAGCAGATGAAAAGTGTGCCCAATTTATCATATAATTACCATATCTCTTTGCTTTGTATAAAATTGGAGCACAAGGCAGAGATTCCAACATACAGGGATAATTTTTTCAGGCAACAGAAGCAGTGGAAACGTGAGGGAGAAGAACTCAAGAAGAAATTTTTATCAAAAATATGAGGATAAATTGGAAGTTGCTAAAGGAAAAATAAATAATGCTAAAAACATAAATGTAAATTTAGAACTAAATAATGTGCATTGTGTCTTCTCAGGCCTAATTGATGAAAATGCTAAAAATTATATTTAATTCTCTTGGGCATAATTAGGATCCTTCATCATCAAAATTGTGCATTGTCCTGTGATGTAATGCAGACTTCCTCAGTGGCCATTCGAATTTTAAGCTGATTGTCTTCTTCTCTAAATTGCTCTAGGATGTTATATCTTTTGTTGGTTCTTTTGATTTAGTTTTCTCTCTCATCTCTACTGTCATACTGTCCTCTGTGATTTCTTATTGTTTTTTATCTATGTGCTTCCTGTATCTTCCTCTGTACACATTTTCTAATTTGCTAGTTTTTACTGTCTTATAAGTTGGAAACACTAGATAGCCAAATGTAATCCTGTGTAATTAATAAAGGTTAATAATCACATAGCAAAGGCTTTGATCCATAGCTCTTTTATTAAAGTTGCATAGGCGTTGACATGTGATATTTATGAACAGCAAATGGCTTTTCAGGGGCCGCTCTTGCTTGAGATGAGGTCCTGGATCACTGAATTATCAGAAAATTATAATTCCTGAAAAATGAATTCATTGGAGAACAGTATGGTGGTTCCTAAAATAACTACAAGTAGAACTACCACATGATCCAGCAATCCTACTATTGAGAATTTCCAAAGGAAAGGAAATCATTATATCAAAAAGACATTTGAACCACCATGTTTATTGCAGCACTACTCATAATAGCCAAGACATGAAATGCCTCTAGGTGTCCAACAACAGATGAATGAAGAAAATGTGATATACGTATGCCATCATACTATTTGGCCATCAAAAAGAATACAATTCTGTAATTCATGGCAACATGCATGGAACTGGATGACATTAGGTTAAGTGAAATAAGCCAGGAACAGAAAGTTAAACACCAAATATTCTGACCTATATGTGGAAGCTAAAAAATAGTTGATGTCACAGAAGTAAAATGTAGAACAGAATATACTATAGACTGGGAAGGGTAGGGGAAATTAAGGGACAGGGAGATATTTGTTAAAGAACACAAAATTATAGATAGTAGGAACAAGTTCTAAAGCTGTATACCACCGTAGGATGACTGTAGTTAACAGTAATATGTAATTTTGAATAGCTAGAGGGAGGATATTAAACATTTCCAACACAAAGAAAAGATAAATGTTTGAGATGATGGATATACTAATTACCCAGACTGATTACTATATATTGTATGGATCAAAATATCACTATGAACCCCCATGAATATGTACAATTATTACTTATCAATTAAATAAAATAAAATAGTTATTGTTTTATGGTTATATTTATCAATAAGAATTTTGTGTGTTATTCTAGTCATAGTTTTTTTAATGTTTTATTGCTTGTTTGTTTAAAGAGTACAGTCTTATTCCTCTCTAGATCACTTTGCTGATTTTAATACAATTTACAGAGTAAATTTTTAGAGAATCATAATGTAATTGACTGCCTAGGAAAGACAACTTGGAATGGGGTTCGATAATGTTATGGTTATGTGTGAAAGTCTGAGACCCAAGCTGTCTGGAGTTAAGTTCAGGTTCTATTACTTCTTAGCTAGAAGACCATGATGAATATTAAAATACTTAAGTTCCAGTTTCCCCACCTGTATAAGAAAAAAATCAAAATGTCTACCTCAGAAGATTGATTATGGCCACTAACTGTGCTGATACATGTTTAGCATTTAGTAAAGTCTAACATGTAGTCATAGAAAATATACATTAAATGACAGCTGAAATAATTCAAAATTTACAGGCTCACTAATTTTCATTTTATTAATATGAAACAATATTTAAAAAATAAAACTATGTTGTGAAGGGTATAAAATAGGTTAAAAGCTTGTGTCCAGAAAAATTATATGTTAGACAGTTAGAATAGTAAAATTAGAGAAAGGTTTGGTAAAAATTTCAGTCGGTTCTGTTATTGGGTCCTAGACTATGATTACTGTCCATCAAGTAGAAAATCCTCAGGAGGAGATGAACAGTAAGTGAGTTCAAAACTGTGAGATTTTGAATTTGTTCTAAGAGCAGCCTTTTTATCTGTTTTCCTCTTGACTGACAGAAGAGATGAAAAAATGGAAGTAAAATGAATTCCAACAATATCTTGGAAGAGAATGCAGCTTAATAAGAAACACATCTAATGTAGAAGTAGGAGCAAGGGAAAGGGAGAAAACCCTTCAGGATGAGAGCTTTGTGTCATACCTGACAAGATGAGTAGAGAAAAAGAGAGCTTATATAACGTGTATTGCATTTGAATCTTTCAACGGAGAGCTAAGCGGTGCTACTATTGCCTCATAGAAGGAAAAAGCTCCAGCTAGCTATGGAGGGGCAGAGAGACCAGAGCATCCGCTTACTGTTCTCAGTTTTATTAAAACACCTGAAGAGAAAGCAGGAACTTGAGGAGTATGATCTATTTGAATGCATCTTTAGGAAGTAAGGCACTATGCCAGCCCTCTGGGGAAGAAATAAAAAATCAAAGCCTCCTCATCAGCAGCTACTGCTTACAGGCATTTATTTATTTTGCACTGTAAAAACCAGAAGAAGAGGAGAGAAATGAGACCTGCGGGAGAAAGCTCTGAAATGAGAATTCCGGGCCCCTGATATTAACATACTCCTTCCTCTGGGCCTCAGTTTCCCCATTTTTACCACCAAAAGTTTGCAAGATTGGCCTTTAGGGTCTCTAAGCCCCTTTTTAGCTAGAAAATTCTATGACATATTCATGAATCTCAAAAGAATCTATCTCCACCCCCACAATTTGTTCATTCCTTTTTCCTTATTGTTTTACCTGCCATCTTATTTCTTGTTACTCTTTCTGAGCTCCTTTGTAACAGGCAAACAGTGCATTTCTGCCTTTTGACTTTTACTTAATCTATGCCCTTCATTTTCACTGCTTCTGCTTTCACACCTAAATACACCTGTTTTTGGAATTCAACTCAAATGTTCTTATTCTCCTTCCCAAAATAAGTGATCTCCACCTCTCCAAATCTCCATTAAATTTCCCTTGTGCCCTCTCAGGGCTCATTAGACGCTGTAACCAAGACGAAATAATCAAAAGGATCAGAATCTAGTGTAAAGTGAGTTTATGTTTGTTCAAACATAAAGTTTGAGGACAGCCACTCAGGAAACACAGATTACAAAGGTATAGAAGTTTGGGGTCCTTTATAGAGACCAAATTTAGGAAAGCATAACAGAAATTCAGCATCTTTCTATATATGTTTGAATGCATAGTTATAACAATCTGATTAGTTCAGGTAGTTTTTTTTTTTTTTTTTGGAAAGGTATATTTAACATCTACATTGAAGATGTAACAGTCATGGGGTCGTTTGCACCACCTGGTTTGAGTAAGGTACAGGAAAATAAAGGAGACAGTTAATCTGTAACAAAGATCAGTGATTGGAAGGGGAAGAGGTGTGGTCTCCAGTCTCTCATAGTCATTTACAGAACAAGAACAATGAGAAAGAGAGTTAATCTATAATCCAATAATGAGAAGTTGCAAACCTGCTATATGACTCAGTCTCCGGGGCTCAATTTCCTCCTTGGTGTAATAAAATTAGAAGATCCTAAAATTTTTTCTCTTATGACTGCACGATATTGTAATCATTAGTTCATGTATTGTCTTGCTGAGTGCAACTGCTATGAACTCCCGAGTTCCCAGGATCACTGGGGATAGGGATATGTCAGTCCCCTATCCCCTACAATATGTCCATATCATTTGGTAGATAGCCACTGCCCCAAGCCCTCCACAGAGAACTCCCTGTCCCCTTCCTCCAGCATCCCTCACGTCACCTTATTCAAATAACTACAAGGTTTACACCTGGAACAGCAGTTTCTCCAGGGTCCTGGCCCAGCTATGGCTTTGCCAGAGCCCATGTTGGCCAAGTTGCTGGATATTTTGAATGTTATTCCTGCTCTGCATCTCTCCTATCCACAGCCTCCTGCTGAGTGGCTTATACATAACAAATGGTGAATATGTGTTTATTAAATGAAAATAGTCAGGCTTGTTCCAATACTGTAAAAATTGTAGGAAAATACTTAGGGAGAGGTAGAGGGTCAAAGAATGAGATGATTTTTGTCCCATGAGTCAGTGTTTAAGGCTTTTCCCCTGGCCTCAAAAGAGGAATTAACACTTTTGGAGGAAGGGTAAGTAGAGGGGTAGAATTTAAAGATACTAAGTAAAATTGGAGTGGAATAAGGTATAAATGAGTAATGCCTTATAAAAGAGATTCCAAGCTTTTCAAGACTTTGGTGAAAGACTGGGTTGGGGGAATATGAAATGGTGCCACTTTCTCTTGATTGTGTTCCTATCTCCATTCATTTTCTGTCTTTTTCAGGGTTGCTTCTTTTTTCCCATCTCTAAATGAGAGTTCTTCCCGTCTCTAAATGAGAATTCTTCCCAAGCTCTGGTCAGTTCCTTTTTCTCTCTCCTCTCTTTTGCTACAATGGGTAAATAAGTTTAGCAAGACTTAGCACACGTTGTCAATATACAAAAAAATCAGCAAGAATTCTATATTCTAATAATGAAAAATTGGATACGAAAAGTAAAAATAGAGCAGTTTAAAATATCACCAAGGAGAAGGAAATACTGAAATATAAATCTAATAAAATTTATGCAAGATCTCTATGCTGAAAAGTACGAAAGACTCATAAAAGTTATCAGTGAAGGCACAAATAAGTGGAAAGATATATTGTGTTCATGGACTGGAAGATGCAATATATTTAAGATGTCAGTTCCCAAAAATTGATCTACGGATTCAATGCAATCTCAATTAAAATTCCATAAGAATTTTTTATAGATATCCATAGGCTAGTCTCAAATTTTACATGAAAAGGGCAAGAGCCCAGTATAGCCAAAATAACTTTGAAATAAGAATAAAGTTAGAGGACTTACATTGCCTAATTTTAATACATACTATGAATCTTAACTATAATATAACCTAACTATAACAATCAAGGCAGGGTAGACTGGAGAAAAGATGCATAGATAGATAAATGAGACAGAGCAGAAAGTTCAGAAATAGGCGTGCAGAAATATGGCCAATTGATTTTTGACAATAGTGTGAAGGAAATTCAGTGGAGGAAGAACAAATTTTTATAATAAATTGTGGTGGAAAAATTTAACGTTTGCATATATATGTATGGAACTTCAATCTATATTCTTTATGTGAAAAATTCAAAATGAATTATAAGTCTAATTTTAAAATATGAAACTATAAAGATTTTAAATAAAACATAAGAGAAAAAATTTTATGCCCTTAGGTTAGGCAAAGAGATCTTAGATAAGAACAACACACCAAAACTATGATCTATAAAAAAGAAAACTGGGCCAGGCACAGTGGCTCATGCCTATCATCCCCGTACTTTGGGATGCCGAGGTGGGCGGATTGCCTGAGGTCAGGAGTTTGAGATCACCCGGCCAACATGGCGAAACCCCGTCTCTATGAAAAATGCAAAAATTTGCCAGGCGTGGTGGTGGGCTCCTGTAATCCCAGCTACTCGAGAGGCCGAGGAAGGACAATCGCTTGAATCCAGGAGGCAGAGGTTGCAGTGAGCAGAGATCGTGCCATTGCACTCCAGCCTGGGCAACAGAGCCAGACTCCATCTCAAAAAAAAAAAAAAAAAAAAAGAAAAAGAAAGAAAACTGATAAATTTGACTTCTTCAAAATAAAATATTTTTGCTTTGCAAAAATCATTTGTTAAGAGAATGAGAAGACAAGTCACAGACTGGCAGAAAATATCTGCATATCATACATCTGACAAAGAACTCTCAAAACATAATGATACGGAAACAAACAACCCAATAGAAAATGGGCAGAAGATCTGAGCAAACACTTTACCAAAGAAGGTATATGGACAGAAAATAAGCACATTAAAAGATGTCAATCTCATTAGTCATTAGAAAAATTCAAATGAAAACCACTGCATACCCCTTAGCATGGCTAAAACTAACAAAGAAAACAAAACTTGACAATACCAAGTGGTGGTAAGTATGCTAAGCAACTGGAACTCTCATATATTGCTTTTGGGAATGCAAAATGGAACAGCTGCTGTAGAAAATAACTTGTCAATTACTTATGAAGATAAATGTACATTCCCGTATGACCCAGAAATCCCATTTGTATGTACTTACCCTAAAGAAATGAAAGCATATGTCGACACGAATACCCGATGTGGATATTTATAGCAGCATAAAACTGTTATTGTAATTGACAAGAGAGGAAATAACCAAATATTCCTCAACTGGGTAATCAATAAACTAATTCATAAAATAAAACTCACCATTTTGTAATACATTTCTACAAGTTTTAACAAGCGTGTAGTCACATCTAATCACCACCACAATCAAGATATAAAACAATGTTATGTCCGTAACCTCCCAGTTTGTTTTGAGTATTGATTTTAAAAGAAACAAATTTTAAAAAATCTTAAAATTTGTGAAATGGGTCAAAATTATCCCAGAAATGTGTATGCCTAAAATTTTGCATTTTCAAAAACAGTTTGGCAATATCAAATAAAGCTAAGTATGTTTGTGTACATATCTATATACACACATGTAATCCATCTATATAGGTATATATATACACATATGTTATATTTTATATTCTATACTATAATCTATATTCTATAATTATATATAATATATATTATATAGATATACATACACACATATATTATACATTATATATATTATATATTATATGTATACCTATACATACATATATAGATATACATATGCATGTATATAATATATAAAACATATGTGTTATATATTAAGCATATTATATATTTAATAATATGTGTACACATGTACATATGCATATATAGATATACATACACATAATATATAATATAAGCCTATTATATATTATATGTGCAATATATAATAGTATATATCATATATATGTAATATATAATATAAATATATAATATGTGTGTGTATGTATATCTATATAATATATATGTGAGTATGTATATCTATATATGGATTATATATAGAAATATATATGTGTGTGTATATCTATATATATAGATTATATATGTGTGTATATATGTGTCTGTGTATATATATTAAAAAAACCCAAATTTTATTTCATTCCTAGGTATGGGTTCCTAGGTGTGTAGTGGAGAAAAATATACCCTTAGACTCAAAAAAAGATTTGTGTAGCTATGGTCATTGCAACACCATTCTTAAAATTCCCCAACTGGAAACTAAAATTTCCAATAATAGGAGGGATATAATAAAGTAGCAAAATAGATATTAGATTAGTAGGATTCTGTGGTTTTCATGTAGTGGAATGCTATACTGTAATAAGAAGGAAGCATCTAAAACTACACACAAACATTGCATTGAGTGATGAAGCCAGACAACAAGGACGAACATATATTATGTATTTCTGTTTCTCTCAGGTTCAAAACACAAAAACCAGTTTGTGGTATTAGGTGTCAGCACAGTGGTGAGTTTCTTTTGAGGCAGCTAGGTAGTGACTAGATGGAGACATGGGAGCCTCTGGAGAATGTGCCATATTCTGTTTCATGAGTTGGGTTCCAGCTACACAGGTATATTTAGTTTGAATGATTCATTAAGCTTGGCACTAGCAATGTGCATAGTTTTTTTGTATATGTATGGTTCAATGAAAAGTTTAAATGAAAAAAGGAAAATACTTTTTTCTTTTAAAAATGTATTTAATTTACACCTACCTTTACAGGAACACAGAAGTTGCATAGAAGAAAAGACGCATGTTCCTTTGGTGTCATCCATTGTTTATTATTATTTTTATTATTATTAAGGGTCATTTTTCTGAAGTTGAAGTCTCTCTTCATTTGCATAGTTCTTTCTAATGCATAAGTTTAACAAAGCTTGAGGAAAAAAATTGGTTCATTGCCCTCCATCAGGCTGGTTGCCCTCCCCTAAGACTTATACCTATACCTTGGTCAGTTCCACAGACCAAGCCAGGTGCACACTTGAAATGAAGGGTTTTTCTGAAACAGCCTGCTGTGTGGTGAAAATATTGCTTCACTTCACGTACTGCAGGCTGTGTGTCTTATCAGACTAACAACAACAAAAGAGTTACACAATCAGATGCTATTTCTTCTATAGTCTCTGCAGATACTTCGTCAAATCTGGAAGCATTTTTACAAGATATTGAAACAAAAGCTAGGCAGAGAGTCCATCCTCAGGGGTCTTATCATTAGACAGTCAGGCATGTACACAAAATCCTGAGAATGGCAGAAACGATTCTTTACTTTATGTCCTCTGTCTGCTGTCATCCACACTGCATCCACCTCAGTTAGGCATAAGAGAGCCTTCCTCTGTGACTGCTCTCTCCTTTTCCCTTTTCTCATGGCCTCTTGATCTTCTAACCCCCACCCTCCTCATGGTGGTTTTTCTTCCTCTCAGCCTGCAACCTGACTAAAGTCAGATGGATCCAAACAGCTTTTTCTTCAGAGAAAGAAACGGTGCTGAGATGGGTGGTGGATAGAGTCAGGCCTTACCCATGGTTGGAGGAGTTGAAGGAAGTTTCCTTTTGTAACAGGCTCAGGTCTGACTGCTCACCTCTCAGAATGAAAACACAAGAAGCAAGGTGTGGTGAAAGGAAAACAACTTTATTGATCAAATGCTAGCAGATGGGAGATAACCAAGCTTCTGCCTCAAAGAAGCCATCTCTGTCTCTCGGGCTGAGTGAAGGGGTTTCAGAAGGAAAACGTGTGGGAAACACACACTTGGCAAGTGCAGGAGGGTGCAGGTATGCCTGTCTCATTCTGATGATTATCGTAAGTAACCGCCCATCCAGGGGTCAGGTTTGTGTTATCCTGATTTTTACCCGGTGGTGGTGGCTTGCTAGTAATTTCCCCCAATTGGGAGAATTCTGCAGCTGGGTCTCTCAATTTGGTTTTGTTTCAAAACTGGTCCCTGCAACTTCTAAGCAAGCACATAATTAGATTAGCGAGAACTGTTCACATAAGTACCTGGTGGGAAAGGAGAAACGAAGAGTTTCAAAGTATGTTTCAAGGCTGAAAGCAAGAAACGGGGAAAAAGCCTCAAAATGCATTTTTTACTGGGATACTTGGTTATGGGTTTCTCACTGTCAAATTCCATTCCTTTTCTATGGAAAGTAGGTGATGCGGTAAATCTTGCTATTTCTTTCTGAAAAGGAGCATGGGTAGGGTGTATCAGAATGGAATCTATTTACCTGTAGTTAGGCATATTCCAGAGTTTCCAGATTCACAATAGGGACTTGCTGGAGCATTATGGTACTAGGATGTAGGAGCTTTTGAGATAATCTGTCCTGCACCTCCATACAAAATATATAATGGTAATAAGGTCCACAGCAGCCAAGGAGAACAATCAGCAGAGTACCAATCACACAGTATATGAAAGTCTTCCATGCATTAGGAAGTTAGCTGAACCATGCTGTTACGGGGTCCTGGGAGAAGGTATCTATAGCAGAAACAGAGATATCTAATGCATGCATAACTTGGGTTATATTGTGAAAACAATCTGGTGTATATATATGCACAACACTCAGTCTTAATCAGTGCACAAGTGTTGCCTTGGGCTGCAGTCAGGATATCTAAGGCCATACATTTTGTAGGACCATTTGGCTAATCTGCAAGTTTTCTTCAGGGAGAAGGGTGTTTACTTTTTGGCTAGCTCTTTGTCTGCTCTTGGTTTCTCCAGGATTTTAGTAGCACCTTATTTCCTGGGCAACAGGGCTCATCCATGGGGTATGAGGACATGGAAACAGAAAATTGTTCATAGACTTCTGGAGGGAAGAGTTCTTCCTTTCCTTCCTTGGGGTGAGTAAGGGACTGAAATTGCAGTCCCTGTTCTGGTGGAATCTGTAAGACAAATTGCTGCTTCCTTGGAGGAAAAGTCACTTGATCATTTAGCTTGCAAAGCAACTCTCATCCCAACAGAGAAATTGGACATTTTGGCATACAGAGAATATTATTTCTTAATTTCAAGTCCCCCAGCCAACATTCCAAAGGTTTTTTTTAAAAAAAACCTTTTGCTGTATTTCTCTTGAATTTTAGTATTTTTTGCTTTTGGGATGTTATAAGCTGAATAAATAGCCCTAATATTGATTAAGAAATAAGTTACTTTATTCCCCACTGTCATTTATACCTGGGGCTCCTGTGGGGATATGATGACAGGTTGGCTAAACATGCATATTTAACAGGTTATAGGAGGATGTATGAATATTTATAAAGGGGTCCTGACTCATGCATATTGAAAAAACGTGAATGTAACATATGATCTGCTTACTTTGGGATAGAGACATAGCGTTTTCCTGGCATAGTCCTAGGTTCTGTTTATAATTTGGTATCTTATTGTCATAAAGAATTCATTCTGTCAGTCTTATGATCTCTACTTTAATGTGAATGCTGGTCAATTTTGCCTGCATTCCAAAGACCAATTTTGCCTGAATTCCTCCTTCGTTGAGAGGCTTAAAGTTCTATTTTTTAGTTTATATACCCCCTTTTTATCAAGGTATGCCAGAAGCAGTATAATGGCCATGCTTTTATGTTGTCCCATATCAATGCTGGAGTAGTATGCCACCTGCCTCGGGTCCATCATGTCCCTGGGTGGGACCTCCTCTGGCTCAGGGGCTTAGAGTCAAAAGATTTATAGCCAATTGAATGTTCTGGGCCAAATGAGAATGGAAGCGGAGAGGCACTCATTAACCTTTAAAACCCCTTTTAAGCAACATAAGAGACAAAAACCAAAAGCCAAAAGACAAAGTTATAAAATGGACTTATTTGTAATTTCTATACACTGAACTACTGTAATCTTGGCTTGCAGCAATTACCTATACAAAACACAAGCATTTTGTTCAGCTGTTTAGGCAACGGTGTGCCTATTCTTGATTTGGAGGATTTTACCTAATTTTATTTCTTGAAACCAGCCCTTACAGTCTCATGTGACAGTACCTGGGCCTGGAGGGATTGAATAATTTTAAACTCTGGAGGCAAAACAAAACAAATAATTAGCAGTGTTTCAAACAAAAATGTCATAAGCTCTGTCTAGTTTTGAAAATGACAAGAAAGGAAGCTCATAGGTAGTTAAACATTTCTATTATTTAGTATCAACACATAGAATAAACTATATTAATTCACATAGAGGAAAAATTATTACATGAATCTTAATGTTTTGGAGTACAGTCCTTTCCCTGCATCTCATGAAGGCAGTTACTTTGATTGTTGCCTTTCCTTGGGTCTAAAGATGAGGCTTTGGTTAACTTACGTTTGGTGTCAGATATTGGCAGGAGTCATTGCCTTCTTGCGACAAGATATGTATTCCCAGTGAAATCACCTTTGCAAAAATTATAACTGAGGAAATTATTATAATGAAAGAGATATGAACTAGCTGACTCCATCTTGCCTCTAACCTCCAAAATGTTCTTGTTCATTCAGAGTCATAATCTGAACTAACTTTGGGAGGAGAAGTCCTTTCCCAAAACAAATCCCCTTCCTGCCTGGGGACTAGACTGCCTTTGCAGGACTAACAAATTTACCACAAGATTAGAAATTATGGTTTGGGAGTCATGCAGCTGGAGGCTGCACGATTCTAAACTCCTCAAATTGCTCCTGGGGATAAAATCACTATTGCAAAACCTAAGATCAGTGCTTGGTATATTTTGTAGACCCTGCACTCTATGGACCAGCTGGCACTATCCAGATTGATAAACTTTCTCATCTGGTCTTATGGCCCCCACTCAGGAGCTGACACTGCAAAGAGGACAGTTTAGACTTCCTATGATTTCACACCTGATTCACTGGCTCCCTACCCACCAAATTATCCTTGAAAACTTCCATCCCCAAGTTTTCAGGGAGACTCATTTGAGTTATAATAAAATTCTGGTCTCCCACGCAGCCGGTTCTGCCCGAATTACTCTTTCTCTGTTGCAATTCCCCTGTCTTGATAAATTATCTCTGTCTAGGCAGCAGACAAGGTGAACTTATTGAGTGGTTACACCAGCAGTCAGAACCATGTAATTTAACAGCACATGGATTAGTTAATAGCACCTGATAATGACAATTGCAAGGGGCTGGGGGTGGTGCTACTGAAATCCACGAT
The DNA here is from genome assembly GCF_000001405.40 of Homo sapiens. Taxonomy (NCBI): domain Eukaryota; kingdom Metazoa; phylum Chordata; class Mammalia; order Primates; family Hominidae; genus Homo; species Homo sapiens. The sequence goes on along the minus strand of NC_000002.12, from coordinate 117,370,232 downwards.
ATGATTGGAAGCTGTAAAAAGATTCTACAACCTTTTGGTGATTAACTTTTGTAGCTTTGATAACCCCCAGCAATAAGTCAGAGACTTAATTTAGGATTTTTTGTCAAAGATGTTAAAAAGCTCGTTGTAAAATTATAGTTACTCATTTAACCAAAGTGATAATCAAAAGACTTTAAAAGCAGTACAGAAGGTTACATGGATTGAAAAAAATTTGAATTATTTTAAAGCTCAGTTTTTCTAAACAATCAAACACCTAATAAGACAATGTAGGAATTATCTTGGTAAAACATAAAATGTTATTTCTAAACCAGTTACAAAAAAGGCAAAGAAAAACCTTCTGCAGTGTGACTGCTTTTTCTTATGAGAAGCCCATTTAGATAATCTGAAAGTCAGACTTGATGAAAAAAAGTGCTTGAATTTAATCACATACTGGAAGATTGTTTTCAAAGTTATAAGTACGTCAGGGAAATACCTGACTCCTAGGAACAGCAGAAGACGTTTCCTGATTATATTGAAAAATTTAGACATATCAAGAAAAGTCAAGAGTACAGAATCAATTATACTGGAGGAAATTATACTGGAGGAAAACACTCCTTTTTATTTTACCTTCATGATAAAAACATTTCAGCATTAGGCCATAACAACTGTTAGACCTGGAGAAAAATGTTACAGGAGCTGACAAAGAACTGAAAGAGAGTTGTCATCTCAGGTTTTTCCAAAGAGAAAAAGAGCTGACAGCAGTGAGACACAACAAAAGTTCAACTTCTAAGATATGAATCTGAGAAGTTTTAAAAAGAAATAGGTTATAGAACTAAAATGCAAAAGCTGTAATTTCATTAAAAGCAAATCAATACCTTAAGAAAACCTTGTTTTAAAATAGAAGACCAATGTGTAGAAATGCTTTTATAAATAATTTAATTTTAATTATAGCTAACTGAATCACACACACAATTCCTTTTATAAATTTTCTTCATGAAGTTTATCACAACCTACGCAGACCATCTATGACATGTTTGGATTTTCTGACTTGTCCTATACTTCCCTCTTTCCTTAACAATCTATTATTTTATATTAGGACACAAATTTACCATATGAAATCCTTTATTATACAAAATTATTCTATTTTCTTTTTATCTGTTCTTACCAAAAAATACATTTTTATATCCATAACTACTTTCACATCTCTCTCCTCTACTGACCAGTTTCTTTTTACCTTCTTTAGTAATTAGCTTTTAAATAACCACCAAAGTAGACATTTTTTGTCATTAAGAACATAACATACAGAATTATATATTAACTAGAATTATTATTCTTAGTAACCTTAAATGTTAGTAAAAACCTAGGAAGCAACAAATCCTGAACCATCTGTCAGATGTTAGCATTTTATAGATGAAACCATTCCACAATATTATAAACATGTTGTCCCATATCATAATCTTTTCTTTTTTAAAAAAAATTATTTCAAGAACTTTTAGTGTACAAGTGGTTTTTTTTTGTTGTTGTTACATGGATGTATTATATAGTGGTAAATTCTGACATTTTAGTGTACCCATCACCCAAATAGTGAACATTGTACCTAATATACAGTTTTTTTTTTAATCCCTAGTCCCCTTCCCACGCTTCCCATTCTAATTCTCTAAAGTCTCGTATCACTCTATATGCATTTTCATACTCATAGCTTAGCTCCCAGTTATAAGTAAGAACATATGTTTTTTGGTTTTTCCCTCCTGAGTTACTTTGCTTAGAATAATGGCCTTCAGCTCCATCCAAGTTGCTGCAGAAGACATTATTTCACTACGTTTTTATGGCTGAGTAGTATTCCATGGTGTATATATACCACATTTTTTCTTATCCACTTATTAGTTAATGGGAACTTAGGTTAGTTCAATATCTTTGCAATTGTGAATTGTGCCGCTATAAACATGTATGTGCGAGCATCTCTTTCATTAATGACTTCTTTTCCTTTGGGTCAATACCCAGCAATGGGATTACTGAATAAAATGATAGATCTACTTTTAGCTCTTTAAGGAATCTCCATACTGTTTTCCATGATGTTTGTAATAATTTACATTCCCACTATCAGTGTATAAGCATCCCCTTTGCCCCATATCCATGCCAGTATTTATTATTTGTTTGTTTGTTTACTTTTTAATAATGGCCATTCTTGCAGGAGTAAGATGGTATCTCATTGTAGTTTTCATTTGCATTTCCCTGATGATTAGTGGCGATGAGCATTTCTTCATATGGTTTTTGGTCATTTGCATATCTTCCTTTGAGAAATGTCTATTCATGTACTTTGCCCACTTTTTGACAGGGTTATTTGTTTTTTTTCCTTGCTGATTTGTTTGAGTTTCTTATATATTATGGATACTAGTCCTTAGTCAGATGTGTAGTTTGCAAATATTTTATATCATTCTCTGTGTTTTCTGTTTACTCTGATTATTATTTCTTTTGCTGTGCAGAAGCTTTTTAGTTTAATTAGGTCACATTTATTTACAGTTCTTTTTGCCACATTTGCTATTGGGATCTTAGTCACAAATTATTTGCCTAGGCTGATATCTAGAAGAGTTTTTTCAACATTGTCTTTGATATGGTTTTGCTGTGTCCCCACCCAAATCTCATCTTGAATTGTAACTCCCTAAATTCCCACAGGTCTTGGGAGGAACCCAGTGGGAGGTGCTTGAATTATGGGGGTGCATCTTTCCTGCACTGTTCTCATGATAATGAGTGAGTCTCATGAGATCTGATGGTCTTAAAAATGAGTTTCCTTGCACAAGCTCTCTCTTTGCCTGCTGCCATCAACATAAGACATGACTTGCTCTTCCTTGCCTTCTGATATGATTGTGAGGCCTCCCCCACCATGTGGAACTGTAAGTCCAATAACCCTCATTCTTTTGTAAATTGCCCAGTCTCAGGTATGTCTTTATCAGCAGTGTGAGGACAGACTAATACAGTAAATTGGTATCAGTAGAATGGGGGCTGCTGAAAAGTTTCCCAAAATGTGGAAGCAACATTGGAACTGGGTAGTAGGTGGAGGTTGGAACAGGTTGGAGGACTCAGAAAAGACAGGAAAATGTGGGAAAGTTTGGAACTCCTTAGAGACTTGTTGAGTGGCTTTGACAAAAATACCAGCAGTTATATGAAAAATAAGGTCCAGGCTGAGGTGGTCTCAGATGGAGATGAGGAACTTGTTGGGAACTGCAGAAAAGGTGACTCTTGTTATGTTTTAACAAAGAGACTGGTGGTATTTTGCCTCTGCCCTAGAGATCTGTGGAAGCCTTGAACTTGAGAGAGATTATTTAGGGTATCCAGCAGAAGAAATTTCTAAGTAGCAAAGCATTCAATATGTGACTTGGGTGCTGTCAAAGGCACTCAGTTTTATAAGGGAAGCAGAGCATGAAAATTTGGAAAATTTGCAGCCTGACAATGTGATAGAAAAAAAAAAATCCCATTCTCTCAGAGAAATTCAAGCCAGCTGCAGAAATTTGCCTAAATAACGAGAAGCCAAATGTTAATCCCCAAGACAATAGTAAAAATGTCTCCAAGACATATCAGAGGTCTTCACAGCAGCTCCTACCATCACAGGCCCAGAGGCCTAGGAGGAAAATATTGTTTCATGGGCCAGGTCCAGGGTCCTCATGCTGTGTGAAGTCTAGGGACTTGGTGGCCTGTGTTCCAGCCATTCCAGCTTGACTAAAAGGGGCCAAGGTACAGCTCAGGCCATGGCTTTAGAGGGTGCAAGCCCCAATCCTTCCATGTGATGTTAAGCCTGTTGGTGCACAGAAGTGAAGAACTGAGGTTTGGTAACCTCTGCCTAGATTTCAGAGGATGTATGGAAATGCCTGGATGTCCATGCAGAAGTTTGCTGCAGGAGTGGAGCTGTCATGGAGAACCTCTGCTAGGGCAGTGCAGAAGGGAAATGTGGAGTCAGAGCCCCCATACAGAGTCCCTACTGGGGCACCACCTAGTGGAGCTGTGAGAAGAGGATCACCGTCTTCCAGATCCCAGAATGGCAGATCCACTGACAGCTTGCACTATGTGCCTGGAAAAGCTACAGAAACAACACCAGCCCATGAAAGCAGCCAGGTGAGAGTCTGAACCTTGCAGAGCCACCAGGGTGAAGCTGCCCAAGACCATAGGAACGTACCTCTTGCATCAACATGACATGGAAGTGAGACATGGGGTCAAAAGAGATCATTTTGGAGCTTTAAGGTTTGACTGTCCTCCTGGATTTCAGACTTTCATGGAGCCTATAGCCCCTTTATTTTGGGTAATGTCTCCCATTTAGAATGGCTATATTTATGCAATGCTTGTATCCCCATTGGATCTAGGAAGTAACTAACTTTCTTTTGATTTTACAGGCTCATAGGTGGAAGGAACTTGCCTTGTCTCAGATGAAACTTTGGACTGTGGACTTTTGAGTTAATGCTGAAAAGAGTTAAGACTTTGGGGGACTGTTGGGAAGGCATGATTGGTTTTCAAATGTGTGGACATGAGATTTGGGAGGGACCAGTGACAGAATTATATCGTTTGGCTGTGTCCCCACCCAAATCTCATCTTGAATTGTAACTCCTACAATTCCCACATATCGTGGGAGGAACCTGGTGGGAGGTGATTGAATTATGGGGATGGGTCTTTCCCACGCTGTTCTCGTGGTAGTGAATGAGTCTCACGAGATCTGATGGTTTTAAAAATGGGAATATTCCTGCACAAGCTCTCCCTTTGCCTGCTGCCATTCACGTAAGACGTGATTTGCTCCTCCTTGCCTTCTGCTATGTTTGTGAGGCCTCCCCAGCCATGTGGAACTGTAAGTCCACTAAACCTCTTTCTTTTGTAAAAGTCTCGGGTATGTTTTTATCAGCAGCATGAAAACAGAGTAATACAGACTTCTAGAATTTTCATGCTTTTGGGTCTTTATATTTAAGTTTTTGATCCATGTTGAGCCTATTTTTGTATAAGATGAGATATGAGGATCTTCTACTTGTACCTTGCCAGCTTTCCCAGAACCATTTATTACACAGGGTGTCCATTCCCCAATTTAAGTTTTTGTGTGCTTTGTTGAAAATCAGTTAGCTGCAAGTATATTTGGCTTTTTTCTGGGTTCTCTATTCTGTTCCATTGGTCTATATGCCTATTTTTATACTGGTACCTGCTGTTTTGGCAACTATAGCCTTGTAGTATAATTTGAAGTCTGGTAATGTGATACCTCCTGATTTGTTCTTTTTGCTTATGATTGCTTTAGCTGTTTAGGCTCTTTTTGGTTTCATATAAATTTTAGGATTTTTTTTTCTAACTCTGTGAAAAGTGATATGGTGTTTTGATGAGAATTGCATTGAATCTATAGATGTGTTTGGGCAGTATAGCCATTTTCACAATATTGTTTTTTCCTATCCATGAGCATGGGTTGTATTTCCATTTGTTTCTGTTGTCTATTATTTCTTTCAGAAATATTTTGTAGTTCTCCTTGTAGAGATCATTTACCTCCTTGGTTATGTATATTCCTAGGTATTTTATTTTATTTTTTGGATCTGTTGTGAAAGGGATTATGTTTTTCATTCGCTTCTCAGCTTTGCCATCATTGGTATACAGCATTGGTACTGATTTGTGTACATCAATTTTGTGTCTTGAAACTTTACTGAGTGTGTTTATCAAATCTAGTAGTTATTTGGAGCAATCTTTAAGATTTTCTAGGTATATGATCATATCATTTGCAAATAGCAATAGTTTGACTTCCTCTTTTCCAATTTGGATGCCTTCTCTTGCATAATTTTTCCTTATCTTGCCTAATTTTTTCTGGCTAGGATATCCACAAATATATTGACTAGCAGTGGTGAAAGAGGACATCCTTGTCTTGTTCCTGTTCTCAGGGAAAATGCTTTCAACTTTTTTCTATTCAATATGATGTTGTCTGTGGGTTTGTCATAAATGACTTTTATTATTTTGAGATAAGTCCTCTCTATGCCTCGTTTGTTGAGGGTTTTTATCATAAAGGATGTTGGATTTTGTCAAATTCATTTTCTGCATCTTTTGAGATGATTATATCATTTTTATTTTTAATTCTGTTTATGGAATGTATCACATTTATTGAGTTGTGTATACTAAATTATCCCTGAATCCCTGAGATGAAACCCACCTGATAGTGATGTATTACCTTTTTGATGTGCTGTTGAATTCTGTTAGCTTGTATTTTGTTGCAGATATTTGCATCTATGTTCATCAGGGATATTGGCCTGCAGTTTTGTTGTTGTTGTTGTTGTTGTGTCCTTTCTGGGCTTTGGTATCAGTGTGATACTTGGTTCATAGAATGATTTAGGGAAGATTCCCTTTTTCTTAATCTTTTGGAATAGTTGCAATAGGATTGATAGCAATTCTTTGAATGTCTGGTAGAATTCAGCTGTGAATTCATCTGCTCCTAGGCTTTTTTGTTGTTTTTGGCAATTTTTAAATTACTGATTCAATCTTGCTATTTGTTATTGGTGTGTTCAGGGTTTCTATTTCTTCCTGATTTAATCTAGCATCATTGTACAGTCCCAGGAATTTATCAGTTTCCTGTAGGTTTTCTAGTTTGCATGCATAATGGTGTTCATAGTAGTCTTGAATGATCTTTACATTTCTGTATTGTCAGTTGAAATCTCTCCAGTTTCATTTGTAATTGAGCTTATATGAATCTTCTCTCTTCTTTTCTTGGTTAATCTATCTAATGGTCTATCTATTTTGTTTATTTTTTCAAAGAGAAGCTTCTTGTTTCATTGATCTTTTGTATCTTTTTTGTTTGAATTTCATTTAGCTTTCTGATCTTTGTTATTTCTTTTCTTCTGCAAGCTTTGGGTTTAGTTTGTTCTTATTTCTCTAGTTCCTCAAAGTGAGATATTAGGTTACCAATTTTTGCTTTTTCAGACTTTTTGATGCAGACATTTAGCACTATAAACTTTCCTCTTCGCACTGATTTTGCTGTCTCCCAGAGGTTTTGATAACTTCTGTCATTATTATTATTCATTTCAGAGAATTTCCATCTTGATATCATTGTTAACACAAAAATAATTCAGGAGCAGATTATTTAATTTGCATGTATTTGTGTAGTTTTGAGGGATCCTTTTGAAGTAGATTCCTAGTTTTAATCCATTGTGGTTTGATATGATACTTGATACAATTTTGATATTTAAAAATTTATTGAGACCTATTTTTTGCCTATCATATGTCCCTCTTGGAGACTTTAACATGCTAATGTCAAGAATGTATATTCTGCAGTTCTTGGGAAGACTGTTCTGTAAATATCTGTTAAGTCCATTTGTTCTAGAATGCCATTAAAGTCTGTTGTTTCTTTTTTGACTTTCTGCTTTGATGATCTGTTTAGTGCTATCAGTGTTATATTGAAATGTCCCACTATTATTGTGTTGCTATATATCTTATTTCTTGGGTCTAGTAGTAATTGTTTTATGAATCTGAGAGCTGTAGTGTTAGGTGTATATAAATTTAAGATTGTAGTATTGCCTTGTTGAATTGATACTTTTATTATATAATGACCTTCTTTGTTCTTTTTTATTGTTGCTGCTTTGAAGTCTGTTTTGTCCGATATAAGAGTAGCTACTCCTGCACTCTTTTGGTTTCCATTTGCATGGAGTATCATTTTCCATTCCTTTGCCTAGAGTTTATATGAATTCTTCCATATTAAGTGAATCTCTTAAAGATAGCAGATAATTGGTTTTTGATTTTTGATCAGTTCTACCATTCTGTATCTTTTAAGTGGAGCATTTAGGTCATTTATATTTAATGTGAACCTTGAAATGTCAGTTATTTTTCCATTCATCATGTTAATTGTTACCTAGTTGTTTTTTTTTTTTTTTTTTTTTTTTTTTTTTGCTATTGTTTTATAGGCCCTGTGAGTTTTAAGCTTTCAAGAGGCTCTATTTTGGTGCCTATTATACTTTTGTTTCAAGGTTTACAACTCCGTTTGGCATTTCTAGTAGTGCTGTTTTGGTAGCACTATGAGAGTTTCCTCAGCATTTGTTTGTCTGAAAATGGCTTTATTTCTTCTTCATTTATGAAACTTAGTTTTGCCATATACAAAATTCTTGCCTGAAAGTGGTTCTGCTTAAGAAGGCTGAAGATAGGAGCCCAGTTGCTTCTGGCTTGTAAAGTTTCTGCTGAGAAGTCTGCTTTTAATCTGAAAGATTTTGCTTTATAGGTTACCTGACGCTTTGTGTTAGTGCTCTTAGAGATTTCTTTCCTTTATGGTGATTTTAGATAGCCTGATGACCATATGCCTTGCTGAAAGTCTTTTTGCAATGAGTTTTTCAGGAATCCTTTGAGCTTCTTGCTTGAATATCTACATCTCTAGCCAGGCCAGGATGTTTTTCTTAATTATTTCTTCAAGTACATTTTCCAGACATTGTTTTCTCTTCTCGCTTAGGAACACTAACTTTTTGTAGGCTTGACCATTTTACATAATCTCATATTTCTTGGAAACTTTGTTCATTTCTCTAGATTTTTTAAAATTTTTGTCTGATTGGATTATTTCAAAAGCCTTATCTTTGAGCTCTGAAATTCTTTCTTCTACTTGTTCTAGTCAATTGTTAAAACTTTCCAGTACATTCTAAAATTCCCTAAGTATGACTTTTATTTCCAGAAGTTCTCATTGGTTTTTCTTGATGATCTCTGTCTCTCTAGAATTTTTTTTTTCATATCCGGAACTGCTTTTAAAATTTCTTTATGATGGTTTTTACCTTCCTCTGATACCTCCTTGGTATCTCCTGATATCTCCTGATAGCTTAATAATCACCATTCTGAATTCCTTATTTGGTATTTCAAAGATTTCATCATGGTTTGGATTCATTGCTGGGGAGCTGGTGTGATCCTTTGGACATGTGATAAAACCTTGTATTGTCATATTACCAGAGTTGCTTTTCTGGTTCCTTCTTATTTTGGAAGACTATGTCTTCTAATTATTCTTGAATTTATGTTTGATTTGACTGCATGTGTTTTTTTCTTTGTTTTTCTGTTTGCTTTTTTTTCTCTTAAGGATGTGACTTTAATGCTTATAGTTAATTATGGCCTAATTTGGTTATTGGTGCTTTCAGGGGAGAAGACTCTGTAAAAGTTCCTTGATTATAGAGAGTCTTTGTATGATGGCTTTCTCACATGTGATTGTAGTAAAAATATGCTTGGTGTGTGAGCAAATTTACTGTCTCCTATAGGGTTGGAATGGTAGAGGTCTTGAAGCTTATCTCATTCCCCTATGGCATGGACTTTTTAATTTATTTATTTTTCCCTAGTATTTTATTTACTAGTTTGATGGCTCAGGCTTCAGGCCAGTAGTTGAGGTATCCCTGAGTAGAAACTGGTTTTGGCTAAAACAGGCGGGGTAAGTTCAATACCCAAGGATGCACGGAAGTCAAAGCCTTGAAACAGGTGACTGGAGGAGCTCTTGATGAGTCACACTGAGGTCTTATCAGGGGGAATGTTTGGAGCCACTTTAGTCAGCTTTCCTGCCAGGTCAGTGGGAAAGTGATGCACCTCTCAGTCACACTCCTGTCCCATTGTTCAGCTATTCAGATTAAACAGGCACCTTTTTACAACTGTAGAAATATTGATGTTCCAAGTAGAGAGGAATTGTGACTCTGTCTCTCATGCAAGCCTGAACTTGGAGAATGTTCCTCCTGTGAGGATGTTGTCACCCTGATGTGTTCCAGAAAGACCATGTATAGTTGCACCCACACCAAGCTCCCATGGGAGAAGTCTCAGCTGTGCCTGTTGTGGTGGACAATGTAGGGAGAAGGGTCTCCAAGACCGTTCACACATGAACACCAGGCCTATCTGACTGTTGAGTTAGAGTTGCAGACTTTCCCTGCTAAGCCCATCACTGCAACTGTGACTCTGCTGAAAATTCCCACCAGTGTAAAGATCTGGTGCTGAAGATCTACTGTCTGGATTCTTTTGTCCCCATGAGGTGTTCTTTTGATGTGGTGCAGTCCCCTTTCCCCTAGGAGTAGGAGACCCTGGAGCCAGACTACTGTAAATGTTGTTGCTTCTCTGGGCCTAGCCTCCCAGTGAGGTTGCCACACTTTAGATTGGTACTGGAGAAAGTCTACAGTGAATCCAATGATGTGACCTGTCCTCAAGTCTCCTAGCAATGGGTTTCAGCACCAACTTTAATGGGGTGGCAGGGGAATGACATAGATTCTATGGGATTCTTTGGTTTTTGATAGCCTTAGTATGTTGACTTTCTCAAATGTCAGTTGGAGTAGTAACGAAATGGTGACTTGGACAGGCTCAGGACCTCCTAGTTAGCCAGAGTGGTGAAGGCTGTGATGATAGCCAAAATTGTGCAGCCGTTTTCTCCTTTCTGGATGCAGTGTTATTCTACCAGGAGATGCTATAATGGACTGTGTTTGTTGGCCCCCAGCCAGGAGGTGGTACTTGCAAAACAGCAGCGGCTGCAGTAATAGCAGTGGGAAGTTTGCTTGCCTTTTGTTGCCCAATGGGTTATCTGTTTTCTCAGGCAATGGGTGAGGTCATATAGCTCCCAGAAGTTTCTGTCTGTCATGTTAAGCCATCAGGGCTGGTGGTGGGGCGAAGCTACATGGGAGCTGTGTCATGTGGGTTTGTGCTCTGATTCTCTGTGTGCAGGGCAAGCAGCAGCCCCTGTAGGTGTCAGGAGATTGGTGCAGTTCTCAGGCCACTGGGTTGATATTCCAGAAGGGAGTGTTGCTGCCTTTGCTACGCAGAAGAGTTCAAGCAAGGAGTGGGAAGTAGCAGGCACCAGTAAGACCCACACAGATCCCACACACTTGGTGAGTCAGATCCACTTCGGCAGTGTTCCACTAGTAGCAGTGAGCTAAGTTCCAGGTAGCCTGCACTCACAATTCACAACTGCCCCAGGCCCCATGGAGATAGCAACTGTGGCTTTTAGACCACACCCCTCCCCATCCACCTGCAAAGACATGCACCCAGCTCCTAAACTCACTGTTACAGTCTGCTTTTTCACATCATCCTTTTAGATTTTCTGTCTTTTCTGAAAGTGTCAGATAATCAACTGTCAGTGAAATTAACTTAACATACCTAAAAGCCGTAGAGCACGTTGGTGATTCATCAATGTTAGTTCATTACCTTGATGATATGAGTGTGTTTGCTTTCATTCTTCCTATTTTGTTACTTTGTGTTTCTAATGTTTTCTAGACTGCTAATATATCTAATTTTCAACCAATCATCAATTTTTTTCATAATCTTCTTTCTTTTAAAAGGACCCAGAAAGCCAAAGTAAAATAATCAATACATTTGACTGCATTGAAATTTAAATTATTTGTATTCCAATGACAGTCATAAAGTGAAAAGTCAAACATTACACTGTAAATAATATTTGTAATATGTGTAACAAAAGGTTATTAAGCAAAATAGTTGAGCTACAATAAGAAAAAAAGAAAAGAAAATGGCAAAACATAGGAATGGACAATAGACAGAAGACAAAATATAATACAATAAGTATAGCACTCCCAATTTTGGGGGGGCAGAAATAGAAAAATCTATTCTAAAATTAATATGAAATCTCAAGGAACCCTGTATTAGATAGTTCTTGCATTGCTATAAAGAAATATCTGAGACTGGGTAATTTATAAAGAAAAGAAGGTGAATTGGCTCACCATCTGCAGACCATATAGAAAGCATAGCACCAGCATCTGCTTTTCTTTTGGGGAAGGCTTGAGGAACTTTTATGGGAAGGTGAAGCAGGAGCAAGTATCTCATATGGCAGAGCGGGAGAAAGAGAGGCAGGAAGTGCCACACACATTTAAATAATCAGATCTCGTGAGACCTCACTCACTATGGTGAGGACAGCACCAAGCCATGAGGGATCTGCCCCCATGACCCAGACACCTCCCACCAGGCCTCATCTCCAACACTGGGGATTACATTTCAACATGGCATTGTGGGGAACAAATATCCAAACTTGATATATCAGACTCTGAATAGCCGAAACAACTTTGATAAAGAACAAAGCTGAAAGACTCATACTTCCTGACTTTAAGACTTACTACAAAGCTACAGTAATCAGAAAAGCATGGTACTGGCATAAAGATAGACAAGTAAACCAAAGAAACCAAATAGAGAGCCTAGAAATTAACCCTAACATGTATGGTCAAATAATTTGTGGCAACGGTGCTAACACAATTTAATGGGGAAAAAACAGTCTTTTCAAAAAATGATGCTGAGAAAACTGGATATCCACATGCAAAATAATTATTGAATTCAGCCCTTACTTAATAGCATATTCAAAAATTAACTCAAAATCATCAAGACCTAAATGTAAGATCTAAAACAATAAAACTATTAAAAGTAAAAAGGGTAAATATTTCATGACATTGGATTTGACAATGATTTCTTAGATATCACACTAAAGGCAGAGGCAACAAAAGAAAACATAGACAACTTGGACTTCACAAAAATGTAGAAGTTTTGTGCTTCAAAAGACACTAACAACAGAGTAAAATGGTGAATCACAGAGTGGGAGAAAATATTTGGAAGTCATAAATCTGATAAGGGATTAATATTCAGAGTATACTGAGTACTCCTAAGACAACAACAACAACAACAACAAACCAGTAACTCTATCCATAAATGGGTAAAAGACTTCAATAGATATTTCTGTAAAGAAGATAAGCAAATGTTCAATAAGCTCATGAAAACATGCTCAACATTACTAAACCTTAGGGAAAGCAAAGCTATAAGATAGCACCTCACATCCGTTAAGATGGCTACTATCAAAAAAACCAGAGAATAACAAGTGTTGGCTAGGATGTGGAGAAATTGGAAATGTTAAGCACTGTTAGTGGAATGTAAATGTTAGGGGTACAAACAGAGTAGAAAGTAGTTTGGTGGTTCCTGAAAAATTCAAAATAGAATTACCATATGATTCAGCAATTTTGCTTTTGGGTATATACCCAAAAGAATTGAAAGTAGGGTGTTGAAGAGATATTCATATACCTGTGTTCAGCATCATTCACAATAGCTAAAATGGAGAAGCTATCCAAGAGTCCATCTATGGATGAATGGATAAACAAATGTGGATTATCCATACAATAGAATATTATTCAGCCTTCAAAAGAAAGTTCTGCAATAGGCTATAACATGGATGAACCTTGAAGACATTAGGCTAAGTAAAATAAGCCAGTCACAGAAAGACAAATGCTGTATAATTCTATTTATTGAGATATTTAGAGTACTCAAACTTATAAAAACAGAGAATAGAATGGTGGTTGCCAGGGGATGGGGGAGGGGAGAATGGGAAGTTATTTTTTAATGAGTATAGAGTTTCATTTTTACAAGATGAAAAGCATTATAGAGATGGATGGTGGTGATGGTTGTACATCATTATGAAAATGTATTTAATACCACTGTACCGTACACTTAAAAACGGTTAAATAGTAAATTGTATGTTATGAGTATTTTACCACAACAAAAATTTGGAATGTGAACAAACAAACTTACAGAGCTCCTTTAGTTCAAGTTATCAGGCTTGAACAGCAATCAAACCAAGGTGCATTTTTATGTGTTATGGTCAAATAAAATTCTACCGATGATCCCTTCAAAACAAAGAAAGGCACATAAGAAATGCTGAAATATAGATGGGCTCACTTTACCTGATCAATAGCTAGTAAATAGCTGTGGCCTCAGGGTTGGAAACCTGGTATCTAGTCAAAATTTCTATCCTCTTGGCTTCTGGCTGGTGGGGAGGTGGATGTTATATTTAATGTATCTACTACAGGTTACTAACATCTAAGCTCATCCTATTCTTCAGAGAAGGTTCACGTACCCTTCTAAAGCTGTGACCAGATTAGTACAGGTGTTCTTTTAACTAATCCAAGCCAGCAATGGGCTGTGCAAAAAGTCACAAACCACGCTTGGTCCCAAGCTGCCCTGATCATGGATGTAGCAAAGCCTTCTCAATGCTAGAGGAAAGTAGAAATCCTTTAGATGTGTTTGGAGGGTTGTTGTTGTTGTGGTTTACTTTTTTGATTTGTTTTAACAGGAATCAGTGTTTTTGTGATTTGTCTTAGGATCTCTTCCGAGAAAAATGAGTTTGGAAAGGTGGAGGAAGGGAACATCATTAGTTTGCTATTATTGAATGAAAAGACAGAAGAAAATGTCAGGATACTTCCTGGCCTGGGAGGCAGATGTGAAGGAACAGATGGGAAAAGTTGATAGTGCTGACTGTACTACTCTGCCTGGGTACACACCTCTTGAACCTTCCTTTGTTCAAAATGAGTGTGGTGTCTAATAAGGAGAATGGGTTTTGAAGTCAGACAAACTTAAAATCATGTCTGTGATCTGAGCCTTTCTGGCTGTGTGACCTTCAGTTTTTTTACCTCTCTGTTAGTTTTCCTGTCTGTACATTGAGATTTATAATAGTGAATACATGGCAGAGTTGTGTTAACTTAAATAAAGTAAATTAAACTGCCTGGTTTAATGGCTGGCACATTTTGTGAGCTCCATAAATAGTAGCTGTTTATTGACTTTATTTCTTTTAAAGACCAGATGATGACTCTCTCCAGAACCTCTTGTGCAGCTTTCACCACTAACCCCAGGTAGATTGCACCTTCATGCCTCTCCTAATGGTTATACAACTTGCCCTTGCACATTGTTGTGTACTGATTTATTTAACATCTCTCTTGTACTTCCTATGAGCTCTTTGAGTTTAGTGACTGTCTTATTTATCTTTGCAACCCAAGCAATTCCCACAGAGCCTGGCAATAACATTCACCAACAAATGCTTGCTGGTGGATTCAATGTGTCGATGGGTTTGAAGACTGTGACAAGGCTACGGGAGGACTCTATAGTACAACCAAAGCTATATTTGGATAAAGCCAACTGCAAACTAATGAAACACCCAGGGTATCCCTGCTAGAGTTCCAGATGGTCATGGTGACGTGGAATAGTTACGACCATTTCATGAAAGATGAGGTTTAAAAGGGCTACAAGCACTAAAGCAAGTTTTTTGTTTGTTTGTTTTTGTTTTTTTGCCATATATGATTCCAGAGACCAAATTTAACACTTTCTCCAGATGGTGCTGGAACCAATTCAAATCAGGTTAAGGACAAAAGGCTTTTCCTCAAAAAGTTATTGTGAAGTATTTTGTAAGTCTTTTAACTTGATACAACTGCAACCCCATTGGAACTGAACTGAAAATATTCAAGGTAAAGGTTGTTTTTATTTCTTGAGCCTTTTGATGCTTCATCCTCCACTAGAATGTCATCTGAGTGCCTTTATTTAATAAAACACCCAAATCATTAAGCCTAGAGCAGTCCCACAGCCCCAGGATGCCTCATTCTCAGATAACAAAAGCAGCTGTTGCTCGCCCACCAGCCCAACACAGATCAAAAGTCTGGCAGGTTTCCCTCAAGCCACATCTCAGCTAAATGAAAGCTCCTTAGCATCCCCAAACTTTATGCCATCCACCCATGTTGAGTTGGCCAGCAGCCACAGCAATGGCTTTTCCAGCCCACCTCCCAGGGAATGTTGCTCTGTGCTGCTGAGGGGTCTGATAATTTTCATCACCATTATGCTTACCTACTCCTTTTCAAATTCAGAGCACTTTTCCTTTTCCCGTCAGACTTGGGCTTTTGTGTACTTTTCCTTTATTGGAACTGGCAACATGAAGCTATTTAAACGCAGCTCCATCTGTTAGAGCTGGGTCCTGCAGGTAGAGTGTCATGTTTGATTTCAGATTATCATTTGTTGTGTTGTCAGAAGGGCTTGGGGGAGGAAGAAAAAAATGCCTGTGTTCAAACTGCTCTTTGGTTAAAATGCACAAATAACTTATTTGCAACTTTGACCATGGCTCTTATCAATGTGCCTCATGTTTCTCTGCAATCACAGCAACAGTCCCTGTGACATTCAGAAGTTGGTCCCAAAAGAATTGTTCACAATAGAAAGCCAACCTTAACCCTGAGCTTTGGAGCCCACCTTGGTCATTCTTTATCTGTAAAGCAACCAAGTAGACTAAGGCTTGTCCGTAGTAGGTAAAAGTATGAGTGTAAATGGAACCAATAGACCCTTGCTTAACTCAGTGATACGTGGAGTACATAAAAGTGGGACGGACTACCCTCAGAAATTCTGCTTCTAACTATCTGTGCCAAGGAGATGATCTAAATACAGAATACGTTTTAAATGCCATTTGTCACAGCACATTTATAATTGTAAGACATTAAAAACAAGATAAACATTCAACAATTAATAACAGCACAACAGAATGTTGATAATTGCTAAAGCTGAAGAATGGACACATGGCGGTGCATTGTGCTGTTTACTTTTCTGTTAAAAATAATAGTTATAAAGGAAATGTTACCCAAAAACCAACATAAAAATTACAGATACGATGTGCTTAGTGAACATTAAAAATACAAAGACACATGGTAAAAGAATAATATATCCAAAGGGATTGGTTGCTAACTGCACATACGACACCAGTGGCATGTGGTCTAATTCTTAGTGCAACAACACAGCCACACTGTCGTAAATACAAGTCTGCCCTAAAGAAATATAGGCACTCTGGGCAAGTGTTATATTTGACTTGTTTGCTTGGGGGTTAACTGGTAGTGAAATGACAGTCTTAAAAAAACAGACTTCAAGAGATGAGTGAATAGGAGAGGTTAGAAGTAAAGTTTGCCATGATGTGGGAAGAGGACAGGGTAGAGGTGCCGCAAAAGCTACACAGAACTTGAGATAGGTAGGCAAAAATATGTAGGCATTGAGATACGTGACATGTGGATAGAATGTGAGACTTCTCATTGAATCCCGGTGAGAAAATGGTCCCCTTCTCAGACACAGATTTGAGGAGGGGGCTTTGTTATTGCAGGCAAAGTTTTTCCTTCCCAACCCTTTAACCACTAGCACCCTGTGTCATAATCCAGGTACCAAGTATGAGCTGGGCAAGTGGCTACTACAAGCAACATTTTCTAGCCTCTCTTGCTGATAGGCGTAGCCATGTGATTAAGTTAGAAATATGAGTAGAAAGGATATGGGCAGCTCTGACCATCTTCTAAAGGATGATTACCCTGTCCTTTCTCCGTCCTCTGTCTTCCACTGTGTGGAAAGGCTGCTGTTAGAACTGGTGTAAAGCCATGCATTGAGGATGGCAGAATCAACCCCCCAGCCCGAGTTTAGGGATAACTGTGAGAAGTAGAGACTCCCTACCCAGTCTCAGATGATTGTGTGTGAGAAAAATAAACTCCTTTGAGCCACTGTACTTTAGCTATCTTCGTAACAGTAGTTTCTAACAAATACAGTTTCTTAAGCAGTGTTGTGCTGGAGCAAGCTTGTATTGACTTATGAGAGACAATTATTTGATATTCAAGAATTTTTTGAGATGGTTGCTGAACTGTTCATGGGAGTGTTTAAATAATACAAATCAGAAAAATGCTACAAATTAGAGATTTATTTTATTTTATAATACAAGTAAATATTTATAATAATATATAAATATTTATACTACAAATAAATATATTTATATATATTTTATTTTGAAGAGCCGGTTTAAGAGCATGCCACTAAGTATGAGAAGTCAATGAGAAAATGTATATAAATGCTTGGCAGAGTTAATAGAATGTAGTAAATGCTCAATAAATGGTAATTAATAATAATAATTGTTGCATTAAAAATGTAAACACATTTATTAACTCTTCACACTCAAAGGAAAACTATTTATACCTTATTTCCTCTCCTCAAATCAGGAAGGATCTTCTATGTGCAAAGCAAACCCTATGAAAT
The DNA here is from genome assembly GCF_000001405.40 of Homo sapiens. NCBI lineage: Eukaryota > Metazoa > Chordata > Mammalia > Primates > Hominidae > Homo > Homo sapiens. The sequence continues at coordinate 117,352,475 of NC_000002.12, read as the reverse complement.
GCCATATTCTTTCCCGTTCACGTTACATATAAGAAACAAATGGGCTTCATAGCAAGTTTTTACTTCTTTTTTAATTTTCAGAGCTGATTATCAACTTATTCAGTAAAGTTCTTTTTATTTTCCCATAAACAAGATAGAAAAAAATGCAAACCAGAAAGAGTTTCATATCAAAACATGATTTTTAAATCTTCTTAAATACAGAGGATGAATTTTCCCACGTTTCCAACTCTTGTTTCCTTGGCATGTTCAATTTTGAAGAGCCTCCTTAATCAATGAAGTTTTCAGCACAAGCGTCTCATCTTTTAAATTGTTAGAAGCCTCAGAATTTCTAGAGTACATTTAATTTCAAAATTATCAGGCCACTGATAAAAAAGTTTGAAATTTGTGATCTTTAATTTATCAGATTTTGCCATCTTTATGTGTCTAAGGATATGAAACAGATAATCTACCTACTTTTTTTTAAGACGTACTGATGAGATTGCCCATCCCTCATCAATCGCAGTACTCTCCTGCTAAAATTGGATAGTACTTCAGATCTTTCTCAACAAAGCATTCCAGGCAGGCACTATCAATCAAAAGTGAAAGTTCTTTACCAATTCATTATGGTCTAATCTCCTACCCCTACAGGAATCATAGGACTAAAGTCCCCAATTTCTACAGCAGGGATCCTAATAACTAGCTGAGACCTCCTGATCCGAAGCACTTTCCTGATCTGCTGGTTAGCCCTGACATTCTGGTTTCTGTTGTTCTTGATAAAGTCCAGATTCCATAACATAGTTTAAATTCCTTCACATTTTGGCTCCAGCCTACCCTCCATCCTTATCCTGCACAACCATTCTCCTCATGCTGGTTATTCTCGAAATCTTCTCTCTATCTGTTTCACCTCTGTTCTGGGCTCTGGTATGTTGACTTCTGCAGGTGACATCACTCGGGCTCACTTAGGGTTTGAGTGCTGTGTTCCCTCCTTAAGGCAACAGTTCCCATCAGTCAAGCCTTCTCCCGCTTCTTCTGCATCTCTCCCTGGGATCCAGGAAGAGCTCCTTATGTTGGTCCTTCAGGCTTCCAGTACTGCCAATTCATTCCTTGATGGTATGCCTGTCCACACTTCTGAAGTAGTCTTTTCAGTAAACTCTTTTAGATTAGTTTTTTTTTTTTAATATGTTGTATATTTCCTTCCAGAACTCTGGCGAATACATCTTTTCTTCTTTTTTTTTCTTTTTTTCTTTTTCTTTTCTTTTTTTTTTTTTTAGATGGAGTCTCCCTTTGTTGCCCAGGCTGGAGTGCAATGGCACAATCTCACTGCAACCTCCGCCTCCTGGGTTCAAGCAATTCTCCCACCTCAGCCTCCTGAGTAGCTGGGATTACAGGCAGCCACCACCACACCTGGCTAATTTTTATATTTTTTAGTAGAGATGGGGTTTTGCCATGTTGGCCAGGCTGGTCTTGAACTCCTGACCTCAAGTGATCTGCCCACCTCGTCCTGCCAAAGGGCTGGGATTACAGGCGTGAGCCACCACGTTCGGCCTGCAGGATACATTTTTTTTGAGTCCAACACACATGCACCCACTCTCTCTCTCTCTCTAATTCTACACCCTCACATCCTGACATTTTAGTTCAGGTGTCACATTCTCAGGAATTTGATCGTTTTTAGCCTAGAACACTTAAAGAAATCACTTCCTTTTCTTTATTGTCTGTATCTTGGTTTATATATACATTCATTTCATAATTATTTTATTAATGTCTATCTTCCTCTACTAATATTTATACTTCCTGAAGGCAAGAATCCTTGTGAGTTTTACTTACATTGATGACCCCAACATCTGTCATCACAGGAGGCACGGAGCACAGCTAGACTTTGGAAATAATGACTTACCAACTCCTAATGTCAGGAGCTTGGACCTCACCCAAGTAGCCTATATGTTGCCTTAAGCCCTTTCTGGTCTCCTGGTGCCAGTCAGCTATCATTAATTTGGTAATGCCCTCAAACAAGTTCCCATTCCAACAGTTCCTACTTGGATGCTTTGGCAACGGAGAACTTACTCTTTCATATATCATATAATGATGGGGGTAGCTCCACTGTTAAAAACTTTTTCTTATATTGAAATGGAATTTATTTTCCAGCAGAAACATGGTCTTGTTTTCTAAAGCAGTACAGAAAACTGAAAACCATCTTCCTTGAGGCAATTCTGAAATCTTTGAACACAGACATCAACTTCGTGTTTTGATTCTTCCCTTCTTTAGGAAAGCCATCCCTTCATCGCAACCATTCTTTCCCTTTTGCAATGCTGTTGTTCTCTGTTTCATACCTTAAACTCAGCATTTTCCCTGATGAGCTGCTTATTCTTTATTCCCAATGCTAAACCTTTTTTTATTTTTATTTTTTCCTCTCTGTCCTCCTCCTTTCCTCAGGAGACTTACCTTTATGCCCATCATCATCACCCAAGTACCTTGTTCATGTGCTGGCCAGAAATGACAAGCTGTGTACCATCACCATGCTCACTCAGTGGCTGGGAGCTGCTTAGGCATACGTGGTCTTCGTTTGAAAGCTAAAGCACATCCCAGAGGCACCCATGGCTGGAGGCTGTCAGCTAGTTTCATTTCTCATGACAAGTTTCACCTTGAAGGAAGCCCTGAGTTGTGCATCACCGTGCCCAGGATAGTAATCATTTAGATATGTAAACAAGAAGGCAAACAATTTTGGGGGGAGGGGTTAGTGTAATCTGTAGATCTGCAATGTGGACATCATTTGGGAACTTGCTAGAAATGCAAATTCTCAGGCTTCACGCCACCTACTGAATTCCAATCAGTATAACAAGGCTCCCAGAAGATTCATGGAAATATTAAAGCTTGGGAAGCACCGATGTACAGGATATTTTGCTACACTTTTGAAGACATGAAGACTCTCCTTGACAATTATACCCATCTACCCACAAAAAATTGCACCTCCTGCTCTCTCACAACAGCCCTCTTAGTTCCTGTGGGTCCCTCTTTAATTACAGCAGTTTGGCCCAGGTTGGGCACTGGACCTAAGATAAGGAAATCAAATTCAGAATTTCAGAATTTGGAAATGTAGATGAGAGATTTCTGGTTTCGATGTACTGAGTTACCTTGAATTGAGGTGATATAAACTTGGGAATTATTGGGGGGAGAAAGCCAATTTGTAAAAGAGGAAGTGAATTATGTATACCTCACTTTTCCTTCCTTCTCTGTTTCTTAAAAAATGTTTTTGATTATTTCTCCAACTCAGTTTATTCTTACTCTTATTATTTGTAACCAATAGAGCCTCAAACAGATTGATGGTGAATGGTTTCAGAATATTATGAATAAGATGAAGTTTAATGGTAAGGTATTAGGTAAAAACTTCAGGTCTTTTATGTTAAGCTCCTGGTATTTTTTTTTTTTTTTTTTTTTTTTTTTTGAGACGGAGTCTCGCTCTGTCGCCCAGGCTAGAGTGCAGTGGCCTGATCTCGGCTCACTGCAAGCTCTGCCTCCCGGGTTCACGCCATTCTCCTGCCTCAGCCTCCCGAGTAGCTGGGACTACAGGCGCCCGCCACTACGCCCGGCTAATTTTTTGTATTTTTAGTAGAGACGGGGTTTCACCGTTTTAGCCAGGATGGTCTCGATCTCCTGACCTCGTGATCCGCCCGCCTCGGCCTCCCAAAGTGCTGGGATTACAGGCGTGAGCCACTGCGCCCGGCCAAGCTCCTGGTATTTTTACCTCATCATCTAGGTTTAGGGTCCGCTCACATAGTGAACACAAAATAAGACCTTTTCTTTTTTTTTTTTTTAAAGCTCTTCCTGTTATGACATGTCAAAGAACTGACCCAAATTGATCAAAGTCACAAGATTATTGATCTACCAATTAGAACACGGATTTATACATTTTTGTAGAAAAATATAATTGACAGACTGTCATTAAGCCAGGAACATAATGAAAAAATAGTATTTTATATTTCTACACGTCTGACATTTGTGCAACATCCCCACAGCCACTGTTACATTTTGTACCAAAGATTCTCCATTGGTCTGTTATAAAATCTCACCTGGAGAGTGCTGATAATGTTGTGCTCCTTGACTCCTTGATTCTTTCTTTTAGAATCCATATCCCATCATGGATAATCCTTTGTTTGCATATGTGCTTCGGTTTCTAGCTCACGTTTTAGGGTGGTGTTATCCTGTTGGATTTCCTGCAAAACTATATTTGTTTACAGGTCATTTCATAGAATAAGTTATTATGGGGATGATTTCCACCTGTTTTTTGTAAATTATTTCAACAATTCCTATTCACATTAAAGAGATAATGACCAAGCTTGTTCTCACTCAATTTTAAGGAGTGTACTCTGAATGTATCTGAAAAAGAGATTTTAAATTTCTTTTATTTATTTATTTGCTTGTTTTTAAACTCTTTGTATTATTCACATTTTATTTATTTATTTGTTTAAATTCAGATTCTGCAGTATGTGTGCAAGTTTGTTAAATGGGTATATTGTATGATGCTGAGGTTTGGTCCTCTGATGATCCTAATGCCCAAGTAGAGAACATAGTTCCTGATAGGTCATTTTGCAACGCTGCCTCCACTTTTGGAATCCTCAGAATTTATTGTTCCCCTCTTTGTTTCCTTGTGTACCCAATGTTTAGCTCTCACTTATAACTGAGAACATGGGGTAATTTTTTTAAAATTTTCATATGAGGTTCATATTATTTGGCCACACTTTGTGAAGTACTAGCAAAAATAGTGCAAACAATAAGAGGTGTCTCTTCATCTGTTTTCTACATGAGTCTTTCCTTTCATGTGGCTTGCTCCAGTATATTCGTGGAAGCCCATTTTCTGTGTTCAGCATTGCTTCTGGCCTTAGATGCTCATTTTCCCCTTCAGCTCCAATACTGAGAATGCTGCTTCCTACACTTATTTTTGTATGTATTTATTTACTTATAGAAATAGGGTCTTGCTATGTTGCCTACGCTGGTCTCCAACTCATGGTCTCAAGCAATACTCCTGTCTTGGCCTCCCAAAAGTGCTGGGATTACAGGCGTGAGCCACAGCACCAGCCTGCTTTCTAAACTTTTAAAGAGCTGTGGCTGCCAGATGAAAAGAACCCTTCTTCACCATCTTGAAATCCTGTCTTCCTCATGAATCTTCATTCTATCTTCTTTTTTTCGTTTGATGGAAGGACAGAAGCCATTTGGGAGTGAGCAGTTTGATTTTGTCTATGCCATCCATCCGCATTACAGCAAAAGCTCCACAGAGCTTATCTCTGATTTCTTTGGTCATTTCGTTCTATGAATGTGACTAAAAAGACATTTGATTGTCTTTAACCTTATACGCTCAATTTGGAATTACCCCCTTGGACACTGTATTTATAGATGTAAGCCACCATCTCATATTGATCTTTAGTTACAGGACCATATTTCCTCCTTTTGTACATCCATTACCTTTTAACCTCAGTGCTCACTGGAGAATTCCCTGGACACAAACATTAATTTTTGATAGCCTATTTGGAGTCATTCCTCATTTGTACTAAACCAGAGATCAATTCAAATATGAACTCTCTGGGATATCTCTTATCCTTCTCAAAGAGAATAGGTTATAAGTATTTATATAGAGACGCATAGCTCTTCATCAGCATCCCAATTTATCATTTATGTAAGACCAAATAGGCAGTTAATTATTATATGTGTCTTTAGTACCACCCTTCCACACACAGAATTACTTTTTTTTTTTAACAAAAAGAATAAAGATGAGGCTCAGAAGTTCATACAGATAAAGCTGGTAGAGCCAGGTCTAGATTTCAGCCCTTTGATGTCTACTTTATCCTCAGCAACCCCACTTAAAAAAGGTTAAGTAAATACTTACACATCTCAAACAATTTATTTCACTTTCCCAATTAAGAAAAACCCACCGAGTGGCTCCCTACTATTAGGCTAGCCAAGTGACAGTTTTGAGATCTCTTAAAAGAAGGAGTCTGTAAGTTGACAAAAATATCCCCTTATGGATTCAGAACAGGATCAATGTCCACACCTTTATCTTCAAAGTCATATTTATATGACACCATATGTGTTTTTCTACTCACATCATGCTACCCAATCGAGTGTCTTTATTTCTCATATAATTGATCCATTCTACTATCTTCTCCAAGCCATCTAGATTTGCAGAATTGATTTCCCTTGTTGCCATGCTGTCACTTTGCACAGTAGCTCCTGGAATCACTCTTCAAAGGAAGTCTCTTGGGACTAAGTTAGGAATCCCTCTTCCAGTGCTTTTGCTACACGTCTCCTCTACATTTCTTTTCCAGTTGCTAATCTAAAACAAATACATCATTTTATGGGGGAGTGATAGGAATGCTTTGCCTTTTATTTAATTGCTTGAGGTTCTTGCTACATTTCTACGACAACTACGCTAGGTTTAAAAGCCCTCCCGGACAATAAAGGTCAAATTGTATGTAACCCATTAGTAATCAGTGTTATTTTCTGGACTTGATTGTCTTCCTCTTTAAAAGAAGGTGGAGGTCTACTTTACCCTTAGATAAGATTTATTTTAATATTCTGATTATTGTATGAATCTTTATTTTTCTGTTTCTTTTGATGATAAATAAAACATGACTTTATAATGTGTTTTGTGTTATTGTGATAAACTATATTCAGTTATACTTTACAGACAGTAAAAGTAGATAGGCATGTAACCAACATCACAAGCAAGATATAGAACATTCCAGTCCCCTTAAACTATCTCCCAAGTCCCTTGCAGTCAATTCCTTTCGTACAATGGCAGCGCCTGGCAACCACTGATTTATTCTGTCTCTGTAGATTTTCCTTTTCTAGAATGTCATAAAATGAAATCAGATAAGATGTAGTGTTCTGTGTCTAGCTTCTTGCACTTAGCACAATGCTTTTGAGATTCATCCATATTCTTACATGAATTAGTAGTTTGTTTCTTTTTGTTGCTGACTATTAATGCATTACGTGGATCCACTACAATTCTTCATTCATTCAAAAGATGATGGACATTTGAGTTGTTGCAGTTTTGGTGACTATAAATAAAGAAACAAGGAGCATTCATGTGCAGGTTTTTGTGTAAACATTTCTGTTTTCATCTCTTTTGAGTAAATACCTAAGAGTGGAATACTGGGCTGTATGGTGAGTATGTGTTTAATTTTTTAACTTTATAAGAAAGAGACAAACTATTTTCTAAAGTGGCTATACCATTTTACCTTCCCAGTAATATGTTAATATGTGACTGTTAAGAGTTACTCCACATTATTGTCAATGCTTTGTATTTTTAGTCTTTTGAATTTTAGTAATTCTAGTGCAGTGGTATTTCATTGTGGCTTTGATAAATTTTTCCCTAATGATCGAGCATGCAGATTATTATTATTGTTTTGGCAGAGTCTCACTCTGTCATGCAAGCTGGAATGCAATGATATGATCATGACTCACTGCAACCTCCACCTCCTGAGCTCAAGCCATCCTCCCACCTCAGCCTCTAGAATAGCTGGAATAACAGGTGTGTGCCATCATGCCCAACTAATTTTTAAAATTTTCTGTAGGGACAGGGTCCCACTATGTTGCCAGGATGGTCTTGAACTAGGGGCTCAAGTGATTATCCCAGCTTGGCCTACCAAAGTGTAGGGATTACAGGTGTGAGCACTGCACCTGGCCCACACAAGTTACTTTTTAATGTGTTCACTTGCCGTTCCTTTGACATTTTTGTTGAAGTATCTATTAAATATTTTGCTCACTATTTTTAAATCAAATTATATTTCTTCTTAAGTTTTAAGATATCTTTGCATATGCCGGATACAAATTTTTATCAGACATACGTTATGTAAATATATTCTCCAAACTTGTAGAAATTTCACATTTTTGGCAGTCTTTTTTGAAGAGAAAAGTTCGCCATTATAAAGAAAGTTCAATTTATCAGTTGTCTTTTTATGGTTTGCTTCTTCCTGTGATAAGGAATTTTTGTGCAATGCAGGGTCACAGGATTTTTCTCCTGTGGTTTCTTTTTTTTTGATTTTTAAAATTTCAGCTCTTAACTTTAGGTCTATGGTACATTTTGAATTAATTTTTATATGTGGCATAAAGTGTTTTTTGAGGAGGTGGTTTGTTTTGTTTTGTTTTTTCTTATATATGTCCAACTGTCTAGCACATTTAAATGAATATACTAATCTTTTCCCATTGGATTACTTTAGAACCTTTGTCAAAAATCAATTGACTTTCTGTTTATGTCTACATTTGGGTATCTGGTCTATGTATTCTATACCACCAGCCTTCGTATATGTCTCAGTCCGTTCTTGCATTTTTTTAAAATGAAGAACTACCTGAGACTGAGTAACTTGTAAAGAAAAGAGGTTTAATTGACTCACAGTTCTGTAGGCTGTACAGGAAGCATGACTGGGGAGGCCTCACAAAACTTAAAATCATGGCTGAAGGCAAAGGGCATGTCTTACATAGCTGGAGCAGGAGGAATAGAGAGTGAAGAAGAAAGGTACACACATTTTTAAACAGCCAGATCTCTTGAGAACTCTATCATGAGATAGCACTGCGGAGATGGTGCTAAGCCATTAGAAAGCACCCCCATGATCCAATCATCTCCCACCAGGCTGCACCCCTAACACTGTGGTTGCAACTCCAATTGGCTGCAACTTCAATTCAACATGAGAGTTGGGTGAGGACACAGAGCCAAACCATATCAATATATACCCCATGCCAATTCCACGCTGTCCTGTTTAATGCACCACCATAGTAACTGTTACAATCAGGTAGTGTGCATCCTTCAGCCTTATTTTCCTTTAAAAATTGTTTTGCTTTGTCTTTCACTATTACAATAAAAAACAAAACTTAATTGTGTGTCAGATATTCTGCTAAATACGTTGCATGCAGTTTTTTCATTTAGTCCTCACAACAACCCTATAAAACACAGTTAGAGAGAAGGAATAAGTTATAATATTTGATAGCAGAATAGGGCAACTATCGTTAACAACAATGTATTGCATATTTTAAAATAGCTAGAACAAAATTAGCTGGGTGTGACAGTGTGCAGCTGTAGTCGTAGCTACTCAGAAGGTTGAGGCAGGACGATCACTTGAGCTGGGAAGGTGGAGATTGCATTGAGCCAAGATCATGCCACTGCACTCCAGTCTAGAGACCCTGTTTCCAAATGTAAATAAATAAATAAATACATACATACATAAAATAGCTAGAACAGAAGACTTGAAATGTTCTCAACTTACAGAAATCATAACTATTTGCAGTGATGGATACCCAAAATACCCGGACTTAATCATTATACAGTCTTGTGTGTGTGTGTGTGTGTGTGTGTGTGTGTGTGTGTGTATGTATACATACATTTTTATTTCTCTAGGATAGATATATAGATGTGGGATTGCTGGGTCATAGGGTAAGTGTATATTTATGTTTTTAAATTTTTTTTCTTTACTATACTTTAAGTTGTAGGATACATGTGCAGAACATGCAGGTTTGTTACACAGGTATACACGTGCCATGGTGCCATGGTGGTGTGCTGCACCCATCAACCCGTCATCTACATTAGGTATTTCTCCTAATGCTATCCCTACCCTAGTCCCCCATCCCCTGACAGGCCTTGGTGTATGATGTTTCCCTCCCTGTGTCCATGTGTTCTTATTGTTTACCTCCTACTTATGAGTGAGAACATGTGGTGTCTGGTTTTCTGTTCTTATGTTAGTTTGCTAAGAATGATGATTTTCAACTTCATCCATGTCCCTGCAAAAGACATGAACTCACCCTTTTTTATGGCTGTGTTCCATGGTGTATATGTGCTACATTTTCTTTATCCAGTCCATCACTGATGGGCATTTGGTTTGGTTCCAAGTTTTTGCTTTGTGAACAGTGATGTGATAAACATGTGGGCATGTGTCTTTACAGTAGAATGATTTATAATCCTTTGGGTATATACCCAGTCATTACTGGATTGCTGGGTCAAAAGGTCATGTATATAACAAAATGTCACATATACCCCCAAATATGTACAAATATTTTTATCAAAAATTACATAGATTTATTATTTTCATATTCCAGATGAAGAATTTGAGGCTTTGAGAGAACGGTAAATTAACCAAAGTCACATTTATTTAATAAGAAGCAGGCCCAAAATTTGAATCCAAGTCTGTATAGCTCCAGAGGCTGAGCAGTCACGTACTAAGCTGTATTTATTCCACATCTTACTTATATTATCACTTTTTGTTTCATCCACCTTTAGACTGTCAACCCAGAGACAATACCTTGTCTAATATATGGGAGAAGTTAAATAAATATTGTGATTGATTAATTCTTCTACAGAGTTCAGAACAGGGCCCTATGCCCAGGTATATAATCTTCGGATTGAATTAATTGAGATGTGGTCCCTGCTTTGGTGTTTTAGGATAGAAGGAGGCATATTTTCAATATTCTCATTCTTCTGCAGCCCTTGACACTCCAAAGCCTCGGCTGCAATGGGAGGCTCTGAAGCACAGCTGAAAGGGCAGTAAAGAAAGTCTAACGTTAATAAAGTCCCAGGCCAGGGGTGTTTTTGCCCTAGCAGACTGTGATCTATGCTTTCAGTGGCCTCCAATGCCCTTTTCAGCAGTCTCTTTACAGCCCATTGGTGGGTAATAAGTCTTGACCAGTATCGGTCTTTGACATAGGTAGTAAAATACAATCTAAAAAGCACCCAATGGAGTATAAAAGTCAGTATCAGGATGGTGCAGATGATTTCTGATTTAATATCTTTCCCATCTTGGATCACCAGGTACGAGATCGGGGGCAGGCATTTTTCTCAGCAGGCTAAATTATTATTTGGACAAAATCACATTCTGATTCTTGGGTATGGAAGCTTACAAATAACGTTTTTTGTAAATTTCTTTTAGTAGTAGTTATGCTCAAAATAAATAAAATTACCCATTTCTGATTCACAGTGTCAGTTTATGAATACTTTTAAATAAAACTGAAGGAAGTTAACCTAGATGGTGAAGGCCTGGGAGTAATATAATTTAAAAGGATTTGAGGGTGCTCAGGGTATTAGACCTAAAAAAGAGACCAAGGTGGGAGCATGGTACCTCTCTTCAAATATTTGAAATGGTCTTTTTAGTATGTTGCACAGTGTTCCCCCAAAATTCATGTACATCTGGAACCTCAGAATGTGATTATATTTGGAAATAGTCTTTGAAGATGTAATTAGTTAAGGTGAGGTCATACTGGATTAGGGTAGGCACTAAATCCAACAACTGTTATCCTTATGAGAAAAGGGGAAGACAACTAGAGACACACAGAGGGAGGAAGGCCATTTGAAGACAGAAGCAGAGACTGAAAAGATGAAGCTATAAGCAAGGAATGTCAAGGATTGCAGGGATCCAATGGAAGCTCCAAAGAAGCATGAAGTTTTCTTCCCTAGAGCCTTCAGAGGATGCACGGCTCTGCTGATACCTTGATTTCAGGTTCTAGCTTTGAAAATTCGTAAATCTCTCATCTGAGTCTGAGAGATAAGTTTCCATTGTTTTAAACCACTCCGTTTGTGGTAACTTGTCATGGAAACTTTTGGAAGTTAATATACAGATACTTTTAAAATAGAATTGGCAGAGCATTTTCTAGGTCTCTAAAATTAAGGGCAAAGGGAGGAAGACCCTAAGCTAACTTTTTCAACCAGACTCATGGGACAATGGAATAAGCTGCCTCCTGAAGCTGTGACTGTCCCACACTGGAAGTCACATGAACAGTCCATCTATAAGGCATGTGACAGAAAAATAATTTCTAGACTTGACTGGAGTTTGGAATAAATGAGCTCGCTGAATATGAATATTATGTTGGTGCAAAAGTAATTGCCGTTTGGCCGTTTTTTTTTTTTTTTTTTTGAGATAGAGTCTCACTCAGTCACCCAGGCTGGAGTGCAGTGGTGTGATCTCGGCTCACTGCAACCTCCGTCTCCTGGGTTCAAGCCATTCTCCTGCCTCAGCCTCCTGAGTAGCTGGGATTACAGGCATGTGCCACCACGCCAGGCTATTTTTTTTGGATTTTTAGTAGAGACGGAGTTTCTTCATGTTGGTCAGTCTGGTCTCGAACTCCTGACCTCGTGATCTGCCCGCCTCAGCCTCCCAAAGTGCCTGGCCGGCCATTGCTTTTAATGACAAAAACCGCAATTACTTTTGCACCAACCTTAATTCTTCCAGTATTAACATTCTGTGACATAAATAAATATGTTATCCCTAAATTTATTTTAAAAATATAAAAATATACAATAAAATATAAAAATAAATCTAAAAATATAAATATATAATTCTATATAATATAAATATAAATAATCATATAAAACATAAAAATAAATAATAATAATAATACAAAAATATAAACCACAGTTTTTCAAAAGTATTTACAAAATGACCAGAAACTCTTGATTAGATTCCTCCATTAGTCTCAAGTTTCCTGACGTAAACCACCATGAAGTAAGTATTTTTTCTTGTTGGAAGCACATAAATTTAACCAGCTGTGACCAGCAACTTCTTTTACAAAGATAGAAGAAAGATAGCATGCATCCTTACAAATAAATCTTTTTGCTTAGAAATTATGTTCTATTATAGAATATATGAAAATTGTTCCCGCTGCTTCAAATGGGGAATAAGTGCTGTGATTAGATTTTATCATCAAGCTTTCTTATGGTAAATTCAACTATTGGCCTCACTTATTTACCCTCCCTGTATCTACACCCTTTGCTATGTGTCTTTGGAGTATTACCCTAAGGAAGCAAAGTAAATTTGGACTTGGCCATGTGACTTCTTTTAACTAATAGAATTTAGTAGATGTGATACTGGTAGATACTGGTGATACTGGTAGAGGCTCAAAATATTCTTGGATGGATGGGTGTGCCCTTTTGTGTTTCTGTCTCATTGTTGAGGACAGATATTGGCTAGTTCACTGATCCAAGTAGGATGACAGGCACATGGAACAGACATGGACCTTTCAGCATGGAGCCAAGACTGGCTGAGTCCAAGCTAGATCATTCAAGTCTCAGACAATCTACAGACATAGGATTAGGGTAAATGATGGTAGTTTTATGCCATGGAGTTTTGTTATACAGCATTAATCTGTCAATAGCTGACTTCATGAAAATATTGAAAAGTATATTGCATGTCATCATTGTTCCATAATCTTCACCCCCACACCCAGAATATGTGGTACAGGGAATTAGACAACCTTTTCCTAGCACACTTGAACTCGAATGACCACATGGAACTTGGCTAGAGTTCACAAGACAGACTCTCTCCATCCACTTCACCAAGTGTGTTATGCCAGCTGTGGGTTCAGAAACAGTGGAAAACACTGTTGGCTGGCTGATAAATATCCTTTGTCCCCTTTTCCTTACTAAAAGAACCAACATTATTTAGAAGTGACAATATACAAAGTTAAAAATACCTCTCCAACTCTTTTATGGCTCAGTTCTCTAAAACAAACAACTTTTGATCAGGAGGATGAAAGCCAACTGAGAATGGCGTGAACCCGGTAGGCGGAGCTTGCAGTGAGCCGAGATCACGCCACTGCACTCCAACCTGGGCGACAGAGGGACACTCTGTCAAAAAAACAAACAAACAAACAAAAAAGAATACCTAAGAACATCTTAGAGTGCTCAGTATTTCTGTGCAACAGGAAAATTTGTTTCCCATCATCCCTTTCTCCAAGTGGAAATACATGTTATTGCTATATGTCTCATTTTCCACCATTGCATATCAAATATAAGGTGATAACTTGTCTTTTAATCTTAAAGATCAAGAGACCATAGGAACTTCATTTTATCCAGGCAGAGAGGAGTTTATATCACCCAAAAATCTGGACTTTCAACAGGATTAAGAAACTGGATGAGATTTTGAGATTGTCTCCTTTGAAAGGACATGTATGTAGCTCAAGGAGTAGACTGTATTAGACACTGCTACTTTCTTACCCAACATTTAGAAACTTATTTCTTACCCAAAATTTTATGACATTGTTGAGGATGGCAATGTGTCCAGTTTAAAACCAGAAACTTTCCTCTTCAGAATTCCTTGCAGCTGGGGATGGTGCTGCATCCTAATTTTGTCATCCAAGATGTATTGGCTGAGTGGAAATTCCATAAGAGCTACTGTTTCCCTGAGTAAAACAATGACCTGGCTGTCACATATATTTCACCTTTCACACATGTCTCTAATTTCCTTCCTGGAACACAAATGCAGGTGGTTTAACCATCTTGTCACTACAGGATGAGAGGCATCCTAACACGATGGTAGAAAAGAAAGGCAGAAGAACACGAGTTCCTGGTAGCCTTGTGAAACCACTGCACCTGTGTAACCTGCTTACCTCCCAACTGCTTATCACGTTAGAAACAGAAACCACTCATAGGTGGGCATTGAACAATGAGAACACATGGACACAGGAAGGGGAACATCACACTCTGGGGACTGTTGTGGGGTGGGGGGAGGGGGGAGGGATAGCATTAGGAGATATACCTAATGCTAAATGACGAGTTAATGGGTGCAGCACACCAGCATGGCACATGTATACATATGTAACTAACCTGCACATTGTGCACATGTACCCTAAAACTTAAAGTATAATAATAATAATAATAAAGAAAAAAAAAAGAAACAGAAACTATTCAGTGAAGTTAGTACTGTCAGATTTCTCTCACATGCAGGCGGATATAATTCTAAGTGACAGAATGAATTTTGGATATATAAACAAATACCTTTTCTATACACAATAAAACCTCAAATACTGCTAAGCAATGTAATTTTTAGGGAATGATAGGATTATGAAAAACAAAACAAATAACAACACACAACCTGTTTCAACTAGTATTTTTCTCATGGTATTTGGAAATATTCACAGGTTCCAATTAAAAGGATTTTGTCAATGAAAAGGGTAAAACTCTAAAATATTTGAAGAGATTTCTTCTGACCAAAATATGAGTGACCATGGTCCTTGACACAGTCCACAGGAGATCCTGAGAACATGTGGCCAAGGTGGTCAGGGTGCAGTTTGATTTTATAAATTTTATGGACACATGAGACATCAATCAAATGCATTTAAGAAATACATTGGTTCGGTCCAGAAAGGCAGGGCAACTCGATGGGGGGGCTTTCAGGTTACAGGTAGACTTAAAGTTTTCTGGTTGACAATTGGCTGAGTTTATCTAAATACCTGGGAATAATAGAAAGAAAATGTCTGGGTGCACGATAAGAGGTTTTAGAGACCAAAGTTTAATCATGCAGATTAGCAGGCTTCAGAGAGAATAGATTATAAATGCTTCTTATCAGACTTAAAGGTCTTTGTTGATGTTAATTCTGGAGAGGAATAATGAGACATGTCCGATCCCCACTTCCTGTCATGGACTGAAACAGTCTTTCAGGTTAAATTTTAAAAATGCCCTGGCAGAGAAGAAAGTCCATTCATATGCTTGGAGGGCCTTAGAATTTTATTTTACAAATTAAATGAGATTTCCTTCAAGGAGAGGAGTAGGGTCTCCCAATTTAGCCGGTCTTAAGGTGCCCACGTAACCACTCTCTTATTTGTTGGATCTCACCAATTAGTTATGTCTTTAAAGGCAGAAAACGGAAATGGCCTTGAGGCAGCACTTCAGAGACGTTACAAATTGACTGATCTTCCTTCATTACTTAGTACTTGGTGCATGTCCGCTTTGGAGCCACAGGCTAGAGAGCTGCTCTCTTTCCAGAGGCAGATAAACCAGATATCCATATAAATCAGAAAACATTATCAGCACAATATAAAAATGAACATGGTTATATTCTTATTTTCAGATGTCCAGAAGCTGTAATATCTAGCATCCTTGGGCCTCCATTTCCAGATGTCTTCCTAATCTCTTTAGGTCTTCTCTAAGGGCACATGGATGATAGTAAATTGTTATGCCTGATCTTCTGGCATGGTTTCAACATTTGCTGTACTACCTTTATTAGAAAACTCCCAAAGGGCTTTTCTATAGCGCAACCTACAAATCACTGCCTACTGCAAATCTATGAAAATCAACTTCCAATATCTATGACAAAGGAGAGAATTAGAACTCTCAGAGAGAAAGTGCTTTCACTCATAAAATGCAGCTGTGGAAACTGGGGAATTTCTTCATGAGCCAGTGAAACTGGCTGGATTTGCTGCTGGGAATTTTTTCTTAGTCATAGTGTTTCCTGGAAAATAGGCACCAAGTCAAGGATCAGGTAAAAGCAGATCAAATTTAGCAGAAGAAGATGGTAATGCAGTTGCCTGCAACAGACCTTCAGCAAATCATTGCTCTTATGACTTTACCTGAGACAGCTGTATGGAGGTACATGTGACGTCACAGTCTCTTATGTTTTTACATTTTCTCCTGGTAGCGTTTGGTTTCTGATTACCGTGTAAGTGAAAGTAGGGCTATACATACCCTTAAAAAAAACCCTCAATTCTCTACTTTAAAAAGGTGCATTGGATAATCTTCCATGACTCTTAATTTCTATTCAAGTAAATTTGGCAGTGTCTCTAAAGAGAAAATGCTAGAGTTGGAAATATTATGCCCAACGTTCATCACTAGCGCAGAAGCTTGCAGTTGTGGTAAAGGCTAGGAGTCAAACCCTGCACAGATTCATAGATCTTATAGTGCCTGGCAGATTTTTAACCACACACACCTCTTTTGGACAGTCATGGAAATCAGTTATGAATGCATGGAGATCAGTTCATCGAGACTAGTCTGCAAATCTGCACATCTATTCAACAAAGGGAAATAAATAAAATATATTCTTTTCATTAACTGAAATTTATATAAATTATGTAAACGAAGAAAAACCGGCCGGGCGAGGTGGCTCACGCCTGTAATCCCAGCACTTTGGGAGGCCGAGGCAGGCGGATCACGAGGTCAGGAGATCAAGAGCATGGTGAAACCCTGTCTCTACTAAAAAAAAATACAAAAAAATTAGCCGGGCGTGGTGGCGGGCTCCTGTAGTCCCAGCTACTCGGGAGGCTCAGGCAGGAGAATGGCGTGAACCCGGGAGGTGGAGCTTGCAGTGAGCCGAGATCCTGCCACTGCACTCCAGCCTGGGCGACAGAGTGAGCCTCAGTCTCAAAAAAAAAAAAAAAAAAAAAAGACAAACCAAAAAAAAAAACTTCTCTAGTTCAGAGGGAGAATGTGGGAAGTAAGAGCCCACTTGGCTATGCCTTGACTTCTGAGGCAGCTGCAAGGCTGTCCAAAGGATTGTGCTGAAAGGTTGTTCTAAGAGTTCCAAAAACAGTCATTTATTAACCGTAGATTTAATTAAAACCTCCCATTATGTGAAGGAGGCACCTGAGATATACAGATGCTCAATTTCCATATGCTTATGTGTTTCAGGATGAACAATAGAATGTTCTAGGCACCTATTAAGGACCCTTCCTCTTCATTAATGCTTATTTCATTTGGGCGGTGCAGACCCATGACGAGGAAGAGAAAATCAGGGGCTAGAAGTAACTAAATCCAAGAAGGAAAGAGGGACATTTCCTGGGAAATCTGATGGAAAATTGGATGGCTGCATAGTGCAATGGAATATGAAATAAAAGGATGGACTTCTTGGTTGCCTAGTCTGTAATCAGCAGGAAAGACCATAATGAAGCCGTTTCTGAGTCAGCCCACAGCATCAGGCCCCAACAGATAATAGAATATGCCAGGAGCAGGATCCTCAGTGGCAGCAGGAGCACTGGTGATGCCAACAGGCAAGACTAACCAACTAGAGCCCTCCCCATTCCACCTAAGTGCCTAGGTATCTATATGAGCCAAAAGGTGAGATATAACTTATCTAACATGGCAGAAATGGAATTTTTTTTCAACTTTGACTGGAGGTGTCAATCAATGATTAATTTGAATGATATTATAGGGCAAGTTTATAAACCATTACAATGTGAGTGGCAAGGGAACTGTATCCATTGATAACTACTTAATCACCCTGATGTGGGTCTTGCTCTTAGGGTCTTGAAATCATGCATCTCAGCATTAAGTTTCTCAGTTGTACTCCTCTAATCCTGCTTGTCTAACGTGTTTTTTCCAGTGTGTACTTTCTGCATGCTGTTGAGTATAATGTCACATATTACATTCTATTTGTCTCAGGGGGCCTTGTTTGGGCTGTCCTATACCCCAAGGGCAGAGACATTTTGTGTATAAGAGGTCACATAGGAAAGACTGTGGAAAGATAACTCTGTGTCTCCATGATGGATCACAGTACAGACTAAATGGATTTGTCTGCAGTATTTCCATTAAATAATGGGAGATAGTGGGCATGTACTCCATCTTCTCCAAATATTCAGAAACTTACAGTGTTTAATGACACAGAGAAATTCTGAGGACAGGAGGAATGACAACAATGCAAAACTAGAGAAGCAAAGAACATTTAGTGAAAGTCATTTATTTTCTAAGCAATGAAGTCATTTACCTCCATCCAGCAGTGTATCCATTGATCTGTTGGTTTCCTCTGGGGAAGGAAGAAAAGCAATAATCCATGGTCAGAGGGGAAAGGGGCCCCGGACACACACAGATCTCACCTGCTCTGGCAGATGTGCTGGCCCGTGGGTTTCTCTGGCAGCTTTGAAAGATGAATTACAGGCGAAGGTGAGGACACCTCTGTACTTTATGCCATTTTCCTTTTTTTTTCTCTTAGGTTCAGGCGCAGATGTGCAGGTTTGTTATCTAGGTAAACTCATGTCATGGGGGGTTGGTGTATAGATTATTTCATCATCCAGGTACTAACCCTACTACCTGAAAGTTATTTTTTCTGATCCTTTCCCTCTCCCTACTCTCCACCTTCAAGTAAGCCCCTGTGTCTGGTGTTCCCCTCTTTGTGTCCATGTATTCTTATCATTTAGCTTCCACTTATAAGTGAGAACATGCAGTATTTGGTTTTCTATTCCTGCACTGGGATAAGGGTAATGTTGTTAAGGATAATGACCTCCACCTCCATCTGTGTTCCTGCAAAGGACATGATCGTCTTCTTTTTCAAGGATGTTTTATGCCATTTTCTAAAGCTGCAGATTGTTATCCCCTGAGGAGGGCAAGACAAAGATTCCCCCACTCCAGAAGGAACTTGTAATATGTATGTACACCCGTGTTGAAAGGCTAATGCCATTTAAAATTTTTAACATACATTTTCCCTTATAGCACTTCTTTACTTTTTTCTTCAATAGTAAAAGAATCTAAAATATTATGGACATATGAGAAGTGTAAAGACAAACATATTGACTTGGTTTTACCCTGCTTAACTTTATCAAATCTTTTTAAAGAACGTTTTACTAAAAGTTTTCTCCTGTATTTCTCTCTGCACCCATTTCCTTCCCATTCTCCTTTCCTACAGATGATCCTTGGACATTTTTTGGTTATAGTATTCATGCATGCTTTTACACTTTGTTTTTTTTGGTTTTTTTTTTTTTTTTTTTGAGATGGAGTTTTACTTTTGTTGCCCAGGCTGGAGTGCAGTGGTGCAATCTTGGCTCACTGAAGCATCTGCCTCCCAGTTTCAAGTGATTCTCCTGCCTCAGCCTCCAGAGTAGCTGGGATTACAGGCACCCGCCATCATGTCTGGCTAATTTTTTGTATTTTTAGTAGAGGCAGGGTTTTATCATGTTGGCCAGGCTGGTCTCAAACTCGGGTGATCCACTTGCCCCGGCCTCCCAAAGTGCTGGGATTACAGGTGTGAGCCACTGCACCCAGCCGCTTTTATACTTTAATCTACTTATCTATATGCCCCCAAATAATATAAACCTTTTTAAAATTGTAGATTATTACATGTGTTACTCTATAACTTAAGGTTTTTGTTTAATGTTATGTTTTTGATACTTGGTTATTATGAATTACATGTAATTGGTTATATTTTATTAGTATTAATATATAAGGATATTAATGGTTTGTAGCAATCTTGCTAAATATTAATGTCAACAGTTTGTATATTCTCTTGAATTTGTTATAGTAATAATCATAAAGTTATACAAATTGATATTTTTGTCCTAATTTTTAAATTTGGACATCTTTATTTTCCTTTCTTTTGACTTATGGCATTGGCTAGAATAATTGGTGTAATATTGATTCTAAAATGGAATACAGAATAGAAAGAGTAGGGGGCATCTTTATTTCCTAATCTTAATGGGAACGTTTTGAAGTTTCGCTGTTATACAAATATCAAGTAAAGCCTTTTGATGTCCTTTATTAGGTGAAAAAACTTCTTTGCCATTCTTAGTTTACTTAGAATTTTATTATAAATGACTGTTGCATTTTATTGAATACTTTTTCCTGTGTCCATTGAGAAGATATGATTTTTCCTTTTTACTCTTTTAATATGATGCCAATAGATTTTCTGATGTTGGAACATGAATTTTACTTTTTCTGAGGTGAATTATATGTAATAGTACTTTATTTTATAATTTCCATTTTTAACAGTCTCATTAAACATTGCAACAAAAATACACAGTTTCTCAGAAAAAATACTACAAATTTGTGCAGGACATCTTTGAGAAAAATACTAAACATTTTTAAAAGACATCAAAGATTACTTGATTATATAATAAAATTTAAGATTATAAATAATATTTATAAGATTATAAGTAATAAGTATTAATAAGTATAATAATATAATAATATTGAAATTAGTTAACACATTTTCTTTACTTTCATCTCATTTTTAATACATCTTATATTTTTATAGTTTCTGCAATGGTTTTTAATCCAGGAGAGATTATTTTATTATTTTATAGCCCGATGAACTTCACCTGTAAAACTGCCTGGTCCTAGTGCCCCTGAACTTTACTAAATGTATTAGAAAGCTCTTCTCTTGTTTAGATGCGTGAAGATGGATAAAGCGTTTATTATTCTGTTTCTGTGTTATGTCTGACCATTTAAGGAAACTGATTCAGGTGCCAGAGTTAAATACCCTGGCAGGAATGAGGGGTCAAGTTATGTTTACAGCATATTTACGGCAATAATTTATTAGGTTTTCCTGGCTTACCAGCCACGTATTTATTGGAATTCTATTTTTATAAATTGAATTTATTTATTTTAACGTGTGGAATTAATAAAATAGTATAAGCCTTCTCCATATGGCATATGTATATACAAAATGCATATATATCCACACATATATATATAATATACACATACCATGTTTATTTAGAAAATGTATTCTGGAAGACAAAATAATAGTATACAGATTAATAAAATGTGGGCTGGGTGCAGTGGCACACACCTGCAATCCCGGCACTTTGGGAGGCCAAGGCAGGAGGATTGCTTGAGCTCAGGAGTTTGAGACTAGCCTGGAAAATAAAGTGAGATCTGTCTCTACCAAAAATAAAAAAAAAAAAAATTAGCCAAGCAAGATGGCATGTGCCTTGTGGTCCTAGCTACATGAGAGGCTGAGGCAGGAGGATCACTTGAGCAAAGGAGGTGTTGGGGTTGCAGTGAACTGTTTTTTTTTTTTTGCTTGTTTGTTTGTTTTTTGCCACTGCAGTCCAGTCTGGGTGACAGAGTGAGACCCTGTCTCAAAAAAAAATGTATACGGAACTCTTTATATGAAGTAAGCTGATCTGGGTTCATATTGTAGCTCGTTAATAATTAGCTATGTGGCCACGGCTAAGTAACTTTTATCTCTTTAACTCCAGTTACTTCAGCTGGAAGTGAGAGAGTTGAAAACAATGCTTTATGATTGTGCTTTGTGGAGTCTTCAAGGATTCTGTGAAGGAATTGCCATCATTCAGGATTCCAAGCATAGCCAACTTTCCTTCAACCAATGAATGCCTTAGTACGCATCAAGCTCTGCCTTGCCTACTTTATAGGTATTAACTGATTTAGTTTAATTTAATCTTCACAACTCTGTAACTACGTAGTATGATTTTCCGCAATTTGCAGGCAAGGAAAGCAGGGCAGAGGTAGGTTAAGTAACTTGCTCAAGGTAACCTAGCTAGTAAGTGGTAGAGTTGGATATGGCTCCAGGGCCTCTGGTCCCAAGTCCTATGCTATACTGAATATTTTTCCTTGTAATCTTTACCTTGAACAAAGTGTCTTGCTGCTAAAATGTTGAAAAATATGGAGACATAAAAATCTCTACAATTCCATAATTTAAAATGTGCTGACTCACTATAGAAAAGAGACCACTATCAATCCTGCACCTAAAGAAAACTCCGCTCTGGCTTTGGTATGATGGTCATGTGGTGACACAGAAGGAGGTGGTCCAGTCTCCTTCCTCTAAAGCAATGCAGAGCTTCTCTAGCCCATGAATATCTATGTTAACAGTCTTCATCCTCATCTTTCACTGCCTAATTTTATTGGTCTTCCTGGTCTTTCTGAAATTAAGAAGCAGTGAAGGAGTAAGAAAAAAAAGTAAAAATGTGGATATGTAAGCCAGTCAAAAGTAAGGGCTTTTTTTCAGAGCTGAATTTAAGTCTCAGCTTTGCCAACAATTGTTAGGTCTGTGACTTTGAGAAAGTAAATTAATGTTTGGGTACTTTGGCTTCTTTATTTTAAAAAAGGGACTAATAATACCACCTACTTCATAAGGTTGTCATGAGCATTGAGAAATAAAATGTGTATGAATGTTCCAATACAGTGCCTGGTATACCACTGATGCTTAATAAATATTATGTTCTCTCCCTTTTGCCTTTCACAGAGGAGATTGTGTGCAAGGGGCTTTATTTCCTCAATCAGTCAAGTTGGAGGCTGTAATTTACTGAATGTTTCCTGCTAGAACTACCCTCCTCTAATTTTTGTGCCTCTTCCACTAGCCAGTCACCTGAGTAAGCTAGGTATTTGTTTCTTTTATTGTTACATTGCTGTAGATTTCTCTTCAATTTGCAATTAATTGAAAAGTCAGATCCTTATGTGCTGTGCTCTCTCCATCCTGGATACCCTTCTGACCCACTGTCTTTATTCTACAGCACTTGCTCTCAAATTTTTTTTGTTCTTTTTGAACAATACATGTTCCCTTGAAAATAGTCTCCAAAGCAGTGTAGCTGGAAGCTGAGCACAGATCTTAGTCCTTGACTGGTGAGAAATGAAGATCCAATTGTCATGGGGTGAAAATCTTCTCTCCTGTGGATATATTCAGTGCTGTTTTATCTTTACTTTAAAGGAGGGAATACACAGTAGAGAAAAATCCTTTTAGGTAGAAGGTATACTATGAATTGATCAAGGACACATACTTATTTAGACCCTTTTCAAGGACAAAGTATAACTGTTGCATTATGATTTTAAGTGACAATTACACAGTTGTTTAATTGCCTGGGTGGCTGAGGACACATGCTCTAATCACAATATGATAAAACTAAAAATGTCATGTACAGCCTTATATTTTCCAGGATCCTTTATATGGATGACAACATACATTGCAGAGTGGATCTTACCCTTGATTAAACTTATAGACAACATTATTCTTTAATTTAACTCATATTTGTTCATTGCCTACTTTGTGTCGGGCGCCATGTGAGGTTCTAAGGAAGCACAAGTCCCCAAAAACCACAGGGACTCCGCTCCAGAGGGAATTCTCTGTCACTCAAGAATCAATGCTATAGAAAAACAGTCTTAACCTGGAGGAACTCAGGAAATACTTCACTCCAGAGTTATTTTTGAAGAATATACTACAGATCAAACTTCATCAAACCAAGAGATAACTAGGACAACTTCATCAAAAGGAATGGTAATGAGCATTAGATATATTTAATATACATGTAAGGTTAATTCAAAAGTGGATACATGAGTGGAAGAAGAGGAAGTAAATGTCATGTATTCATAAAATAAAATAGAAATAATTCAATTTAAAAATCAGAATGGAAGGAAGAAAAGGGCAAATAGGATCATCTCTTAGTGATTGCTACATTGAATCATAATTATAAGCAGAAGTGAAAGGATATTACTTAAAGCTGATAAACCAAGAAGTGAAAACTTAGGTTTTCCTCATCAAAAGGACTGAGGGTACCATGAAAGGCAATATATAAAAGTAACCAATACAAAAAAAATTCAAATCATCCTAAATATCGAAATAAGTAAAAAAGATTTTAAAAATAACCAACAGAGCATATAAAAAAGTAGTTAATATAACCTAATACCCACCGTAGATATAACTTAAGATCATCTAGCTTGAGACCAAATATTTTAGTCATATAATAATATAAATATAAATGCTATAACTACTTAAAGGAAACAGTTTTCAAATTGGCTTAGCAAAAAAATGAATGAAAAAAGAAACAGCAACAACAAAAACTTCAGCTCTATGCTATAAACAAAAGACATGCCTAAAACAAAGTGATTCAGAAATGTGAGAAAATAAAGGCATGGCTAAATGTGTATCATGTACATGGAAACAATTAAAGAAATAGGGATTGCAATCCTGATATCAGACAATATAAAATTCAGACCCAAAAGTAGTATAAGAGATAAAGGAGAGCATATTTATACTGCTTAAGATAACAATTCAAAATAATGCTAGAACAGCTATGAATACCATGCATCATTTAATATGGTATTCGCCTTCATAAAGCAGAAACTATGGGAGCTACATAAGCAGAAATCGACCAAAACAAATAAAAATAATAATAGGAAATTTTAAGAAATAATTCCAAGTTCAAGACAGATCAGGTAAAATAAAAAATAAGTAAGCCTATTGAAAGCCTAAATACAAGGTCAATGAGTTATGTCTGCTGTGTTGGAACTGGCCCATACAGTATGGCTGGTGAAAGCTGATTCTACACATCTTTTCCCAATTCCATATTCAGTTGACAGCACATGGTAGTCATTTGAAACTGGCCATAGTGGCAGTATTTGCCCAATAGAAATTGACAAAATGCTATAATTAGGGCTTTTCTTCTCTTTTTTCCTAGGGGCCAGTTTACCAGAATACCTATGGACATACACCAAATGTACACTCTTTGATAGAAAACACCTCTTCTTTTTAAGTACACATAAAATATTTTTAAAACATAATATACTAGACATAAAACAAACTGAAAAAAATAACAAAATAAATCACAAGACAAAACTACCCCTCTATCAAAGCAGTCTTGGGTAATAGAGAAAATACAGAACATATCTTCAATTAAAAACATGAAAATAAAAGCATAACATGTTAATATTTATAGGATGCAATTGAATCAATTATCAGATAAAATTTCATATCTTTTTATACTTATATTAATAATAAATTTCACTCATATAATGAATAAAAAACTATATTCAATTCAAAAGCTTGTAAAAGAAAATAAGCTAATGCACAATAAGAAATAATAAAAATAACAGAAGAACTAATCAAAATATTGGTTCTTTGGAAAAAAAATTTTAAAAAAATAGATAACCCAAAAACTAATGTCATGCTGAATAAAAGGAAAATGCACATATAAACCGAATACAAAGTAAGAAGGAAAAGAGGAAATTAAAATTATGTGTAATATAAATAAATTTGTAAACCTAGATGAAAATAAGATTTTGCTACATATATACAATTTTCAAAAATTGACCCCAGTATAGATTAAAGCCTTAAATATACAAATTTCCATGAAAACAAAAAGAAAAAGCAAACAACAGCAACAATAAAATCTACCCTCCAAAATTGCTTCAAGCCCAGATAGTTTCATAGGAAAATTTTACCAAAATTTCAGACCAGGTAATCTCAATGCTAAATAGATATTTCCAGAGTATAAAAAAGTATTCACACAAAGAAAGTACAACATTGATATTAAAACCTAATGAAGTAACAGAAAAAATAAAACTACATACCAAATCGATTTTAATTTTGAATTGCAATGGACAAATATTTTTAAAAATAGTAAAAAGTATTATGCCATTTATAATTAAGGCTCATTTGCAACCAAATAACTCTGTTTGCATCTTCTCTTATCTTTTGTGCTGTTATTATCATAAAGTTTACTTCTACATGTTATAACTCCACAATATGTTGTTATTATTTTTGCTTTAATGAGTCAATTTGTTTTTAAAGAATTAAGAACATAAAAACAGTTTTTGAAACATTTACCTAAATACCTCTCAGTGTACTTCCTTTTATGTAATCTTTAATTCTAAGATATGGACCTTAAAAAGTTTCAATGAAAAACTCAAAGTATTTGCCAAGCCCCTCTAATTTGATAAGACTTAAACTCCAAATTGTATGTCCATCTGTTGAAACCTCTACTCAGCTGTCTCAGACGTTCACTCATTTTCTCTTTGGTGTCCCTGGTTTCTTTAAAATATGGCCAAAGATTTGAGGGGAGTTTATATGGAGACTTTGGGGTCTTTGAGATTTCCTCATTTTTAGGATTTTCCGCTCAATTTTGTGCAACTCTGGTCATCTCAAATATTTTCTTGGATTCTTCAGACCAACAACACTGGGGCTCTTTTCTTGAATTCTAGGTTTTCAATGCCCTGTTTCTAGGGATGCCCTCTGGGGAAAAGCTGAATGAACTTGGGTCTCATTCATTGTGGTTCTTAGCTATCAAGGATCCGATCTGTAATTTCTGCGTGCAGAGATTCCAAATAGTTATTATCATATTTCTCCCACTGTTCTTAGTTGTTATCTGTAAAAGGGTTAGTCCAAAAAAAGTTACTTCCCCAGTACTGGAATCAGAAATTAGATTGTAACATATTGAATAGAAATAATTTTATGAGCACTTGTTGATAGTTAAGATATACATGTATATGTATATGCATATCTTATATATCAATATGTACTCTGTGTGTGTGTGTGAGAGAGAGAGAGAGAGAGAAGAAAAAATAGCTTCTTTTAATGGAAGGAATGAACAATTTAGAAAATTGCTACTTTGTAATCTCTCTAATGTGAAAATTACTTCAGGCACAGGCCATCAAAGATAAAAGGCTGTTAGAGAACAGAATATGTCCTTTAACCGGAATCTAATTATGACAAAACAAGTATACAAATTTTGACTACTCATCATTTCAGAAAGTAAAGAATAAAGAAGATCATGTTATTTACAATGCATTAAGAATCAGACTGATAACAGGTTGAATACAAGAATACAATATTTTAATATCTTTAAAATCGAATAGAAAACATTTGGACCTAGAATTCTATTTCTAGGAACGTTCTCAAACAAGCTTAAGAGCAAAGTATAAAAACGATGTTCAGCATATAATAATATGAAAAAATTTTGTCCTAGACATTTTATATGAAAATGTATACTTTAGAGCATGCTTCAGGAAAAAAAGAAAGAAAAATTAATCCTGGGAAATGGGTGACATTAGATACAAGGAGCAGTGGCAGTTGAGTATGTCCCAAAGGAAGTAAAATAAATGAGAAAGAAACTTTGATATATTTTGAATAAAGATACTTAAAAACATTTTCTTCAATAAATTGTTATGGCATAAAATTTCAAAGTCATAGTAATAAAAATGTTGATTTTTTAAATGAGTTTTCACCACATCCTAAATTATGAGATTAAATTATAGTCACATTAAACTTTAAATATTATGAACATTGAAAATATAAATATACTAACACTGAAACGAGGAGTACATTAAGCATGAGAAGGGTAGCAAAGGAAGATTACCTGGGCTAAATTCCTAATTCTTGATAACAGAATATGGCTTATATATGCGAGAAGTTATGCCTTACAGAAAGGATACACAAAATAATAAGAATAGAAGGTAATTAAATACTCTCAAATTGGTAAATACAAATAGATGGCTAAGATAAGTATTTTATCTAAAGTCATAAGCATGAAGATTAGAAGAACTGAAAACAGTGTCTTGGCATAGTTATCTCAGTATGAGATATGAGCATGGTTGAGAGAAAGGAAGATTCTTTCACTTCTGTTTCTTTATTCAAATTATTTTTGTTAATAAGAGCATACACTATTTATATTATTAGAAAAGACTGTTTAGAAAGTGACTGTATTGATTATGGTTATCTAAACCCTGGAATACTATGCGGCCATTACGAAGAATAAAGGGTAGCTAGATATACATCATGATCTGGCAAGATAGCTGCTGTATATTTGCTGAGTAAAAAAAAAGCCAAGCTGCAGAAAAGAATTCCATATTCCCAGTGTGTAAAATCAACACAGATATGCAAATGTGTGTATTTACATATTTTATATAATAAAAACTTTTTGGAAAAAGAAAGAAATTAAGCTCAAAGATGAGAACTCTCTGAACCAAGTGTTTCTCAGAAACCTCAGCAATGACCATTAACAGCACTGCTGGCAGATTGGTTCCAACCTGAACCCAACCCAGGTCCAGTTGAGATGCTAACAGCAGGCCCCATGGGAATCTCTTCCTTTTTAATCATCAGCATGAATAATGCATATCTATCTTCATTCTTTTTCCTTTCACACACAGGAATCTTTTGCTTGTGATGCACTCGTAGTCTACAAATCTGCCAGCTTCATATAAACTTGAACCCTTGTTTTGTCAAAAGCTTACTGAGTTCTCTCAGATCAACTATCCAACATCTCTTTGATTGAATTCTTGATGTAGCTACTACTGGGAATAATTTAGGTACTGATTTAAGAGGTACCTTGGCTAAATAGCTGCACCTCTGCTTCCTTGCTGTGCTTGGTTTCCTTACCTGAGAAACCAGGTATCTGAGCTAGAAAACTCCTCAAGTCACTTATTGTTTATCTGTCTATCTTCTGACTCCAGGCTCTGTTTTATGTGTATCTTATAAAGCCCTTGATTTTTTAGAGACAAAGAGTAGCAACTATAGGAAGACTGACTGAGAGAAACTACATACAAGTAGTGCTAAGAAATTCTACCATAAGCTCTTCAAATATCCAACAGGAAAAATAAAAAGGATAGGATACATAAGGCATGTTACATCCATACTGGAATAACACCACCTGAGGAAATACGTGGCTCTCAGCACTTGTTCAAGCACATTAATTTGACAGCATGCACGAGCTGTTGACTGCCTGCTGAAGTCTTCCACTGTCTGTGGCTCGTTGAGTGCACAACTGCTCTGATCGAGAGTAATTCCATGCCAAGCGGCTGTGGAATGAACAAGTTATACACAGCCAGTGAAACCTGAAGCCTCAACAGCTAATCAGTGAGTTCCGTGGGAGAGAAATTAAAGTGGAAGAAGGTGCATATTGAAAGAGGAAGGTGACGGAGGAAAGAAATGAGCTGATATTAAGAGGTCGCAAAAGTCATGTGAAAATGCATGGCATTTTAGTTAGAAACAAATGAAACACATTTGGATCAAATTGCAGAGTCCTGGACGCAGACAGGAAAATAAATTTGCTAAGGAAAGGCAATGAGAAGCTTCTGGAAAGTGAGAGAGAGCTAATAAAGTTGTTAGAGAGTGCTTAATGAGTATGCTGATCATAAAATACATAAGACACCAGAGAAAACTGAAGTCTAGGTTACGTGGATTGTACATTTAATATCCATTTGTTGGTTGCTAGCTGGGACAGGCAGAGATGGCATGATCTCTGCAGGCAGAGCTTTGGCTTGCATATGTAAGAAGCTATGCCTTACAGAAAATGTAGAAGAAATAGTAAGAATAGAAGGTAATTAGATGACATGGCCAGTGTCACTATTTCAAACTACAACTGGGCTTGTATGGGGATCCTGACACCCAGAAGCATTTTCTCTCTATGGAAGGCAGTGCCTAAATGCTGAGCTACTCAGGAAAAAGTCAGCTGTGAGATTCAATTTAGTCTCCTGTTTGGCAAACATACTTGCTCCTGTCTGCAGTCTCTGCATCCCTGCCATCCCTTCCTTTTGCTAGTCATGGAATTCCAACATAAGAAAATGACAGCAGTAAAAGACTCCTAAAGAATTATTTAGTGAAATATCTTCATTTTTGGGGTTATAAAATTAAGCTCGAAAGGAATGTTTTTCCAAAGCATTCAGTTAAGCTAGTGTTAAGACTTGAGCTCATTTGAGTTTCCTCTCTCTCAGTCCATGGGTCTTTCCAATTTATGCAGCTTCACTTTGAAACTTAGAGATATATTTCAAAAACATCCATATTCCTTTAATAATCATTCATAATTCTTTGGAATTTACTTTTTGGCTTATTAACATTTATTCAACAAATAGTCGAGTGACTACTATTTGTCCTCAGAAGCTTATATTCTAGAGTGGGAGACAGGCAATGAAAATGAACGAAAGTAGAAAATAAGGTCAGGTAGGGATAGGAGCTATGAAGAAAATGAATGCACATTCAGGAGGCAGACGGACAGTGTTTTAGACAGGGTTTTTAAGATTTCATGGTGGGGGATGCTTGAGCATAAAGGTGTAGAATGAGAAGGAGGGAATTATATGAATATTCCTCAAGGACACTTTTCTAAGTTTTCTTTCATTAATTTGTCCTAATTGCATCTTTTAAGACTATAACGGTATGAAGGCTGACATACAGTTTGCTGAGCTGTAATGAACAAATCTATTTTTTTTCTATTCATAACCTTATGTAGTCTTTTTCTAATTTTAAACCACATTTCCTCTCACTCTCAGCATTGATAGGACAAGAACAGACATGTCTGATGCCCTGTTTGTGTTTTAGGGCCCACGTTCCTCCTGCCTATTGGGTGAAATAATCTGTTGGGACATGTATTACATGGCAGTGCCAGCATGTAATACATTATTGGCCATTACATTACCTTTTAAAATATTTTCAACAGCCTTACAGGAGAGGCTTCATTTTATCTATACTACAGGTGAGGAACTAAAGCCTATAGAAGTTAAAGGACTTCACAGTCAGTGAGTGGCAGAACTGAGGCAAGACCCAGGTCTGCTGGAACCAGAACTCATGTTCGTTCTATTGTAAGGATGCCCTGGGGGCCTACAAAGGGCACTTACAGTCCCCATACCTCAGTCAGTGTCCCTCTGGTTTCCATAACCCTTTGTATTCTTGCTTCTTTTTGACTGATAAAAGCAAAACTGGCTCAATTCATTGGTCTCTCATTCTGGAAGTGGAACTTTTAATGCATTCAATGTATTTGAAAAATAAAAATATCATTCATTTATTCATTCATTCATTTAACAACATAAATTGAACTTGCCTTGAACATTGAGTAATGGAAACTCATTTCCCTGCCCCTGTTTTCTCACTAATTTTCTGTATATTTAGTGTGTGCCTTCCAGGCACCTCGTACAGAGATAAAAAGAATTCGAAAATAAATAGTGAACCACTGCCCTTCTCATTTTCAATTCTGGTTGCAGTTTTTATTTTATAAAAATGTCTTATTTCTATGCTTTATTTGGGCATCATTCTAGCTAGTCTGGAGCTAACTCGCCTTTAAAGCCGATCTGGGCTCTTCATTTTTATTTTTATTTTTTTGTAAATGGGGGTTAAGAGAAATACTGTTTCCAGATGAACACTGTTCATTTCCAAACTTTAGCTTCCTAGCCATGTGCTTATGACAAGTTGCTCTCAGCATTTGGAGGAGAGGAGCTCTGGATTCTGGAATTGCCCTCAGAGTTCCACTGGAGTAACCACATTGGCAGTCATTCTTTGTGATTTCAGAGGTAGTACAAGGTGAATAAAAAAATTTGGATCTAAATAGTGTGACTATTCAATATTAAGATAAGCTCCATGTGTGGTTTAGAAGTAGTTCTAAATCCATTTCCAAAAGAGGCTTCTAAAACATTTTGTGGATCGATAATATTATTTATTCCCTACTCTGAAAGGGAATCTTTGATGTGGATGTATGAATTCTGATACCTTTTAGAATAAAGAAAAAAATCAGTCATTTTATTTGATTACCTTATACACATTCATTATTCTTAATAAAATAATGATTAGAAAGAACACTCAGTATCATAGAGCTGTGGTCTATACTATCAACACAGGAAGCATTGATTGATATCCATAGATCCTGGCTAGATCAAACCTGAAGAGAACATAGGATGGAGCTGCAGATATGGTTGATTGGCACAATGACTTCTGGGTGAAATTTTTATCTGTATTTAACGTGTCAATGAAGGGCCAATATAGAATTTATCTTTGGGATAGATAAAAACAATATATTATTGAATTTCATCAATATCTGAGCAAAACCAAGCCCCAAAACAATGGCGTTCATAGATGCTGATATAATATTCCTGGTCAGACCAATAGAGGTTGACCTTTTGACAAAATATAATTTACGTCTCTTCCTACATTTCTGCTCTATTGATTTATATATAGGCTGGACTTCACAGAAAAGAGCATGCACTTTTAAATTATTCTGCTTTGTAACAGAAACAGACTTTTCACACATGCTGCATACTGGGTAAATATTCTTTATTTCCCTTCTTCATGAAAACAAACGAAGTAAAAGAAAATCCCAGCCTGTCACATTGAAATTCAGTGTTTGAGCCCAACATGCCAATTCTCATTCTTGGGCCTTGTGGTCCACAGTTTGAGAAGTTGTATCTTTTTTAACCTATTTTTCCAGGGAGGCTTTATCGTAATAGACAATAATTTACAAATACAAAATGGACATTTGTGAATATAACAAGCAAATAAAATCATGCTCTAGGATGAGATGGGCATCAAGAGAAGAACGTTCAGCTTCCTGAAAGATTTTACATTGCACTATACTCTGGTACTTAATACACATACATTCTATACAATCGTTAAAGGTTTTCCTTTCTTTCTTCCTTCCTTCCTCTCTGCCTTCCTTCTTTCCTTCCTTCCTTCCTTCCTTTTTTGTTTATTTTTGTTTTTGCTTTTAAATCTGAGACTGATCTCAGGAAAAGGCAGTCTGACTCTTTTAGTTTAGGAACACTGAAGATAAGAGAGAATTGTAAAAGCTTTAAAGAGAAAGAATAGGTTAACGATAAAAGATGAAAACCAGTTAGACATCAGACTTCAATCACTATGCAAGGAGATAATGGAGTAATATTTTCAAAGTGGTTAAGAAATGCACTTTGAGCTTAGGGTCTCATATCCAGCTAAACTATTATTTTAGTGTAAGGGACTATTAAAACACTCTCTCCCGGCTG
The DNA here is from genome assembly GCF_000001405.40 of Homo sapiens. Classification (NCBI taxonomy): domain Eukaryota; kingdom Metazoa; phylum Chordata; class Mammalia; order Primates; family Hominidae; genus Homo; species Homo sapiens. The sequence goes on along the minus strand of NC_000002.12, from coordinate 117,319,582 downwards.
GGCACGGTGGCTCACGCCTATAATCCCAGCACTTTAGGAGGCTGAGGCGGACGGATCATGAGGTCAGGAGATCGAGACCATCTTGGCTAACACGGTGAAACCCCGTCTCTACTAAAAATACAAAAAATTAGCTGTGCGTGGTGGCAGGCGCCTGTAGTCCTAGCTACTTGGGAGGCTGAGGCAGGAGAATGACGTGAACCCGGGAGATGGAGCTTGCAGTGAGCCAAGATCGGGCCACTGCACTCCACCCTGGGCGACAGAGCGAGACTCTGCCTCAAAAACAAATAAATGAATAAACAAACAAACAAATAAATAAATAAATAGAAACATTCTCTGCCATATAAAGCTCGGAACGATTCAACATTAAAAAAAACAATTTTAAAACACTTTTGAAGAAGTATGTCAATAATAAGAGGAGAGGACCAGAGAAGAAAGAATGATCAGATATCTCAGTCAAGTTAATGGTTTTATTTTGTATTTTTAAAACAAAGAAAAAAGAAAAATCAAAAACAAACATTGGTAAACACCCAAAGCTAAAATTCTGTATGATTCCTGCCATTAATCAGGTTTTGGGAACAGACTCTGAGGCAGAAATGTGCATGCAGGAGGTTTATTTGGAAGAGGTCTCAGGAGCAGCACCTGTGAGGGAGCAAACAAGGCAAGACTGGATAGAGGGGGAAGGTGAACATACCCAGCAGAGGCCCTGGGGAGCAGGGGTACAGGGATGGCATTTCCAACTTGTCCTGAGTGCAGGTGGGGGGAGGCATCGCTGTACTGCACAGAGCAGTCATTGAGTGTGATCTGTCCCCTGCAGGGGTGGTGGTGGTGATGATGCCAGGTATAATCTGGGAAAAGACAGCTGCTTTGGGTCCAGAGCAATTCTTTAGGAAGACTGAGTGCCTCTGTCCTGAAGGGGTCCTGGGGAATGCAGCAATGTATTCACTTAGGCAGTGAGTTTATGCTGAAGTCTTTTTTTTGTTTGTTTGTTTTTTTAAACTGTGGGAAGATAGAATTATTGACTGTGGTAGGCTGAGTAATCCCTCCCCCATCCCAAGATATCCTCATCCCAATCCTTGGAATCTGTGACTGTCACTATAGCTAGCAAAAGGGACATTGCAGATATGATACAGTTAAGGATCTTGAGATGGAGAGATGATCCTGGGTTATCTGTGTTGGCCCTAAATAGCATAGTAAGTACCTTATAAGGGGGAGACAGGGAGATTTTACTCCAGGAGAGGCAGGAGGCAATGTAACAATGGAAGCAGGGCAAGAAATGACAATGTGATGTAAGGCATGAGCTGAGGATGAGGGCAGCCTCCAGACACCGGGAAAAGAAAGGAAAAGGATTGTCCTTTGTGTTCCCCGGAGAAGGCAGGCCCTGCTGACCCTTTGATTTCAGTCCAGTGGAACCCATTTCAGAATTCTGGCCTCCAGAATTGTAAGAGATGTAATCAGTGATGTTGTAAGCCAGTAAGTGTATGGTAACTTGTTACAGAAGTAGCAGGGAACGAATACACTAATAAAGCATATAAACAGGAAACTCAACAGAAGCATAAATAAATTTTTCTGGTATTTTTTCAGTTGTTACAGATTTGCATTTTCTTTTTACATAACTCCTAACTTCAGATCTCAACACATGTGTTGTTTCACCAGGAAAACTTTTCCTGACCTCTGTGACTGGTCAATTCCCTGTTTTAGGCACTTCTGGTACCAGGACTTTCTCTTTTTAAATGCTTATTCGAGTTTTACCTTTCCTTCATTGATGTGATCTTTTCCCATCAGACTGTGAACTCTGAGAGTCAAGAGCTTGTGTGTTTTTGTCGCCATTTTATCATGGTCTAGCAGAGTCGGGGGAATAGTAGATCTTAAACAAATATTCGTTAAAATGAACTGATGATTTTCTGTTCCTGCGTTAGTTTGCTGAGGATAATGGCTTCCAGCTCCATTCATGTCACCACATGTTCTCACTTATAAGTGGGAGCTGAGCAATGAGAACCCATAGACACAGGGAGGGGAACAACACACATTGGGGGGTGTTGCGGCAGGACAGGGTGCGGGGAGAGCATCAGGAAAAATAGCTGACACCTAGGTGTCACCTAGGTGACACCAGGCTTGACACCTAGGTGGCGGGTTGATAGGTACAGCAAACCACCGTGGCACATATGTAGCTATGTAACAACCTGCGCATGTATCCTGGAACTAATTTTAAGTTAATTAAAAAAAATTGACTGCTGAATCCAGACAGACACAGAGTGTGAATTTAGCAAAGGAAGCTGGAATCAGGTTTGTGACAATCAAGGAGGAAGTTATGGACAAAGAAGTCTAAGAAGTGAATGCAAGATCAAGGCCCTGAGGTCAGTGCCTGGGTACGCATGGAAGGGAGGACCTGAGGGCACTTTGTGGGAGCCCCTGCTGGCTTTAGGAAGCCCCCAACCCACCTTCACGTTTGAAGGTGCATATGGATTCCAGGGGAAAAAAAAGGCACAGTGATCATTCTTTATTGTATCCTCTTCTTGGTGTTTTCTCTGAGAAACTTTAAATTTTATGCCTTTTTTTTTTTTACAAGTTCATAACTTTCTTGGAAGAGACATTAAGTCAACCCTATAGCAGATGGGTAATATTATGGTAAAGTTATTTTTAAGTTGAAATCTTGAAAAGCTGTCTTCCTGACACTTTCTCATATTTTAAAAGCCTAAAGCCTCAGAAATTGTGACAGTCTTCCATGACTGTGTGCCATTCTGGGAAGGCTGGAAATTTTTCTGAACACTGTTCTTAACTTTTGGCCTCAAACTCCTGGGCTCAGGTGATTCTCTTGCCTCAGTTTCCTGAATAGCTGGGACTACAAGTGTAAACCATCTTTCCTAAACTTTTAACAATTTCCAATAAGAATAGATAAATATAACATAAATCCTGAAAAAATACAACCAAAATCAGTATAATCAGAATTATTCTGAAAGAACATTTGGATTCAGTTAAACTGTCTTATTTTTATAGAAATACTGCCTTTCTTGTTTCTTAATTTCTTCATTGGAATTAAGATTTGATAGACATCAGCATTATTGAATATGTTTAATAGTGCACTGTTCTGTATTTAAGATAAGCAAATGAACTGTTATTGAGCATCTCTGTCATGCTAAGAAGTGGGCTAGGCTTTACGAAATTGAACACTGGTCCAACCAGGTAGACATTTCCAGTAATTATAAGAACAGCTTATATTTTTTTAAAATTCAATTTACAAATCTCTTTTTCTTGTAAGATTTAATTTAATTTTTATTACAGCAATCTTAGCAGACTGGGAGCAAGAGTTAGATTTTTCTAATGATTAGTGTGTGGCCTTAGGCAAAGACACTTAAATTCGAATCTCAGTTTTCTTATAATGTCAAAGGAGGATAGTTATACTTATCTTGCAGGAATTTGTGATGATTAGAATTTAACTATGGAAAGTGCTAATTCCATGCTTGACATATAGTAGGTAGTTAATAAATGGTTGCTATTATTATCACTCCACTTTCTTTTTGGGGAAAATAAGTGTCATTAAGGTTCAGTGTGCCAGGATAAGGAATAACTTTTTGACACTCAGAATTGGCTTTCTTAGGCACTACTGCATTTCTTATCACAAGACATATTCAGTCATAAGTTTAACCACCCATTGACAAGGCTGTGGTAAAGGAGATTCAATTGCTTATTAATAAATACTCATGGAAGCCCAAATATGACATTTATCATCCCTTTCTATTCTGAGATTCTCTGACTTGACTCTAGTAAGCTACAAAGTATGCCCTCTAAGCAGTCTCTTGAATCCTTATCTATTATAGCATGCTTTGTACTTATGAAACAGCAGCAAAGACAGAAAGTTCTGTCTCTAAGGGTGATAGCTAGTTAGAACACTCAACTCAAAAATAGCCTTAAATAACAGGTATTGATTATGTGTCATATTTTTCCAAACCATTTTGGAATTATTTCTTCTATTATTATTTTGCCTTTTAACACCCCTGGATGAGAGGTGAAGTAATTTAAATGCATTTTTTTCAAAAGGATAATTAAGTATGGAATGATGAGTTATTTTAGTAATAATGGAATTATAAATTATAAGTAGAATTGGAACAAAAATAGATATTTCTTGCTTCCAGTGTTTGCTTCTTGCTTACATAGGGAACAATGGCATATTGCTGACAAGTGGCACAGCTGAGCTTTCAAACCCAAAGTTTCCTGAATATGGCTTTATTGTTATTTTTGCTATATCACATTTCTGAGCATTTTAAAATAAATTCTTAAATGTTTTAAGTGGCAATAAATGTTCTCATAGAGGTGTTCAGTAGGTTAATGCATAGAGAAAAAAATCCCCTGAAAATGGTACATAAAAATTTAAACATAAAATATTGAAAATTTTTATTAATATTATTGTCTATGCTTTGCAACTACCTGATTCACCAGCATTTCTTGGATTTATTTATTCTGCTTAGGAACTGAGGAACTTCTGAATCCAAACATTCATGCTTTTTACCAGTTATAGAAAAATTTCAGCAATTTTTATTTGCATAATTTCTCTCTCACTTTCTCATGAGTATTGCTTATTAAAACTGTGATTAGAAGCATATTGGAACTTACTATATCTTCCAAATCTCTTAATGTCTTTTATCATTAAATTTCTAGCTCTTTGTGGCATATTTCATGTAATTTCTGTAGATCTACGTTTCAGATCACTGATTTTCTTTTTAACTTAATCTTATCCGCTGTTATTTCTTTCATGTGTAACTTCAGTGAATACAACCTTTATTTTTAGATGTTCAATTTGTTTCTCTTTGAAATTTACCTTACTTTTTTTTTAAATTCTATATTTTACTGTCTTTTAAGTATTTTAATGAAATTTATATTTTGTATACGATAAATCAGTACTTATGTCCTGGGGGTGCTCCTGTGGAGAATTCCAGCTTTCACCCATGGTTTTCTACTTTCTTGAATATTTGTGAATATTGTATTACAAACATATTTAAATTTCATGACTTTATTGTGGGAATACAACAAGGTTAAAATTCAGAGCGTCTCCCTTAAGATAAATTTGTTTTAGCTCTTAACAAGATTTCTAGCGGGGTAAATTTATATTCATTTCTCATCTTGGGGCCTCCAGAGGCATTAGTTAGTGCAATTTTGTAAGTCAAATCTACATGAGGACAAGCTATAATTACTAATTCTCAGAGGAGACTTATTTCCCCTCCTGAGTTCAATGTAAGACAAACATACTCTCCTTTTCCTGAAGGGCTTTATTGGGGTATAATCAATATACAAAAAACTACATGTTTACATTGTATAATGGCATAAGTTTTGACAGATGTACACACATGAAACCATTAAAACAATAATGATGATGAACATAATTTACTCACAGAAGTTTCCTTACGCCTTTTGCAATTCCTACTTCTCATTCCTACCGGCTTGGGTAAAAACTCAGAAATGGAATGAGTGATATATATGGTTGGTGTATGTCTAACTTTTTAAGAAACTATCAGACTGTTTTCCCAAGTGTTTATGCCTGTCTACATTTTTAAAATTTTGGTCTAATACATACATGCACACACACACACGCACACACACAATAACACTCTGGTTTTAATCGACATTTCCCTAGTTGCTAATGATGTTGATCATATTTATATGTGCTTACCTGCCATCAATATATCTTCTTTAAAGGTATGTATATTCAAATTTTTTGCCCATTTTTTTAAAATTAGGTTTTTAAAATATAGATGTATATTTAGACCGTTAATATGGTGAATTACACTTATGGATTCTCAAATGTTAGGTCAACCTTGCATTACTAAAATAAACTCATGATTTATTATGAGTTTATTGGTCATGATTTATTATTATTTATATATATGGTTGGATTTGATTTGCCAGTATACTATTAAGAATGTTTGTGTCTATGTTCATGAGAGACTTTGGTGTATAGTTTTTTTTTGTTTTTATTTTTGTATTACAGCAATGTTGACAACACAGACTAAATTCAAAAGTATTTCTAAAAAAATTTTTGAAAGATTTTATATACAACTGGTATTATTTCTTTCTTAAATATTTTGTATCACTAACTAGTAATCCATTATGGCCTGGAGTTTTCTTTTTGTAAAGATTTTTAACTATAATTTTTTTTCAAATACAGATAAGGTTGTTCAGTTTATTTTTATTTTATAGTGAGCCTATGTAGTTTGTGTCTCTGAATGTATTTGCCTATTTAATTTAGTCACTGAATTTATTGTTCATAATTTGTTCATAAGTAGTTCATAATTTCTCTGATTATCTTATTAATATCTATAGAATCAGTGGTGATATCACCTTTCTTATTTCTATATTCGTAAAGTATTACTTTGATTTTTTTTCTCCACGACCATTCTGACTAGGTTTATTTAATTTAATTTTATTTTTAAAAATCTTCCCAAAGAAGCATCTGCTTATCTCACTGATATTTTTCTATTTTTTTCCTGTGTTCTATTTTATTGATTTCTGCTCTGATCTTTATTATGTCATTGTTTTCTTCAGTCCTTAGATTTCAGTTGCTCTTCTTTTTCTAGTTTCATAAGGTGGAAGCTAAGTCAACTGATTTGAGACCTTTCTTCTTTTTCACATAAGCTTTTAGGGCAAAAAAAGTCTTTAAATATTGTTATAGCTGCAGCCAAAGCATTTTGATGTGTTATGTCTTTATATTTATTTAGCTCAATTTTTTGGATTTTCTTTTTTGAGAAGTTATTTATCTTGTTTCTAAATATTTAGGGTTTTTCCAGAAATCTTACTGTTGTTGATTTCTAATTTAATATCACATCATTAGTGAACATAATTTGTTCGACTTGAATTATTTTAAAGGCATCGGAATCTGTCTTGTGACCCAATTTATAATTTATCTGCATAAATGTTCTATTATGAGCATGTTCCACTTGAAAAGATTGTTTTCTGCTATTGTTGGATATTATGTAAATGTTAATTGGGTCAATTTGTTAAATTTGGCTGATTGTTTTGTTCAAACATTCAATAGCCTTACTGATTTTCTGTCTATAGGTTTTATTAATTTTTAAGTAAGATTTATTGAAATCTGTAAGTAAAGCTGTGGATTTGTTTATTTAATTCTCCTTTCAGTTCTATCAGCTTTTGTTTTATGTATTTTTTCTCTTTGTAGGTAAGTAACATTTAGGATTATATGTCCTTTTAAGGAATTGGCACCTTTATCATTATTAAATAACCTTATTTTTTCTTGGTAATTTTTTTTTTGTTCCACAATGTAATATATCAAATATAATACAAATACTTCAGTTTGTTTCTAAATTAGTGTTAGCATGAAAGATATTTTCTTATTGCTTTGTTTAATATTTTATGTCCTTATATGTAAAGTTTTTTTTTTTTTTATAAATAGTGTATATTTGAGTGTTGATTTTTCATCTAATCTGACAATTTCTGCCTTTGTATTGGCTATTTGGGCAGTTAAATTTAATCTAATTGTGATATTTGAGTTTAAATCTTGCTAATCTGTTCTTTGTTAGCTTCCAACCCTTTTATTTTCTGCCCTCTTTTGGCTTGAATATTTTAAAGATAATTTAAAATTTATTTCCTTTTTGCTTATTATTTATAACTCTTTAAATATTATTTTATTGTTTTCTTTAATAGTCATCATAAATATCTTTGTCCTCAAGCTATCTTCTGTTGATGAAAAGTATCCAACTCAGTTCAATATTTGAAGAGATTTATTCTGACCCAAATATGAGTGACTATGGCTCGTGACACAGCCCTCAGGAGGTCCTGAGAATATGCACCCAAGGTGGTCAGAGTGCAGCTTGGTTTTATACATTTTAGGGAGACATGAGACTTCAATCAAATACATTTAAGAAATACATTGGTTTGGTCCAGAAGGTCAGGAGAACTTGAAGCAGGGGCTTCCAGCTTATAGGTAGATTTTTAATGTTTCTGGTTGAAAATTGGTTGAGTTTATCTAAAGACCTGGGATCAATAGAAAGGAAATGTTCAGGTTAAGATAAAAGGTTGTGGAGACCAAGTTTTATTGTGCAGAGGAAGCTCTCAGATAGCAGACTTCAAGGGAGTAGTTTGTAAAATGTTTCTTATTGGGCTTAAAAGGGTGCCTGGCTCTTAGTTGATTATCTCCCGGGTCTGGAAAGAAAGAATAAAAGGCAGGGGTAAAAGGGGATTCTGTATAGAATGTGGATTTTTCCCACAAGAGACAACCTCGCAGGGCAATTTCAAGATATGGCAAGGAAATATATTTGGAGCTAAAAAATTTTATTTTCTTATTTGTCATGTGATATAATGCCAGAGTCATATTGGAAAGCAGGCCATGTTATATAGGGTTAAATAAAACTCCTCTGAGACTGGTTTGTAGGGCATGACTCCCCAGACCCCTTAGGTAGGAATTTGGGCAAGATAAAAAAAGATCAGAATTTAGTCCTCATTTCAAATAATATTTTATATTACTGATAGGAACAGAAGACAGGGAAATACTAGGTAGAAGAGGGCAGTTTCCCGGCAAAGGCCCCCACCCTCAAGCCTGGATATCTGCGGCCCTGAGAACAAGCATTTCTGTTTTCACACCCAAAACGTTGCCTTTTGGCCTGCCATGGCCCCTGTCCTGCTCCCATATAAACCCTGAATCCCAAGATCCAGAGAAGAACAGCAGACCAGCAGACCAGTGATGGCAGAATGATGTGGCAGAGAAAGAGAGAAGAGGAGGGATGTCTGCATGCCGAGGGGAGTTCGGCAGGGGGCGGTCTGAGAAAGGACTGGCCTCTGGGTGGCCTGACTCCAGGGGAACATCACCTTCTCACTTCATCCCCTTTTCCTGCTCCCCATCCATCTTCTAAGAGCCACCTCCAACCATCAATAAAACCTTGCACTTATCCTTCAAGCCCATGTGTGATTTGATTCTTCCAGGACACTCGGCAAGAGCTTGGGATACAGAAAGCTGCCACACTGGCCCTCAGGCCTTGCAATAAGGCAGAGAGTCCATTGAGCTGATTAACCCTCAGGCTGTCTGCAGACAGCAAAGCTGAAAGAGCTTTGTAACTCTGGGGTTGCAGGCAACCACTCCTAGACACTACTGGGGCCTGGAAGCCTCATAGTAATGAGGCCGAGAGCCAAAAGCACTCACCAAGGTCATTGCACCTGCCAGTCTGCACACTCTCCCTAGGGATTTGAGCTGCAGGGCAACCAAACAGGTGAGCCACACTCCTGTTGCACATCCTGCAAGGAGAATCAGGGAGCTCTTCCATTTCATTACTTCATGTATAGTATAAGAAACTTACTTTTTTTCCCAAAGATGATGGATTGGAGGCATTGTTAGCATGCCTCTTCCACTTGGAACGACAAAAAAAAATGTGAAGAGATTCATGCCCTGAAATTTTTTCCAAGAAGTAACACAGAAACTTCACAGGAAAACCGAAAGAAACCACAGATGCTCTGAAAGAAGTCGTGGGCTGCAGCACACACCATAAGCCCAGTGGAAAATCACCAGAGTTTGAGAGGTAGATAAGCTACTTCTGGGATACAATTTCCACCAGGGAATCTGGCAATCCAGGCCACTGAGGAAGGCCTTAACCTTACCCAGCTCTGGAGCTTATTTAGTGAGTGGTGGGGAGTATATGAGAAGGAGCAGCATCAGGACCTGCTGTGTGTGCACTCCCAGTCTCCAGCAGGGAAGGAGGGAAGCCATCGCTAATTCTACCTAACAGGGAACCCTGTGAAAGTCTGCCAGCGAACTCAGGGTGGTCATGGATTGAGAGAACGTCCCAAGTGAGATTTGAGATATAATTTTGAGTGAGGAGCTGGGCGACCCTGATTCATGGGCAGCCTGAGAGGGGAGGGGCCTGAAAGCGTCAGTGGTTTCTGTCTCTGTGAAGAAGGCTTACAGCCTAGGACTGTTTTGAGTTCTGAGCACAGACTGACTGGAACCTAGCTAGCAGCTGCTAGTGGAACACTGCAAGTGGGAGACCTGGCTTACCAAGTGTAGGGGAGCTGGGTGGGGCTTACTGCTCCTGCTACTCCCCACTCCCCACGTGGACTCTTCTGTGCAGCAGCAGCAGCTGCGTGCCTCCCTGGAACATTACTCCAGTGGCAAGAGAACTGCTCTCTGCTCCCCACTGGGGCTGCTGCTTGCACCTGCATGTGGAGAGCCAGAGCATGGACTTGCCAGACCCAGACTCCACCTGGTTTGCCCCTCCACCTACCCTGGTAGCTTAACACAAAGGACAGAAGCATTTGGGAGCTCTATGTCCCTGCCCACTGCCTGAGACACAAGAGTACCTTTCCTAGGTAACATGAGGCAAACACAAATCCCATTGCAACTACTGCAGCCAGCCCTATTTTGCAAGCGCTACCTCCTGGCTGGAGGCCAACTGACAATCCATTACAGCATCTGCAGGCTGAATAACAGCGCCCAGGAAGGAGATAACTTGTGTCACCTTATCTATCACCATTGCCCGTGTCACCCAGGATAACCAGTTGGTCCTGACTGTGTCCACATGACCAGTTCATTACTACTACAACTGGCATTTGAGAAGACCAACACATTAAGCCTATTTGTAATCAAGGAATCTCACAGAGTCTACCTCACTCCTCTGCTACCCCCATCAGAGCTGATGCTGGTACCCACTGCTGGAAGTCTTGAGAATAGGTCACATCACTGGATCCCATGCAGATATTTCCCAGCACCACCTAGGGTGTGGCAGTCCAGTTGGGTGTCTAGACCCAGAGAAGCAGCAGTATTCATAGTAATCTCTTAGGGACTCCTACTCCTGGGGCAGAGGCAGGGAGGTGCATCACATTAAAGAAGCACCCTATGGAACGAAAGAATCCAGGTGGTGGCCTTGAGTCTCAGAATTTTCTGCTTGTGAAAAATTTCTTTCAGTAGAGGCATAGGTACAGTTCTGGGCTCAATGGGGGAAGACTGCAGTTCCACCTCAACAGTCAGGCAGCCCTGGTGCTCAAGAAGAATCTTAGAGAAAGAGATGTCTTTTCTCCTCATCCACCACTGCAGACACAGTTGGGGCTTCCTCCACGGGTGCTTGGCATGGGTACACCTGTAGGCAGCTTTTCTGGAATACTTCAGGGTGATGGCATCCCGACAGAAGGAGGGCATTCTAGGTTCGCACTTGCCTGAGAGGTAGAGTCAAATTCTGTCTCTACATGGAACATCTACATTCCTGCAAATAAAAAGAGGAGCCTGTCTGATCTGAATAGCTGGAACACTGAGTCAGGAGTGTGACTGGGAGGGAGGTGGATCACTTTCCTCCCGCCCTAGCAGGGGAGTTGAGGTGGCTCCCTCCCTTCCCCATGAAAAGACTTCAGCACATTTCACTAAGAGCTCCCCAGCCACCTCTGTCAAGGCTGGGATCTCTGTCCACCACTGGGTATTTCATTTACCCACCTGCTTTAGACACATCCAGTTTTTTTCCCATGGGCACCTTCCTTACTGGCCTGAAATGTGAACTATTCGACCCAATAAATAAAATACTGAGGAAAAAGTAAAACAAAAAGTGCACACCACTGGAGAATGAGATAATCTTCAAGGGACCTCTTCCATTTCAACCCCACAAGAGACAGTGAAAATGCTTGCACACCTACCACTTTGCTACTACAAACATAATCTGAGAAGCCATCATACAAAGTCTCTTTATAACAAAGAAACTCACACAAAGTCTTCACACCCTAAAGAAGTCAGATCCAAATTTAATTACAACGGACTGAAATCATTAAAGTCATCCTAAAGGGGGAATTTTTTAAAAAGTCAAATCAAAAATAATTTCAAAAATAATTAGAAGACAGTCTACCCAAATGAAAAGGAACAAGAAAAATAATTCTGGCAATATAAATAGAGTTCCCTGACACACCAAAAATCACACTAGCTCTCCAGAAATGGATCCAAACCAAGATGAAATCTTTGAAATATCAGATAAAGAAAGCAAAAGTTTTATTACTAAGTTACTCAAGCAGATACAATGGAAAGGTGAAAATCAGCCTAAGGAAATTTAAAAGCAACAATTCAGGACATACGTGAAAACTTTTGTAAAGAGATAGAAATTTTAAAGAAAAACCAACTAGAACTTATGAAAAAGAAAGATATATTTAGGAAATTACAAAACGCAGTGGAAACTTTTAAAAATAGAATAGACCAAATAGAAGACAGAATTTCATAGCTTGAAAACAAAGCTTTCGAATTAATGCAATCATACAAACATACAGAAAAAAAAATTAAAGAAATGTATAAAGTCTCCAAGAAATTTGGGATTATGCAAAATGGCCAAACCTAAGAATCACTGGCATTCCTGAGAGAGAAGAAGCACAAAGTTTGGAAAACTTTTTCTTGAGACATTCTCAGTCTGTTGCCTAGGCTGGCGTGCAGTAGCACAATCACAGCTAACTGCATCCTTGACCTCCAGGGCTCCAGTAATCCTCCCATCTCAGTCTGCCGAGTAGCAGTAACTACGGGCACGTGCCACCACACCTTGCTATTTTTTTGTAATTTTTTGTAGAGACAGGGTTGCACACCTGTTGCAACAGCGTGGTCTTGAACTCCTGGGCTCATGTGGTCCACCTACCTCAGCCTCCCAAAGGGCTGGGATTACAGGCATGAACCACCACATCCAGCCCTGGAAAACTTATTTGAGGGAACAATTGAGGAAAACGTCCCTGACCTTGCTAGAGATTTAAACATCCAAATACAATAAGCTCAAAGAACTCCTGGGAGATTCAGTGCAAAAAGGGTATCACCTAGGCATATGTTCATTGGACAATCTAAAGTCAATGTGAAGGGAAGAATTCTAAGAGCTGTGAGAACAAAACATCAGGTAACCTAGAAAGGAATGCCTATTGAACTAACAGCAAACTTCTCAGCAGAATCCTTCAAAGCCAGAAAGGAATGGGATTCTATCTTTAGACTCCTTAAAGAGAATTGACTGTCAGTCAAGAATTTTTTAAATTAAAAAAAATTCTATTTAATTTTGTGAGTGCATAGAAGATGTATATATTTATGGAGGACATGAAATGTTTTGATATGGGTATGCAATACATAATAATCACATTATGGGATATGGGATATCCATCCCTCAAGCATTTATCCTTTGTGTTACAAACAATACAATTGTATTATTTTAAAACATACAATTAAATTTGTATTGACTGTAGTCACCCTGTTATGTTATCAAATACTAAGCCTTATTATTCATTCATTCAATTTTTTGTACCCCTTAACCATTCCGACCTCCCCACCACTACCTCCCCTACCCTTCCCAGCATCTGGTAACCATCCTTCTACTCTCTCTCCATGGGTTCAATTATTTTTATTTTTAGATCCCACAAATACATGAGAACATGTGATGTTTGTTTTTCTGTGCCTGGATTTTTTCACTTAATATAAGGACCTGCAGTTCCACCCATGTTGTTGCAAATGACTGAATTCCATTTTGCTTTTATGGCTGAATAGTACTCCACTGTGTATAAATACCACATTTTCTTTATCCATTCATCTGCTGATGTACACTTAGATTGCTTCCAAATCTTGGCTATTGTGAAAAGAGCTGCAACAAACATGAGAGTGCAGATATCTCTTTGATATATTGATTCCTTTCTTTTGGATGTATAGCCAGAAGTGGAATTACTGAATTGTATAGTAGCTCTATTTTTAGTTTTCTGAGGAAACTTCAAACTGTTATCCATAGTGGTTGTACTAATTTACATTCCAAACAGTGTATGGGGGTTCATTTTTCTCCACATCCTCACCAGCATTTATTATTGCGTGTGTTTTGAATAAAAGCCATTTTAACTGGGTGAGATGATATCTCATTGTAGTTTTGATTTGCATTTCTTAATGATGTTGACCAACTTTTCATATGTTCATTTGCCATTTGTATGTCTTCTTTTGAAAAATGTCTATTCAAACAATTTACCCATTCTTAAATTGGATTATTAGATATTTTCCTAATCAGTTGCTTAAGCTCCTTATGTATTTTGATTATTAATCCCTTGTCAGATGGATAGTTTGCAGATATTTTCTCCCATTCTGTTAGTTGTCTGTGCTCTTTGTTCATTGTTTCCTCTGCTGTGCAGATTTTTAACTTGTAGTGATCCAATTTGTCCATTTTTTTCTTTGATTTCCTGTGCTTGTGGGGTATTACTCAAGAAATCTTTGGCCAGGCTGATGTCGTGGAGCATTTTCTCAATGTTTTATTGTAGTAGTTTCATAGTTTGAGGTATTAGATTTAAGTCCTTAATCTACTTTGATTGATTTTTGTAAATGGCAAGAGATAGAGTCTAATTTTATCTTTCTTCATGTGGCTATTCAGCTTTTCTAGCATCATTTATTGAAGAGACTGACTTGCCCCAGTGTATATTATTGGCAACTTTGTTAAAAATGAGTTTACTGTAGGAGTGTGGATTTGTTTCTTGGTTCTCTATTCTGTTCCATTGGTATGTGTATCTGTTTTTATGCCAGTATCATGCTGCTTTGGTTACTGTAACTCTGTAGTATAATTAGAAGTCAGGTAATGTGATTCCTTCCATTTTGTTCTTGTTGCTTTGGATAACTTTGGCTATTCTGGGTCTTTTGTAGTACCATATAAATTTTAGAATTTTTTATTTTTATTTTTGTGAAGAATGTTACTGGTATTCTGAGAGGGATTTCATTGCATCTGTAGATTGCTTTGGGTAGTATGGACATTTTAATGATATTGATTCCTTCAATCCGTGAGGACGGAATATATTTTCATTTTTTGGTGTCCTCTTTATTTCATCAGTGTTTTATAGTTTTCATTGTGGAGATTTTTTTACTTTCTTTGGTTAATTCCTAGGTATTTAATTTTATTTGTAGCTATTGTAAATGGGACTACTTTTAAAATTTCTCTTTCAGATTGTTCACTATTAGCATATAGAAATGTTAATAATTTTTGTATGTTCATTTTGCACTCTGCAAATTTACTGCATTTGGTTTCCAGGTCTAACAGTTTTTTTGTGGAGTTTTCAGGTTTTTGTGAATATTATATAACATATGTAACAAGAATAGTTTGACTTCTTTCTTTTCAATTTGGATGTCCTTCATATTTTTCTCTTGTCTGATTGCTCTAGTTAGGATTTTCAGTACTATGTTGAATAACAGTGGTGAACGTGGGCATCCCTGTTGTGTTCCAGATCTTAGAGAAAAGGCTTGCCATTTTTCCCCATTCAGTATGATACTAGCTGTGGGTCTGTCATATAAGGCTTTTATTATGTTGCAGTACATTCCTTCTATTCCTTTTTTTTTTTTTGAAGGATTTTATCATAAAGGGATGTTGAATTTTACCAAATGCTTTTCAGCATCAATTGAAATGATCATATGGGTTTTGTCTTTTGTTCTGTTGTCACGATGTATCACATTGATTAATTTGCTTATAGCATGCGAGGTATAAATCCCACTTGGTCATGATGAATGATCATTGGACTGCAGGTAGTTTTTATTTTTATTTTTATTTTTTGTCTTTGCGTGGTTTTGGTAACAGGGTAATAGTAGCCTTGTAGAATGAGTTTGAAAGTAGTTTCTCCCCTTTTATTTTTTGGAATAGTTTGAGTAAGATTGGTATTAGTTTTACTTCAAATGTTTGGCAAGTATCAGCAGTAAATTCATCGGGTCCCAGGTTTTTCTTTACTGGGAGGTGTTTTATTACAGCTTTAATACTGTTAATTGTTAATGGTCTGTTCAGGTTTTAGATTTCTTCATTGTTCAATCTTAGTAGGTCGTATGTGTCTACTATTTTGTCCATTTTTTCTAGATTTTTCTACATATTGGTATATAGTTGCTCATAGTAGCTGGTAATGATCATTTCTGCAGTATCGGTTGTAATGTCTCATCTTTAATCTCTGATTTTATTTATTTGGGTCTCTTTTATTTTTCTTATTCTGGCTAAAGGTTTGTCTATTTTGTTTAACTCTTAAAAAAACCAACTTACTGTTTCTTTGATCTTTTGCATAGTTTTCTTTATTTCAATGTCCTTTATTTCTGCACTGATATTCATTATTTTTTTTCTACTAATTTTTGGTTTGGTTCACTCATGTTTTTCTAGTTGCTTACACTGGTAGGTTGTTTCTTTGGAGTTTTTCTTCTTTTTTGATTCAGACAGTTATAGCTATAAAATTCTCTCTTAGTACTTCTTTTTCTGTATCCTACAGCTTTTGATATGTCATATTTTATTATCTTTTGTTTCAAGAAATTTTAAATTCCTTCTTAATTTTTTTTATTGACCCATTCATTATTCAGGAGTATTTTCTTTAATTTCCATGTATTTGTACAGTTTCCAAAATTCCTCTTGTTATTAATTTCTAGTTTTGTTCCATCATGATTAGATAAGCTTTATATTATTTCATTTTTTTGAATGCTTTAAGACTTGTTTTGTGACTTGACATATGGTCTATCCTTAAGAATGATCCATGTGCTGAGGAACAGTATGTGTATTGTTAAGCTGCTGGATAAAATCTTCTGTTAATAGCTATTAGATTTATTTGGTCTATAGTGCAGATTAAGTCTGATGTTTCTTTGTTGATTTTTTTTTTTGTCTGAATGACCTATCCAATGCTGAAAGTGGGGTGTTTAAGTCTCTATCTATTATTGTATTGAAGTTTATGTCTCTCTTTAGATCTAATAATATTTGTTTTATACATCTGGGTGATCCAGTGCTGGGTGCATATATATATTTACTATCATTATATCCTCTTGCTGAATTGACCACTTTATTATTATATCATAACCCTTTTGTCTCTTCCTATAGTTTTGTCCTTAAATCTATTTTGTGTGATATAAATATAGCAACTCTTGCTCTTTTGTAGATTCCATTGGCATGGAATACCTTTTGCCATCCCTTCATTTTCAGTCTATGTTTGTCTTTATAGGTGAAGTGTGTTTCTTGTAGGCAACAGATCAATGCATCTTGTTTTTTTATTCATTAAATCACCCTATGTCTTTTGATTAGAGAATTTAGTCAGTTTACATTCAATGTTACTATTGATGAGTAAGGATTGCTTTTGCTATTTTATTATTTCTTTTCTGGTCATTTTGTGGTCTTTTCTTCTTTCTTTCTTTATTTCTTTTCTCTTTTCCTTTTAGTGATGATGATTTTCTCTGGTGATGATTTAATTCCTTCCTTTTTTACTTTTTGTGTATCCATCATATGCTTTTTTGAGGTTACCACGAGGCTTGCAAATACTAGCATATGATCCATTATTTTAAGCTGATAGCAATTTAACAGTGTTTGCATGAACAAACAACCAAAAGAAAACTAATACTCTATGCCTTAACTTTATCCCCCTACTTTTTAACTTTTTGTTGTTACTATTTATACCATATTATATTGCCTATGTCTTGAAAAGTTGTAGTTATCATTTTTATTAGTTTATTTTTAAGTCTTTCTACATAAGATAATAGTAGTTTACATACCAGAGTTGCAGTGTTACAATATTCTGTGTTTTTCTGTGTACCTACTGTTACCAGCGAGTTTTGTACCTTTGGTTGATCGCTTATTGCTCATTAACATTCTTTTCTTTCTGATTGAAATACTCCCTTTAGCATTCCTTGTTGGACAGATCTGGTGTTGATGAAATCCCTCAGCTTTTGTTTGTCTGGGAAAGTATTTCTTTTTTATGTTTTTAGAATAATTTTACCAGATATACTATTCTAGGATAAAATATTTCTTTCTTCAGGACTTTCAGTATGTCATGACATCCTCTCCTGGTCTATAAGGTTTCCACTGAAAAGTCTGCTGCTAGATGTATTGGAGCTCCATTTTATGTTATTTGTTTCTTTTCTCTTGCTGCTTTTAGGACCCTTTCTTTACCCTTGACTTTTGGGAGTTTTATTATTGAATGCCTTGAGGTAGTCTTCACTGCTTTGTGTTCTATATCCTTCCAGTACTTGGATATTAATATCTTTCACTAGGTGTGGGAAACTCTCTATTACCATTTCCCTGAGTAAGCTTTCTACCCCTATCTCTCTATCTCCTTTGTAAGGCCAATAACTCATAGATTTTCCCTTTTTAGGCTATTTTCTAGATTCTGTAAGTGTCCTTCATTGTTTTTTAGTCTTTTTTCTTTTGTCTACTGTACGTATTTTCAAATAGCTTGTATTCAAGCTCACTAATTCTTTCTTCTATTTGATCAATTCTGCTGTTAAAAGACTCTGATGCATTCTTTAGTATGTCAATTGCATTCTTCAACCTCAGAATTTCTGTTTGATTCTTTTTATTTCAATTTCTTTGTTAAATTTGTATGATAGAATTCTGAATTCCTTCTCTGTGCTATTGTGAATTTTCTTTGAGTTTCTTCAAAATAGCTATTTTGAATTATCTGAGCAGTCATATATCTGTTTCTTCATGATTGGTCTCTGGTGCCTTACTTAGTTAATTTGGTGAGGTCATGTTTTCCTGGATGGTGCTGATGCTAGTAGATGTTCTTCAGTGTCTGGGCATTGAAGAGTTAAGTATTTATTGTAGTCTTTGCAGTCTGGGTTTGTTTGTACCCATCCTTTCGGGGAAGAATTTCCAGATATTCAAAAGGAATTGGGTATTGTGATCTAAACTATATCTGCTTTATGGAGGACACCAAACCCAGTAGCACTGTGGTTCTTTCAGATGCATAGAGTTTCCACCTTAATAGCTTTGAACAAGATCGGGAAGAATTCTCTGGATTACCAGGCTGAGACTCTTGTTTTTTCCCTTACTTTATTCCAAACAAATGGAGTCTCTACCTCTCTGCTCTGAGCTGCCTGGAGCTGGGAGTGGAGTGACACAAGTAACCCCTGTAGCTACAACCCCTAGGACTGTCCTGAAGGAGACCTTAAGCCAGCACAGTGCTGAGTCTCACCCAAGGCCTGATGCAACCACTCCCTGGCTGGGACTCTATAATCAACAAGTGGCAAAGCTAGCCAAGCATATGTTTTTCCCTTCAAGGTGGTGAGTTCCCCCAGGGGTGGGTCCAGAGGTGCTATCTGGGAGCCCAGGTCTATAGTCAAGAACTGTAGAAGTTCGCATAGTGTTCTATTATACTGAAGCTGAGCTGACACTCACCACAAGATGCAGTCTTTCCCACTCTTTCATCCTCTTTCCAAAGGCAGAGTAGCCTCACCCAGTGGCCGTGGCCACCTCAGGCCCACAGAGGGTATTGCCAGACTACCACTGATGTTCCCTTAAGGCCCAAAGCCTCTTCAGTCAGCTTGTTGTGAACGCTGCCTGGCCTAGGACTCACCCTTAAGGGGAGTGGTCTCCCTTCTGACCCAGGGAAGATGCTGAAATACTTTTTAAGAATCAAGTCCTAGAATTGGGGACAGCAAGATCCTGCTTAGTGCTCTGCTCCCATGTGGCCAAACTGTAACTAAGGTGGAAGACAAAGTCCCCTTTACTTTTCTCTCTACTTTGGTCAAGCAGAAGGAGTCTCACCCCATAGCCACCACAACTGGGAATATGCTGAGTCTCACCAGAGGCCAGCAAGTCCATATCTCACTCAAAGCCCTCAATACAGTACCTGGGCATCACTGCTGGCTAATCAGGGCCCTAAGGCTCTTTAGTTAGCAGGTGATAAATCCAGCTGAGACTGGGTTCTTCTGTTCCTAGGGCTGGATTGTCGCTTCAAGACAATGAGTTCCCTTCTGGCCCAGGGTATGTCTAGAAATGTCTGGGAGCTAGGGCCTGGAAAGAGGCCCTCATGACTTTGACTGGTGTCCTATCTTGCTGTGGCTGAACTGGTATCCAAGATGCAAGACAAAGCCCTCCTCACTTTTTTTGTCTCCTCAAGTGGAAGAAAGGGGCCTCTTTTGGAGCCTGAGCTATGTGGCCTGGGGTCATGGGAAGGGTTATGCAAGCACACACTTAGCCGCTCCAGCTGGTGACTCAACAGGTCTGTGTCTCCCCACCCCAGGCTACTATCTCTGGGCCCAGTTCAGCCCTAAGACTAGCCCAGGTATTACAGTCCTTGTGGCCTAGACTGCCTGGAGCACTTTAGGCCATGGCAGCAAGGCATGTGGGAACTCAAGTTCAAGTTCTGACCATTGGGATCGGTGATTCCCCTCTGGCTACAGCTGGTTTAAATGCATCCTCCATAGGCAGGTGTTAGCAGAGTTTGTTCTGGTTTTGATTTCTGCTGTAACAAGTCGGGAAGGGATTGTGGTGGTGAGACTGTTTTTCCTACCTATTTAGTGGTTCTTTTAGCAATATGAAGTTAAAACCAAGTACTGTGAGTGCTCACCTGATTTGGGGGTCTTACAAAAGTGCTGTGTGTGTGTGTCTGTGTGTGTGTGTAGATAATTAAATTGGTGTCCTTGTGGCAGAGGGTGGGGGCAATCACTGGAGTCTTGTATTCTGCCATATGCTCCACCTCTGTCCCAGCCAATAATTTTATATCCAGCCAAACTAAGTTTCATAAATGAAGGAGAATAAAGTCTTTTTCAGACAAGTACATGCTGAGCTAATTTGTCACTACCAGACCAGTCCTACAAGAAATGCTAAAACGAGTTCTAAAGCTTAAAACACAAGTACAACATGCACTAGAATAGAACCTCTTGACATCCTAAAACTCACAGGGCCTATAACAAAATAACATAATGAAGAAAACAACATCATGGCTGGATCACTACCTCACACCTCATTATTAACATTGAATGTAAACGCTGTAAATGTTCTACTTAAAAGATACAGATTGGCAGAATGGATAAAAAAAATCACAAACCATCTATTTGCGTCTTCAACAGACTCACTTAACACATAAGGATTCTCTTAAACTCAGGGTAAAGAGGTGGCAAAAGATATTTAATACAAATAGAAACCAAAAGGGAGCATGAGTAGCTGCACTTACAGCAGGTAAAACTGAATTTAAAGCAAGAATGTTAAAAAAAAAAAGGCAAAGAAGGTCATTATTAAATTATAAAAGAATAAGTTCATCAAGAAGATATCACAATTCTAAATATATATGCACCCAACTCTAGAGTTCCCAGATTCATAAAACTGTTATTACTAGTCCTAAGAAAAGAGATAGATAGCAACACAACATTTGGGTGGTATTTCAGCACTTCACTGACACCAGTAAACTGATAATCAAGACAGAAAGTCAACAAAGAAACACTGGACTTAAACTTCACTCTAGAACTAATGGATTAACAGATATTTACATAAAATTCTACCCGAGAAATATGGAATATACATTATTCTCATCAACACATGGAACAGTCTACAAATTAGACCATGTGATAGGCCACAAAACAAGTCCCAATAAATTTTTTAAAAATCAGTATTATGTCAAGTATCTTCTTACATCACAGTGGAATAAAACTGGAAATCAACTCCAAAAGGAATCCTCCAAAGTATAAGAGTACATAGAACTTAAACAATCTGATCCTGAATAATTTTTGTGTTAACAATAAAATCAAGATTAAAATTTTAAAATTATCCAGAATGAATCATAATAGTGACATAAGTTATCAAACCCTCTGGAATAAAGCAAAAGCAGTGCTAAGAGAAAAATTGAGCATTAAATACTTGCATCAAAAAGCCTGAAGGATCACAAGTTGGCAACCTAACATCACACCTCAAGGAAGTAGAGAAAGAAAAGCAAACCAAACCCAAATCTAGCAGAAGTAAACAAATAACAAAGATCAGAGAAAAACTAAATGAATTAAAACCAAAAATACAAAGATCAATAAAACAAAACAAATGTTTATTTGAAAAGAAACAAAAACGTGATAGACCATTAGCTATATTAACCAGGAAAAGAAGAGAGAAGTTTCAAATAAGCTCAATTAGAAATGGAAATGGAGACATTACAATCAAGACACCACAGAAATACAAAAGATTATTAGAGACACTATGCACACCTCTATGTGCCCAAAATAGAAAAATCTAGAGGAAATGGATAAATTCCTGGAAACATTAAACCCTCCTAGTTTGAATCAGGAAGAAATAGAAATCCTAAACAGACCAATAACAAGGAGTGAGACTTAATCAGTAATTTAAAAAATTGCCAACAACAACAACAACAACAACAACAACAACAACAACAAAAGCCCAGAGCCTGATGGATTCACAGCAGAATTCTATCAGACCTTCAAAGAAGAATTGGTACCAATCCTACTGAAACTATTCCAAAAAACTGAGAAAGAGGGCATCTTCCCTAACTTGTTCTAGGGAGCCAGTATTGCCCTGATACCAAAGCCAGGAAAGGATATAACAACAAAAGAAAACTACAGACCAATCTCCCTGAACATTGATGCAAAAATCCTCGACAAAATCCTAGCAAGCTTAAGGTAACAGCACATCATAAGCAGGTGCTAAGCTATGAGGACCCAAAGATGTAACAATGATACAATGGACTTTGGGGACTCGGGGAAAGGGTGGGAGGTGGGTGAGGGATAAAAGAGCACACCTTGGGTACAGTGTACACATTGGGTACAGTGAACACTGCTTAGGTGATTGGTGATGGGAGCACCAAAATCTTAGAAATCCCCACTAAAGAGCTTATTCATGTAACCAGACATCACCTGTTCCCCCAAAACATATTGAAATAAAAAAAGTAAGTAAATTTAAAACAAACAAACAAAAAGAACTGGGATTTTGAGTACACATAAAAGTGATTCCAAAAGTGTGTTCCACTTGGGTCTAGAATACTAGACCCAAGAGATACATCCTGTGAAATTTAAGTGTCTCATGGACATGATAATGAGATATACAAGAGTGAAACACTTTTATAAAAGTGTTTTGAAATACTGTGTCTTGTGGCTTATATTTGAAGTCCACAGTACATATTAAAAGGGCTTCTTAAAAGCCCTACAGTAAAGAAACCCATTTAACTTTGTTAACCCAAGTTCCCCACGTTTACTTAGTAATCGAACATTTTTAGCCATGAAACACTTATCTTCTCTAAGAAAATTTTTGGAAGTACCAGATTAGAATCATAATTCTGGCTTAATTAGTGTAGAGAGAATGCATTCTTGTGACAGAACTGGCACACCTAGAGGCTCACATGCAGTATGAATCTGAAGAGGATGTTTTTATTGGCAGGCAGAGAATGCATGTGGGTCCAATGTTCTCTGGATTTGGTTTGGCAATGCAATCTTGCTTAGTGTCTCAGAATAATTATATTACCTCTTTCTTCCAGATAACACACTTGCATATACATTCTAAATGAACCTGGCATTCTGGCTATTGGTTGAGCTAAGGTATCCCCTTTACAATATACATGGTCATGCTAGTAATCCACAAACATGGCAGCAAATCTGTATCACCTGAGACATCTTGTTCAAAATACAGATTCTCCAGTTCCACTACCGAGATTCTCTATTAGGAGGTCTGAGGCAGGCGCTAGGCATATTTGTGTACATATGTCCCACCCATTAATGAAGGCCCAGGAGAGTTTATGAAGTCACTCTACAGACCAAAAACTGGCAACCACTGAGCACATCCCAATTTATCCTCCACTCTGACTTCCTTAATTTTGTTCTAAGGTTTCAGGCCACACTCCTCTGCTCATATAAAACTAATTTTACTAATTTTTTACCAGTAAAATTTTATGAGCCATGGTGATCAAGTACTTCAGTAAGATCCCAATATGCAGTTCATGATGCATTTTCTTTATTATTTTGGAAATGAGTGTTGCACAGCCATAAAGTTTGTTGAATATAATTTGTTTGGAGTAATCCTGTGTTATTTTTATCTAATGATTTATCTATCTTTTCAAAGCTTGTTGATTTATACATTTTTTTCATTACAATGCAATGGAACAATTCAGGCTAATTTTAGATTTATTAGATGGTGATTTTTTTGGATATTATTTTATTTCAGACAAGGCTTTATTTCCGTTGTTCTATTTTGCTGTTTTTAAACAATCCAAAACATTTTAGCATGAATATGAGCGAATTCTCACAATATTGCTTCACTCTTTTATATCTCATGATTACATGTTTAATTGTTCCCTGTTTGCAGCTATATCAACAGTTCTATTGATTAGAATCAAATTAATTCAAAACATTATTTAGCTAAATTTAAAGAATGAGTTAATATCTCAGACATTTTCAAAGATATGCCTTGGGTAATAAAATCATTCTATAATGTAAGGTATTATGAACTTTTCAATGTACTTTCTCATAAGAACTTTTCAGATTCTACAACAATAACATGATGATATAGAGAAGATAATATCTCCATGGAAAAAATATGACTACTATGGGTCAGAAAGACTAACTTAATTGGAGACCACACATAACCAGAATAAGAACATTGGGATCCTTACGTCCAGCTCAGAGTTCTCTCTGAAAATACTGACATGAATAGGTGTCCCTAGATTGACTTGATGAAGGAAGGGTTCTCTAACTCATTTGCAGGAAAGAAATCTGTTAAAGCATTTCTTTTATATGGGAAAGACACTGTTTCTCATTATTATAATAGGGGGTACTTATTAGCATCCTATTATAATAGCATAGGGAAACTAAGAAAGAAAACAAGCAAGATGGAATTAAGTAGCTAAAGGAGGAAGTTATTGGAGAAAGGTGATTGTATCAATTATAAAATCACCCTGGGAGATAATAAAAATCAAATTCATTATAATTCAACTCATTAAAATAAAGACTTATATGGACCATAGAGTCCCATTAATGTAATTTGTAACATTTCTCCTCACATGAAAGTGCTATACTTTGTAAAATTTCAGTGGGATAAGGCCAACATATGAGAATACCTCTAGGCTTCCTCCCTGAGCATTGGTGTTAGAGCAGAAAGCCATTGGTTAGTAAATATTCTGTTGTTTGCTTTTGGAAATATTCAAGTGTCACAGGCTTGGTTCTCAGAAGAGAGTGAGACAAAGTTTGTTTGTCCTATGACAGGCAAATATGGCTAGACTTTTGTACGCCCACCTTGTTCAGTTATCACATGTGGGCTACCCTGGGGACTCTATGACCTTGGTGAGGTAGCACTCTGCATCTAAGGCAGACCCTGAAGGAGCCGGGCGCTGGAGATTGCCAACTGCATTTCCTTCAGTTGAGCAGCCCCACTTTCTATAAAGGTGGATCTAGGAGACACATCTTTTTGTCTGATACATGCCATCTCTTGTGCAACTTAGCTCCACATCTTCATATACACCCAGGGAACTCTTTCATTAGGAGACTAGTGAACTTCTCTTTCTGATGGGAAACATACGAGAGAGTCTCAGGTCTACAGTTAACAGCCACTGTTTTCTTTCTTCACAACCCAGTCTAGATTCTCTTCACCTTCAGCTAGAACCTCTTCTGGCTTTGATGGTTTCTTGATATTTTGACCCACAGACTCATATGTGAGGGATCTGAGCCCCTGTCTCAATAGACAGGCCCACCTGAGCTCCCATATAAGGCCAAGAGTACTGTCCCCTCCATTTACCATCACAATTAAGCCAAACAGTACCAAAAGTTACCTAAGTGGATCACCTGGATTTTATCAATTTTTCTCCTGACTTTTGTGGTGTATTAGTAACTCCCTCCTCCTGATAATCCAAGCCAGTTTCTGTTTTTAAAATAGTGATTTCTCTTTTTTGCTTCTAGTTTCAAAAACAAGGGGTTCTGAATGTTTTGAAACAAGACGTGCACAATGCCTCAGTGTTTTATTGAGAATATAAATGTGTGTTATTGGGCTCATTCTTTTTCCTACTGTTTGTTTTTTGAACTCCGTGCACTCTTCCTATTGAGGACACAGTGCTGTATTGATATGTTTGAGTTAACACATATACTGCATCCTGGTAAAAGGCACCATTTTTTCATGCATTCCCTTCAAGCTATGTAGGTATTTCAGCTATACATTCAGCTCACCATCTAATGCTTTATCAGGTCAGCAAATTTAGATGGTGCAGGTACGTAATATGACCAGGGGACCCCATGGTTATGGTCTCACTCTTACCCTTCCTCTGTTATAAAGAGGATTCCCTGGACTGTTTTGATATTAAATGAAATTTCATGCTGGTAGATAAAAAAAATTCTATAATCCTTTGGAAAATGGTGCTGGCTGAAGCTATGTGGAAAAGAAAAAACCAAAAATGTACCCAGAACTGATACCTATATCCATGAGGAAAAATTGCTGTCCTTTTCAGAATAAAGAGAGTCTGGCATAGTTAACTTGCTGCCAAGTGGGTGGTTGCTTTCAAGAAATAGTGCTACATGAACCATGATCAGGTGTTATGTTTCTGTAAGGGCCTAATATTATGCCATAGATTGTTGTTCAAAATGTGTTTAATTGTCTTCTAAAGATGCGATGGGTTTGCATTAGAAGAACAGAGGTATTATGATTCTCTCACTGTGCCTTGCCACAAAGTTCAAACTACATCTTTTCTTAACATTGATCCTACACCACATGGTCTGCTGTACTGTATGTCCCATTCCACATGTATGCTAGTTCAGACTGTCTCCAGAGCCAGTTTGTGCTCTAGTCCCCAGTCAAAGCTGAAAAATTTTGTGTCAAACAACACATGGGCTAGAGCAGTATTACCAAGTGTGAACTCTACTGCCTCCAGGACCAAAGACTCTCCATAAATCCCTTAATTTTCATAGGGCTTGTTTCCTATGCCCTGGAGCTCACGTGTTTTGCAAAGGCCTTCAGCATGCTAGCAACTTCATGCTATCTGGCCTGATCATTGTAAAATCATCAATGTGATGTTTTATGGGATGTCCAGATGACCCAGACTTGTTTGGACTATATTACAGGTAGAATGGCCCTAGGAGAGAAAATAAAAAATACACATTATTTTCTGTCGTAAAATAATATACATTGTCTTTGATTTCCCTTTCCTGATTGACATAGAAAAGAATTTATTCCCCAAATAATGTCTTCACACCATGTATATTAGGCTGTGTTAATCTGCTGTTGCAAAGTTACTACATCTAGCTTAGCGATCACAATAATTAGGACCACTGCTTGGTTGAAGGTGTGACCCTGTACCATCACTTTCCAGGATATGTCTGGCTTCTGAAAAAGCGGGACTTGAAATAAATGAAAATATAATTAGAGATTTACACATGTAATTTTAGATTCTTATGTGACTCCAACTTCCTCTCACCAGTGCATTATTTATGGTCTTGGTAAATAAATGTACTTAGTTCTTCCCAATAACATAATCACCTGGTAGGTCTTCCAACCATACATAATACATGCATTTCAACATGTTCATCTACCTGAAACTTTTATTCCCCTTTTTTCAGAGTATGTCTGAGCAATTCCAGCATTTTTGTTTCACTTATCATGGGCCATCTTTTTTCCATGTTTTGAAGACTTTTACCAAAGCACTACTTAAGGTATGTTGATTGTACTTAGCAGATAGGTTTTCTTTAGAAAGTCAATTTGAAAATCATTTTTAATAAGTTGGTTAAGTGTAGTCATATTTATTTATATGACTGATATATTTGATGTCAAGTCTATTTTATTTCCTGATTTGTTATTCATGTGTAATGGTTGTATATATCCTGGGAGTATTTGGTAAAATTTTGATACAGGCATACAATATGTAATGATGAAGCCAGGGCAATTGGGACAGCCTTCACTCCAAACATTCACCCCTTCTTTATAGTACAATCATTGCAATATCTCTTCTCCAATAATTTTGATCTACACAACAAATTATTGTTAACTATAGTCACTCTACTTTACTATCAAACATTAGATCTCATTCCTTCTATCTAACTGCATTTTTGTGCCCATCAACTCATCTCTCTTCTTCACCCCACCCCATATTTCTCAGCCTCTGGTGACCACCAATTAACTGTCAACTTTCATAAGATTCACTTTTTTTAGCTCTCACATATGGTAGAAACAGTGATACTTGTCTTTCTGTGCTGAACATTTCACCTAACATAAAGGCTTCCAGTTTCACCCATATAGTTGCAAATGACAGGATGCCATTCTTTTTTATGGCTGAATAATATTACATTGTGTATATGTCATCACATTTTATTCATCCATTTATCTTTTGATGGACACAGGTTGATTCTACATCGTGGCTATTGTGAGCAGTGCTGTAATAAATATGGGAGTGCAGATATCTCTTCATATACTGATTTATTTTCTTTTTGATATATACCCAGCAGTGGGATTGCTGAATTATATGGTATTTTCATTTTCAGCTTTTGAGGAACTTTTGTACTGTTTTCCACAGTGTGTGTACTAATTTACATTCCCACTAACAGTGTATGAGTATTTCTCTTTTTTCACATCCTCATCAGCATCCATTATTTTTTGTCTTTTTTATAAAAGACATTTTAACTGAGGTGAGATAATATCTCTTTGTGTTTTTTATTGTCATTTCCCTCATGGTTAATGATGTTGAGAGTATTTTTTCCATATACCTGTTGGCCATCTGCAGCCTCCTTTTGAGAAATGTCTATTCAGATCTTTTTCTCATCAGATTACAATTGATTATTGAACAACATGAGATTTAGAAGCACTGACTCCTGTGTAGTCAAAAATCCATGTATAAATTTTGGCTTCCCAGAAACATAACTACTAATAGTCTACTGTTGGCCAGAAGCCTTCGTGGTAATATAAACAGTTAACAGATACTTTGTCTGTTATATGTATTATATAATATATTTTTTCAATAAGGTAAGCTAGAGAAAAGAATATGTTATCAAGAAAATCATAAGAAAAAGAAAATACATTTATAGTAATACACTGTATTTATTGATACTGTAAGTTTACCTTGTCTATTTAAAATATGAATGCTTTGAAATGACAAGCAACCACAGCTGCAAATCTAAATCTATGGTACATATCACACAATTCAACTTTTTCTTGTAAAATCATGACTTTTCTCTGCTTCTTGGGAGCACTTCCAGAAGCACTAGTGGCACTTTATATAGGTCCCATGGTGTTATGCAAGGTTTGAAGTATTGCACTAAACACAATGAAAAATAAAGAAGAACCATGGGAGATTACTTTTTACTGTGATACACAATTTCCTGGAGAGACAAATTACTCATGCAGAGATTACTCGTGTCTCACAGTGAATCAAATAAACTAGTATCTATGCATATTTTTTTGCATTCATGAAATACCTTTTAAAAATATTTTTGGTATCTCTATGCTATACGGTTGAGTATGAGTTTCTCTCAAATTGTCACAAATCTCCAAAGTATTTTTCAATATATTGATTTTTAAAAATTCCAGTATAAGAGGATCCATGCAGTTCAAATCTGTGTTTTTTAAGGGTCAACTGTATTTATTATTTTTGCTCTTGAGTTGCTTGAGTGACTTATATATTCTGGTTATTAAACCCTCATCAGATGAAAAGTTTGTAAATGTTTTTCTCCCATTTTGAAGACTTCCTCTTCACTTTCTTTATAGTGAAATCATTGCAATATCTCTTGCATTGATTGTGTAGATATCATTGATCTACACAACAAATTATTAACTATAGTCTCTGTACTTTACTATCAAACATTAGATCTTATTCCTTCTATCTAACTGCATTTTTGTGCCCATCAACTCATCTCTCTTCTTCACCCCACCCTATATTCCTCAGTCTCTGGTGACAACCAATCAACTGTCAGCTTTCACTGTCAAGTTTCTGCTGTGCAGAAACTTTTTAGTTTGATGTAATCCTGTTTGTCTATTTTGGCTTTGGTTACCTGTACTTTTGAGGTTTTGCTCAAAAATGTTTTGCCAAGACCAATGTCCTGAAGCATTTTCTCACTATTTTCTAGTAGTTTCATAGTTTTACAGCTTACATTTAAGACTTTAATCCATTTGGATTCAATGTTTGTATAAAGGGAGAAAATGGGTCTAGCATGATTCTTCTGCATATGGTTAATCAGTTTTCTCAGCACCATCTATTGACGAGACTGCTGTTTCCCCAAACGTATGTTCTTACTGTCTGATATTGTTTAGATGTGTGTTCCTCCAAATCTCATGCTGAAATGTGATCTCCAATATTGGAGGTGGGGCCTAGTGGGAGGTATTGGATCATGGGGGCAGATCCATAAGGAGTGGCTTAGTGCCATCCTCTTGTTGATGAGTGAGTTCTCACTAATCTCAAGATCTAGTTGTTTAAAAGAGTCTAGAACCTCTCCCTTCTCTTTCTCTTGTTCCTATTCTCAGCATGTGATACTCTGGCTTCCTTTCACTTTCTGCCATAATTGGAAGCTTCCTGAGGCATCAGCAGGAGCAGATACCAGCACCATACTTCTCATACAGCCTATGGAAATGTGAACCAAAATAAACCTTTTTTATTTATAAATTAACCAGCCTCAGGTATTTCTTTATAGCAATGCAAGAATGAACTAACACAGCACATTTGTTGAAAATAAGGTGGCTGTAGGTATGTGGATTTGTATCTAGGTTCCCTATTCTGTTCCATTGGTCTGTGTGTCTGTTTTTATGCCAGTAGCATGCTCTTCTCGTTACTTTGGTGTTGTAATATATTTTTGAAGTCAGGTAGTATGATGTTTTCAGCTTTGTTCCTTTTGCTCAGGAGTGCTTTGTCTATTCAGGATTTTTTGTTGTTCCATAAAAATTTTAGAAATTATTTTTTCTATTTCTGTTAAGTACATCATTTGTATTTTGATAGGAATTACATTGAATTTGGAGATCATTTTGGTAGTATAAACATTTTAACAATATTATTTGAATATGAACATGGACTATCTTTTCATTTTTTTGTGTCCTCTTCAATTTTCAAAACCACCTTTTTATAGTTTTCTTTCTATAGATCTTTCACATCTTTGGCTAAATTTATTCTTAGATATATTATATTTCTTGTAGCTGTCTTAAATGAGATTGCTTTCTTAATTTCCTTTTCAGATTGTTTGCTATTGGTGTACAAAAATGCTACTGATTCTTCTTTGCTGATTTTGTGTTCTACAGCTTTATTAGATTTATTTCTGGTCGAACAATTTTTGGGTGTACTCTTTTTTTTTTTTTTTTTTTTTTGAGGCAGACTCGCTCTGTTGTCTAGGCTGCAGTGCAGTGGCATGATCTCAGCTCACTGCAGGCTCTGCCTCCTGGGTTCACGCCATTCTTCTGCGTCAGCCTCCTGAGTAGGTGGGACTACAGGCGCCCACCACCACACCCGGCTAATTTTTTTTGTACTTTTAGTAGAGACGGGGTTTCATCCTGTTAGCCAGGACGGTCTCGATCTCCTGACCTCGTTATCCACCTGCCTTGGCCTCCCAAAGTGCTGGGATTACAGGCGTGAGCCACCGCGCCTGGCACGGGTGTACTCTTTAGATTTTTCTAAATGTAAAATTATGTTGTCTGCAATCAAGGATAATTTGATTTTTTCCTTTTCCAATTTGGATGTCCTTTATTTCTATCTCTTGCCTAATTGTTTTGGCTAGGACTTCCAGTATATTGAATAAAAATGATGAAAGTGGGCATCTTTGTCTTGTTCCAAAACTTAGAGAAACAGCTTTCATTTTTTTCCTGTTCAGTGTGATGTAAGCTGTAAGTTTATCCTATATAGCCTTTACTGTATTGAGGTATGTTTCTTTCATACTCAGTTCATTGAAACTTTTTATCATAAAAATGTTGAATTTTTTTGAATAATTTTTCAGCATCTATTGAAATGATTACATGGTTTTTGCCCTTGATTCTGTTAATGTGATGTATCATGTTTATGCATTTACACATGTTGAATTATCCTTGACTCTCTACTTGATCCTGGTGATTGATCTTTTTAATATGTTTTTGTGATTGCTTTGCTATTATTTTGTTGAAGATTTTTACATCTATGTCCATCAAGAATCCTGGCCTGTAGTTTTATTTTATCTTTTTCTTTTTTTCTTTTTTTGACGGAGCCTCACTCTGTCGCCCAGGCTGGAGTGTAGTGGCGCGATCTCGTCTCACTGCAACCTCCGCCTCCTGGGTTCAAGCAATATTCCTGCCTCAGCCTCCCGAGTAGCTGGGACTACAGGCACCCACCACCACGCCTGGCTAATTTTTGTATTTTTTCAGTAAAGACGGGGTTTTGCCATGTTGGCCAGGCTGGTCTCAAACTCCTGACCTCAGGTGATCCGCCCACCTTGGCCTCCCAAAGTGTTGGGGTTACAGGCATGAGCCACCACGCCCCACCTTCTTTTTTCTTAAGTTCTATTTTGGTATTAGGATAAGGTTGGTCTTGTACAACAAGTGTAGAAATATTGTCTCCTCTTCTTTTTTTGGGGAATAGTTTGAATAAAATTTGTATTAGTTCTTATTTAAATGTTTGTAGAATTTGGTTGTGAAGCCATTAGGTCCTGGGCTTTTCTTTTCTGACAGACTTTTTATTACACTTTTGATCTTGTTACTTATGTTTTTTATTTATTCCTGGTTCAGTCTTGGGAGGTTGTATATGTCCAGGAATTTATTCAACCTAGAGGTTTTCCAATTTGTTGACATAGGGTTGTTTTTAATAGTCTCTAGTAGTCTTTTGTATTTCTGTGGTATCTGTTGTTACATCTTCTTTCTAATTTCTGATTTTATTTATTTTGGTCTTCCCTCTCTTTTTCTTAGTTTAGAAAGGATTTTCAATTATTTTTACCTTTTCAAAAACAGAACTTTTAATTTTGTTGATTTTTGTTGTATCTTTTAGTCTCGATTTTATTTATTCCTGCTCTGACCTTTATTGTTTATTTCCTTCAACTTATGTTGGATTTGGTTTCTTCTTGCTTTTCTACTTCCTTGAGGTGCATGGTTAGGTTATGTGCATTGTTAGTATTTTTTAAATTTGAAATCTTTCTAATTGTCTTCTTTATGCACCTATTGCTATAAAATTGCATTTTAGTACTGCATTGGCTGTATTCCATGCATTTTGGAGTGCTGTTTCTGTTTGTATTTGTTTCAAAACATTTTACAATTTCCAACTTAATTTTTTGTTTCATTCATTGATCATTCAGAAGCATGTTGCTTAATTTCCGTGTATTTTTTTTTTTTTGAGATGGAGTCTCACTCTGTCACCCAGGCTGGAGTGCAGTGGTGTGATCTCAGCTCACTGCAAGCTCCACCTCCCGAGTTCACACCATTCTCCTGCCTCAGCCTCTTGAGTAGCTGGGACTACAGGCGCCCGCCACCACGCCCGGCTAATTTTTGTATTCTTTTTTTTAGTAGAGACGGGGTTTCACCGTGTTAGCCGGGATGGTCTCGATCTGCTGACCTCATGATCCGCCCGCCTCGGCCTCCCAAAGTGCTGGGATTACAGGCGTGAGCCACCACGCGTGGCCAATTTCCGTGTATTTGTAGTGTCCTACATTCCTCTTGTTATTGAGTTTTAATTTTCCACTGTGGTCAGAATAAAACACTGTAATTATTTCAACTTCTTAAAAATGTGTTCAGACATTTTTTTGTGTCCTAACAAATACAGTATTCTGGAAAATGTTTTATGTGTTCATGAGAAGAATGTGTATTCTGACACAGTTAGATGAAATATTCTGTAAAAGTCAGCTAGATTCATTTGGTCTAGAGTATCATTTAACTCCTATGTTTCTTTGTTTTTATATCTCTGGATGATTTGTTTATTCTGTAAGGGGGTGTTGAAGTCCCCAACTATTATTATAATGCAATCTAGCTCAATCTTTAGATCTATTAACGTTTGCTCTATATTTTGGGTGCTCTGTTTTTGGGTGCACATATATTTACAGTTGCTACATCCTCTCAAACTGACCCCTTTATCATTATATAGTGACTTTTTTGTCTTTCTTTACAGTAATGATTTGAAGTCTATTTTATTTGGCATAAGCACTGCTATTCCTTCTCTTTTGGGGTCTCTATGTGTATGGAATACCTTTTTTTATCTCTTCACTTTCAGTTTCTGTCTTTATAAGAAAAGTGAGTTACTTGCAGGCAGCATATAATAGTTGGGCCTTGTTTTCTTTTCTTAATTAATTCAGCAACTCTGTATCTTTCAATTAGTGAATTTTGCCCCTTTACATTTAATGTTATTAGCAGGTAGGGACTTACTATTGCTATTTGTTAATTTTTATTTTATTTTCATTTTTTGGTTGTTTTGTAACTCTTGCTGCTTCTTCTTTTTTTTTAATTTTTTAAATTTTTCCTTACTGTCTTCCTTTGCAGTTATGTGATTTTTTTTTCTGGTATTATGTTTTAATTCATTGCTTTTTATGTTTAGTGTATCTGTTACGGGTTTTTGTTTTGTGGCTGCTACGAGGCTTACAGAAACATTTTATAGAAATTATAAGTTATTTTAAATAGATGATAATTTTGATCACACAAAAAAGAAACAGAGGAAAAACTAAAATGCTCAACACTTTAACCTCATCCTCTCAACATTTTGACTTTTTGTTGTCTCAATTTACAGCTTTTTATATTCCCTGTCTTAAGAGGTTGCTGTAGTTACTATTCTTTTCTATAGATTTGCCTTTCAGTCTCCCTACTAAAGATATCAGTGGATTACGTACCACAATTAGTATTAGAGTATTCTGAATGTATCTGTGAATCTACTTTTTTGAGTTAGTTTTATATCTTCGAAAGTTTTCTTTTTTCACATTGGTGTTCTTTTCTTTCAGATTGAAGAACTCCCTTTGGAATTTCTTATGAAATGGATCCAGTGATGATGAATTTCCTCAGATTTATTTGTCTGAGATATTATTTTATTTTATAATTAATATATTAATTACAATGAATTTGCTACAACTATTTTTCTATTCAATGGATCTTTTATATTTAAATATTTAAGTTGAAAGCTTCTATTTTTGCTTAATGAATACATTTATTTTTTATAATGCTCTCAATTTTTAAATTTTTACTTTATATTTTATTACCTAGCATGTCAGTTTTAAATAGTATCCTTTGCTTCCACCTATTTCCTTTATAACAATAAATTGACTTGTTCTACTTTTTCTTTCTTCTTACTTCTTCTGTATTTTACTACCATTCTTTTTACTATTTCAAAATATAGCCTTTACGTATTATTCTTTCTCCCCATGTCTTCACCTTTGTTTCAGACTTAGATCTAAAATTAAGTATATTAAATTCTCAACATCTGTTTGTTTCCTGAAATTTCCCATTATCTTTTGAAAACCTAAAATTTATCCTCTTACAGGTTCCTCAGAAATGTGATATTTTTCAAAATCGAAAGTGTTTAATTTCATGCGCGTCCGTGTGAAGAGACCACCAAACAGGCTTTGTGTGAGCAACATGGCTGTTTATCTCACCTGGGTGCAGGCGGGCTGAGTCTGAAAAGAGAGTCAGCGAAGGGAGATAAGGGTGGGGCTGTTTTATAGGATTTGGGTAGGTAAAGGAAAATTACAGTCAAAGGGGGTTTGTTCTCTGGCGGGTAGGAGTGGGGGTCACAAGGTGCTCAGTGGGCAGGAGTGGGGGTCGCAAGGTGCTCAGTGGGGGTGTTTTTGAGCCAGGATGAGTCAAGAAAAGGACTTTCACAAGGTAATGTCATCAGTTAAGGCAAGGACCGGCCATTTACACTTCTTTTGTGGTGGAATGTCATCAGTTAAGGTGGGGCAGGGCATATTCACTTCTTTTGTCATTCTTCAGTTACTTCAGGTCATCTGGGCATATAGGTGCAAGTCACAGGGGATGCGATGGCTTGGCTTGGGCTCAGAGGCCTGACATTCCTGCCTTCTTATATTAATAAGAAAAATAAAATAGTGTTGAAATGTTGGGGTGGCGAAAATTTTTGGGGGGTGGTATGGAGAGAGAATGGGCGATGTTTCTCAGTGCTGCTTCAAGCGGGATTAGGGGCGGTGTGCAAACCTAGAGTGGGAGAGATTAAGCTGAAGGGAGGTCTTGTGGTAAGGGGTGATATTGTGGGGATGTTAGAAGAAACATTTGTCATATAGAATGATTGGTGATGGCCTGGATACGGTTTTGTATGAATTGAAAAACTAAATGGAATATCAGAAGGAGAAAAACAGGTATAAAAGGTCTAAGAATTGGGATGACTCAGGATATCTGATTAGAGAGTGCTTAAGGAGATTCGGCTTAGTCCTGCCAGCAAAGATTATTTATTTACTTCAAGAGTTAAGAGTGGCAGTTTGGGGATAGCACCAGGAGATATCAGCTGTGATGGCTTGGAAAAACAGTGTAAACCGGCAGTGTAAACAAGAGCAGGGCATGTATGAGTAGTTGAGAACGGTGAATAGGAGTATGACTAGACAGAAGATACTAGGGATGACAAGTTTTTTCGGGCACAGTCTAAGTTGGTCCGGTGTCTGGAATCAGACTGGGGCCTAATAAAAAGGAGTGTCCATACAGGAGCTCAAATGGGCTGTAACCTGTAGCATTCTGAGGACAGGCC
The DNA here is from genome assembly GCF_000001405.40 of Homo sapiens. Classification (NCBI taxonomy): domain Eukaryota; kingdom Metazoa; phylum Chordata; class Mammalia; order Primates; family Hominidae; genus Homo; species Homo sapiens. The sequence continues at coordinate 117,283,342 of NC_000002.12, read as the reverse complement.
TGAATTCTGAGAAGGTAAAGTGGTAAAAGTATTGTCCAGTCCTTTTAAAGTTGGTGGCTGAGCTTGGTGAGGTGTGTTTTTAAAAGACCTTTAGTTCATTCTACTTTTCTTGAAGATGGAGGACCATAAGGGATATAAAGGTTTCACTGAACACTAAGAGCCTGAAAAACTGCTTGGCTGATTTGACTAATAAAGGCTCATCTGTTATCAGACTGTATTGAGATGGGAAGGCTAAAGTGAGGAATTATGTCTGATAGAAGGGAAGAAATGACTGTGGTGGCCTTCTCAGACCCTGTAGGAAAGGCCAGTACCTATCCAGTAACTAAAATACCTCCAGACTAAGAGGTATTTTAGTTATCTGACTCAAGCATGTTGAGTAAAGCTAATTTGCCAGTCCTGGGTGGGGCAAATCCTCGAGCTTGATGTGTAGGGAAGGGAGAGGGACTGAATAATCCCTGAGGAGTAGTAGAATAGCAGATGGAACACTGAGAAGTTATTTCCTTGAGGATAGATTTCCAGGATGGAAAGGAAATGAGAGGTTCTAAGAGGCGTGCTAGTGCCTTGTACTATAGCATAACCTGCCTTTGCTGGTGTGTGGTGATTAGGCCTGGTGGAACTGCCATCAATAAATCAAGCGTGATCAGGGTGAGGAACAGGAAGGAAGGAACTTTGGGGAAATGGGGCGAATGTCAGGTGGATCAGAGAGATACAGTCATGGTGGTCAGGTGTGGTATCAGGAATAATATGGGAGGCCGCATTGAAGTCTGGGCCAGGAACAACGGTAATTGTGGGAGACTCAACAAAGAGTGAGTATAGCTGAAGGAGCCGGGAAGCAGAAAGTATATGCGTCAGGTATGAGGAAGAAAATAGGTTTTGGAAGTTATGAGAACTGTAGAGAGTGAGTTGAGCACAGTTTGTGATTTTGAGGGCCTCTAAAGTATTAAAGCAGCGGCAGCCGCTGCACGCAGACATGAGGGCTAGGCTAAAACAGTAAGGTCAAGTTGTTTGGACAGAAAGGCTACAGGGTGCGGTCCTGGCTCTTGTGTAAGAATTCTGACCGTGCTAACCATGCCTAGGAAGGAAAGCAGTTGTTTTGTAGAAGGTTCTTGGGTTTGAGAGATCAGTCGGACACGATTGGCAGGGAGAGCACGTGTGTTTTTATGAGAATTATGCCGAGATAGGTAACAGATGAGGAAGAAATTTGGGCTTGATTGAAGTAATGGGGGCTGTCTGTGAAGCTTTGCGGCAGTACAGCCTAGGTAATTTGCTGAGCTTGATGGGTGACAGGGTCAGTCCAAGTGAAAGCGAAGAGAGGCTGGGATTGAGGGTGCAAAGGAATAGTAAAGAAAGCATGTTTGAGATCTAGAACAGAATAATGAGTTGTAGAGGCAGGTATTGAGGATAGTAGAGTATATGGGTTTGGCCCCATGGGGTGGATAGGCAAAACAATTTGGTTGATAAGGCGCAGATCCTGAACTAAATTGTAAGGCTTGTCTGGTTTTAGGACAGGTAAAATGGGGGAATTGTAAGGAGATTTTATAGGTTTTAAAAGGCCATGCTCTAGCAGGTGAGTGATAACAGGCTTTAATCTTTTTAAAGCATGCTGCGGGATGGGATATTGGCATTGAGTGGGGTAAGGGTGATTAGGTTTTAATGAGATGGTAAGGGGTGCATGATCGGTCACCAAGGAGGGAGTAGAGGTATCTTATACTTGTGGGTTAAGGTGGGGGGATACAAGAGGAGGACGCAAAGGAGGCTTTGGATTGGGAAGAAGGGTGGCAATGAGATACAGCTGTAGTCCAGGAGTAGTCAGGGAAGCAGATAATTTAGTTAAAGTGTCTCAGCCTAATAAGGGAACTGGGCAGGTGGGGATAACTAAAAAGGAGTGCTTAAAAGAGTATTTTCTAAGTAGGCACCAGAGTTGGGGAGTTTTAAGAGGTTTAGAAGCCCGGCCATCAATACCCACAACAGTTATGGAGGCAAGGGAAACAGGCCCTTGAAAAGAAGGTAATGTGGAGTGGGTAGCCTCCATATTGATTAAGAAGGGGACGGACTTACCTTCCACTGTGAGAGTTACCCAAAGCTCGGCGTCTGTGATGGTCTACGGGGCTTCTGAGGCAATCAGGCAGCGTCAGTCTTCAGCTGCTAAGCCGAGAAGGAGTCAGTCAGAGAGCCTTGGGCCAGAGTTCCAAGGGCTCTGGGAGTGGCTGCCAGGTGAGTTGAACAGTCCGATTTTCAGTGGGGTCCCACACAGATGGGACGCGGCTTAGGAGGAATCCCGGGCTGTGGGCATTCCTTGGCCTGGTGGTCAGATTTCTGGCACTTGTAGCAAGCTCCTGGGGGAGGAGGTTCTGGAGGAACGCCTGGCCACTGCGGTTCAGGCATTTGGAAGTTCTTGTGTGCTGGAGATGTGGCTGGGGTTTGTCTCACAGTGGAGGCAAGGAATTGCAACTTTTTTCTATTATTGTACACCTTGAAGGTGAGGTTAATTAAATCCTGTTGTGGGGTTTGAGGGCCAGAATTTAATTTTTGGAGTTTTATTTAATGTCGGGAGCAGATTGGGTAATAAAATGTATATTGAGAATAAGACGGCCTTTTGACCTTTTAGGGTCTAGGGCTGTAAAGTGTCTCAGGGTTGCTGCCAAACGAGCCATGAACTGGGCTGGATTTTTATATTTGATGAAAAAGAGCCTAAACGCTATCTGATTTGGGATAAAGAAAAAGAAGCATTAACCTTGACTATGTCTTTAGTTCCAGACACCTTTTTAAGAATAAATTGCTGGGCAGGTGGGGGAGGGCTGGTCACGGAACGAAACTGTAAGCCGGAGCAAGTGTGAGGAGGGGAGGCGATAAAAAGATTATAGGGTGGAGGAGTGGAGGCTGAGGAAGAATTGGGACCTAGCTCGGCCTTTAGAGGAGAGGAGAGGTCAGATGGGTCTGTAGAAAAGGAAGATTAGAAAGACTCAGCGATGCTTGGGGTTGGTACTGAGGGGACAGGCGGGAGGGAAAGAAGGAAGATTTGGGACGAGTTGCACTGGGCACAGAGACTAGGAAGGGACTGATGTGTAAAAGAATGCCTGGACGTCAGGCACCTCAGACCATTTGCCCATTTTATGACAAGAATTATTTAGATCTTGTAGGATGGAGAAATTGAAAGTGCCGTTTTCTGGCTATTTGGAACTACTGTTGAGTTTGTATTGGGGTCAAGCGGCATTGCAGAAGAAAATAAGATGCTTAGATTTTAGGTCAGGTGAGAATTGAAGCAGTTTTAAGTTCTTAAGAATACAGGCTAAGGGAGAAGAAAGAGGAATGGAAGGTGGAACTTGCCCATAGTGAAGGAGGCAAGCCCAGAGAAAAGAGTAGAGACACGGAGAAGGGGTGGGGGTTTCTTCGCCTCCAGAAAAGCAGAGAAAGGGTTGGGGCATGGAAATAAGGGATTGGGGCACAGAGATAAGAGATTGGGGCATGGAAATAAGGGATTGGGGTGCAGAGATAAGAGGTTGGGGCGTGGAAATAAGTGACTGGGGGGTTCTTGCCCCCTAGGAAAGTGGGACTTGCCGCTAAGGGTGAAGGAGAGGGGGTTGAGGGGTATTTGCCCCTGCCCCAGAAAAGCAGAGAAGGGGTAGAGACAAGGAGAGAAGGGTTTGAGGGGTATTTGCCCCTTCCCCAGAAAAGCGGGACTTGCCGCTAAGGGTGAAGGACCAAGGCAGGCATCCCTGTGTGGTCTGACACCCTTGAAACGTGAGTGTATAATCAGAGAGGCGTCCCTGCGATGATTAAACACCAAGGGAAGGCTGCCTTCCCAATCTGTGACCGGCGCCGGAGTTTTGGGTTCACGGATAAAACATGTCTCTTTTGTCTCTACCAGAAAATGAAAGGAATTGAAATTAAGAGAAGGGAGAGATTGAAGTGTGGCGCCAAGATTGAAAGGAGAAAGAGGTTGAGGGATAATGAGGGAGGTTGGAGAAGGGAGTAAAAAGAGGCCGCTTACCGGATTTGAAATTGGTGAGATGTTTCTTGGGCTGGTCAGTCTGAGGACCTGAGGTCGTAGGTGGATCTTTCTCATGGAGCAAAGAGCAGGAGGACAGGGGATTGATCTCCCAAGGGAGGTCCCCCCATCCGAGTCACGGCACCAAATTTCATGCGCGTCCGTATGACGAGACCACCAAACAGGCTTTGTGTGAGCAACATGGCTGTTTATTTCACCTGGGTGCAGGCGGGCTGAGTCTGAAAAGAGAGTCAGCGAAGGGAGATAAGGGTGGGGCTGTTTTATAGGATTTGGGTAGGTAAAGGAAAATTACAGTCAAAGGGAGTTTGTTCTCTGGCGGGTAGGAGTGGGGGTCGCAAGGTGCTCAGTGGGGGTGCTTTTTGAGCCAGGATGAGCCAGGAAAAGGACTTTCACAAGGTAATGTCATCAGTTAAGGCAAGGACCGGCCATTTACACTTCTTTTGTGGTGGAATGTCATCAGTTAAGGTGGGGCAGGGCATATTCACTTCTTTTGTGATTCTTCAGTTACTTCAGGCCATCTGGGCGTATACGTGCAAGTCACAGGGGATGCGATGGCTTGGCTTGGGCTCAGAGGCCTGACATTTAATATAATCTATATTTTAAAAATGGCTTGGCTAGATATAAAATCTTTTGTCTTATGCTTTCTCTTTTGAGTGTCTTGAAAATGGCTTTTAATTATTGCTCTTTTGAAGTGAATTAATAGCCTTCTTCTATTACTATTATAAGTAATTAGATCTTTTTGTCTGGTTGTCCTGATAACTTTTTAGTTTGACTTGAATATCTAAGAGTTAATTTTTTCAGGTCAAAATTGACAGGTAAATGGTAGGACATTTTGATATAATAATTTACATTTGTTCTTATTTCTGGAAAGTCTCCCTGAATTACGTTTTAATTTTTTTCTTTGCTCCTGGTGCACTTTTTAAGAACAGTAAATATATATATATATGTGTATATATATATATATATATATATATATATATATATGTGTATATATATATATACACATATATATATGTAATCTTTTTTTTTACTTTCAATTTTAACAACTTTTTTGTGATCCTCTATATTTCTTTACTCTCTTCTTTCTCATTCTCTTGCATTTCTGTTTTACTTCTATTTACCTTATTAAATTATAATTCATATCTATTTTTACTACTCTTTCTTCTTATGATTTTGTCTTTTTTTCCTAATTTCTCTTTAGGGTTTCAACAATCTCATGAAATTTGCTTTTTTATGTAACTTTTTTTTTTTGGTTTAAGAATTTCTGATGATAGTTTTCTTTATTTTGTAAAATATATTCCCAAATATTTGGGAATATATTAATATAATTAATATTTAGTTCAGTTTTGAGTGCTATGCTGTAATTTTGTTCTGCTTCATAGTTGTATTTTTAGGAAATAATACCCACCAAATATGTTATAGCTTAATTTTTTTACAGTATACTTGCACTGTGTTTAAGTATTTTTTATTCCTAGGCATTTTATTAGTAGGGTTTTAAATCAAATATGTCATTCTCTATCATTTTAGGTGGGATACTATTTGTTAAATTTGTAGTATTTAATTTAATAGATAACGTAAAGTTGGTTGTGGTAGAGTAGACGGGGTTGTTCATCTTACTTGTTTTACTTTCTGTCTATAGAACTTTAGTTTTTCAGTTTTTCTCTCTTTCTTTCTACTTTCTCTTCACTTCTATGTCTTCAAGGGGTACCACCCCTATATAGTTACACAATTCTTCCCCAGAAGCAATGCTTTGTATAAGACTGCAATGCCCTTTCACACTAGTTTCCAAGTCTCTTTTCAGCAGCTAGAGCTTTGAAGTATCAAAATCTGACTTTCACTTAGTATGCTGATATTTAGTGTGGGTTATTCTGTTTCTGTGGGTGCCTAGACCTTTGTTTTGTTATCTGTCATTCTAATGACTTCCAGTTGAAATGTATCTTACAGATATTTGCATCCCAAGCATTCAGCAAATTGTCTAGTACAAAGTCAATGGTTAAAAAAAAAAGTACTTGCAGAGTAAGTCAATGAATGAAAACATTTTATTTTGAAATGAGTAGGATCAGGAAATTGTCTCAGATGTCTAAAAAGAAGGTTATTGTATTTTATTATATAAGGCAATAAAAAAAGACAGTGGTTTGTATTTCACACATCATTTGTATGATTTTTTAACTTTCATTTTTAGTCAGCAGATACTCAAACTTTTTATGGCAGCTTCTAAAAATTACATTTGAATTTTAAGTCTTAAATGATTAAATTAAAACTCTATTCCGCTTTCCACTTTCAATAATATTTTTAGATCTTGAACCTGATAAAATATGAAATCCACAAATTAAAACTATATCCTGTTTCCAAACACTTTCTTCAGTAATACTTTTTATCTCAAATCTGGTAAAATATCAAATTCAAAAACATTTTTAATAATCAGTAAACAAACTAATGTTTGAATTCAAAATAACTTCAGAAATGGTTATCAATTGTATGGTCATGGGCACTGTATTTTTTAGATAAGATTTAGAATCTTATAATTGCCCCTTCAATTAAACAAACCACACTTTCCAAAATTCTTGATTATCTCTTAGTTAGCATTGATATAGTACAGGGCAAAAACAATGTCAACAGTGTCACATTCCATATGAGGGAGGCATTTAACTGGACATTTTTCACAAAGGAAACAGGCTGATTAGAAAAATGAATATATATAACAGATGTAAACATCTTGAATGTCAAAGGTATAAACGATATATTTGACATGTTTTAATGGTTCACAATTATAGATGCACAGTGATCTTAACTTGTTAGAGATTATTTTATAGATTATCTTATCTTTGGAATAACACAGATAAATTATCTCACAGGGATGAAAGCTAGGTATAGAATACATTAAATTAGAGGGTTCAGCCACTTCGCTTACTCCTCCTGAGTAAATTTGAAGGTTTATTAAAAAATAATGAATAAAATGCCTGACTGCATTAGAAACTTCGATTGAGCAGATACATTAATTAATGGTAGCATGCTTTTAGTCACAATTTCTCTCCAAATTAGGATTAGAATTATTTTCTAAAAAAGAAGGATCTCAAATCAGTAACTTACTTTACATTTTGAGGAGCTAGAGAAAGAAGATAAAGTAAACCTAAGTCTAGCAGAATGAAGGGCACAGTAGTAATAAATAAAATACGGAATAGAAAAACAATAGAGAAAATCAATAAAAGCATAGCTTCATTCTTTTAAAAGAGCCACAAAATTGATAAACCTTTAGCTAGACTGACTAATAAAAAAAAACAGAGATAGAGAGAGTTGTTGCAAATAACTAAAATCAGAGAAGAGAGTGAAGGCATTCCTAATGACCTTATAGAAATAAAAAGGATTATAAGATAATACTAAAACAATTGGACACCAATAAGTTAGATAACTTACATGAAACAAACAGATTCCTAAAAACACACAAATTGCCTAAACTGATTCAAGAAGAAATAGAAAGAAAGAAATAAGAAATAGAAAGTTTCAATGGGCCTGTAACAAGCAAAGAAATTAAATCAGTAATTTAAAAAAATCTCTAGAAAGAAATTTCAGAACAAGGTTCACTAATGAAACAAGAATTTACACCAATCCTTCTCAAATTCTTTTAAAAAATAAGAGGAGGAAACACTTTCTAACCCATTCAATGAGGCCAGAATTATACTAATACCACAACCACAAAAAGAAATGGCAAGAAAATTACAAATCAATATCTTTTATGAATATAGATGTAAAACTCACCAACAAAATGCTAGCAAACCAAATCAAACATTTATTAAAAGTATTATAAATGATTATCATATGGGATTTAGCTCATGAATGAATACAAGATAGCTCAACATAAGAAAGCTAGTTAATATAATACATCACATTAATAACAATAAATACAATTACACTAATAACAATAAAGAAGAAAAGAGCACTCAGTTATCTCAATTGATGGAGAAAAGGCATTTGACAAAATCCAGTACCCTTTCATAATAACAATTAAAAATAGAAAGGAACTCCTTCAATATGTTAAAGGATACATTTGAAAAACCCAAAGCTAACATCATATTCAATAGTGAAAGACTGAAAAATTTTTATTTAAGATCAGGAACAAAAACTAAGAGGTCTGCTTTCACCACTGCTATTCAGCATTGTACTGAATTTTTTGTCAGAAAAATTAGATAAGAAAAATAAAGGCATCTATATTGAAAAGAAAGAAGTAAAGATATCTATATTAACAAATGACATGAAAATTTATAAAGAAATTCCCCTTACAATAGCATCTAAATAAACCAAGTAGGTGAAAATCTTATTCCTTGAAAACTACAAAACATTGCTGACAGAAGTTGGAGACCTAAACAGATGGAATGGCATACCATGTTTATGGATAGGAAGATTAAATATTGTTAAAATGTCAATACTCTTCAAAGAAAGATACGGATTCAATGCAATCTCTACCAAAATTCCAATGGTATTTTTTCCACAATTAGAAAAGCTGATCTTCAAATTCTTGTGAAATTGCAAATGGCCCTGAATTGCCAAAACAGTCTTGAAAAACTAGAATAAAGCTGAAAGACCCAAAGTTCCTGATTCAAAACTTACTATAAAGCTACAGTAATTCAAACAATGTGGTACCATCATAAGAATAGACATATGACCAGTTGAATAGAATTGAGATTACAAAACTAAACCAATAAATCTATGGCTAATTGGTTCTTGACATAGGTGCCAAGTCCATTAAATGGAGAAAAAATAGTCACTTCAACAGTTACTTCTGGGACAACTGGATTTCCACAAGCAACAGAATGAAGTTGGGCCTCTACCCTTACATCATACACAAAAAATAACTAAAAATGGATCGGTGACCTAAATGTAAAAGCTACAATTATAAAACCATAACAAGAAAACATAGGAATAAATCTTCATGACCATGGGTTTGACAATGAATTCCTAGATATGATACCAAACTCATGAGCAATGGAAGAAAAAAAAATAGGTAAATGGGACCTCATGAAAAATAAAAACTTTTATGCATCAAAGCATACTATCAAGAGAGTAAAAAAGACAACACATATAACAGAAGAAAATATTTATTATGTTTCTATTTCCTTTAAATTTTTGTGTGTATTTATAAAATCTTTTTTAAAGGTCTTGTCTAGGCTGGGCATGGTGGCTGATACCTGTAATCCCAGCACTTTGGGAGGCCGAGGAGGGGAGATCACCTGAGGTCAGGAGTTTGAGACTGGCCTGGCCAACATGATGGAAACCCGTCTCTACTTAAAATACAAAAATTAGCCCGACATGGTGTTGCACTTGTAGTCTCAGCTACTCAGGAGTCTGAGGTGGGAGGATGGCTTGAACCTGGGAGGCGGAGGCTGCAGTGAGCCGAGATCACACCACTGCACTCAAGCCTGGGTGAAAGAGCGAGACTCCATCTCAAAAAAAAAAAAAAAAAAGTCATTGTCCAGTAATTTGTAATTCCATTATCTTTATTTATAGTTCTGTTTCCATTGACATTTTCTTCCTTGATTTATTTTCTTTTTCCTCTGATTATGGGCCAAATTTTCATGGTTTATTGCATATTTAAATTTTTTGATTGGGCACTGAATATTGTGAATATTACAATGTTGAATGTCTAAATTTTGTTGTATTTCTTTAAACATTGTTAAATTTTATGTTGGCAAACAGTTAAGTTCCTTGTATATCAATTAGATCCCTTCACATGTTGTTTTAAAACTGTTAGGTAAGGTCTGGAGCAGACTTTACTTTAGGGCTTGTTTAATCTTACTAATAAGGTGTGACACATACTAGGGTTACTAAGGTTCCTACTGAATGTCCTGTGTCTTCACTGAGACCTCTCTATTCTGGCAAGCAAGAACTCGCATTTCTTCTAGCAATGTGTGATCTCTGGGAATTGTTTAGTTTATAGCCCTCTTACAGTTAATCTATCCTCAGACTTGTGGAGTTTTATTTAGGTATGTACAGCTTGATGTTTAGGCAAAGATTTAAGATAAAATTTTTACTCTACATACGCATTCTATTTTCCAGTATTCTGCCTCACAGTTATTAGCTGTATTCACCACCCTGAATTCCAACATCTGTTTTTTCAACTCAGTGTGACTTCCAATATCTGCATAGTTTCCGCATTCCTGCACTAGAAGGTGCCTCCTTGTCAGAAAGCTGAAGCCGTAGGGCTCATCTCATTTGTGTCCCTGGTCTCAGGGATTGCAGCTCTATAGCGCTGATGTATGATGTTTTTTAAAACAGTTGTTTCATGCATTTTGCCGTTTTATATGGCAGAGGGCAAATCCAGTACTAGTGACTCCAATAAGGCTGGAAATAACTTTATTTTTGAAATATTGCTACAAACATTTTTGTCTTATGTTTTATGGTTTATTCTGCCTTTCATAATAGAAACAACCTGCAAGATTCTGTAGGATAGAGATTACATCTTATTAATTACTTATTTCCAATGCCTAACATAGTGCTTGACATATTATTTTCCCAATGACTATTTGGTGAATCATCAAATCAGATGTTTTATCTGACACATAATATGAAGTATTTTATTCTCCTTAATACTATTGTGTTGTGCTTGCGTCTTTGAACCCCAGCCTGGTAGCAAATTGATTTAATCTAGTATATAAGAAGCTTTTGTTTTTCATAAGAAGCATAGTGTTTTAATGCTGATTATTCCACAGATTTCCAGCAACTTGGAAAAGTCATGATTTATCTGGTTTTTTCTATGCCTATTAAAAGAAAAAAAAAATCCATGCACTGCTTACCACAGGAGGTTGCTAGAAGGACTAAAGTAGATGCTGGATATGACTTATCTTTGAGAAGTTAAATATGGAACATTATATTATTAAAACTTGAACACTATGCATTCATTTTGTTATCCTCCACATCCCTTCCATAAAATTCCAAAATTTTGATGAGTGGCCTAATAATATAAAGTACTTAATAGATGTTGAATTAATTTGAATGTATACATAGGCCTGAATGAAAATCAAATAGTGTTTACTGTCCTACATGGTATTATGATAATTATCCTGAAACTAATGCTTACATAAATTTCCTATAGAGATAAACATTGGAAACACAGGTACCTACTCATATTTGATTCCTGAAACACCCTCAACAACACTGTATAACAAAAGAAGTAGGCAGGTATTATTATTTTTGTTTTGTTTTTGTGTAAAATGGTCATTAATAAGAACATTGTGCATTTGTCTATATTATTGTTATCAATTACTAAATGAAGGTTGAGTCAAGCAATGAAAAATATTGTGAAAGTAGATGACACTTTGCAATTAAACTTTCCCAGCCAAGTCAGAAGAACTTAGAGTATCCAAAGGAAAGAGCAATTAGGGCTAATGTGGGTGGTGTATGCTTGAGAGACAAAGCTGAAATGGCAAAGGCTGTCAAGATGAACTGCTCAGAAATGCCTGATAGAATGTAATTGTTTCTTATTTTACCCCAAAGGGTATTTCCAAATTGCTGACTTGACACCTTTCTCTTTTTTGTTGGAATATTTCAATGACTATTACTTTTCAGACCATGCACAGTTCCCTGGGAACTTTGTACCCTATTGGTTTTATCAGCCTTCTAGCTGGTACTGTAGGGCATTTATCAAATGCCTGCTGTTGTAGAAATTACTTTAGAATCGTAGGAGGTCAACACCAAGGGGTTCTAGGAAAAGAAGTAGTCCTGCCTGCTCATTTTCAGTTAACAAAATGGATGCCTAGAAAAGGATACTAGCAGAAGAAAGCTCTAGTTTTCCACTATGCTATATTGGAAATATGACATAGAATGAGACAGGCATCAGCTATTTAAATGAAAGACATTACTTTCTCCACTTTCTCTTTCCTTATTTCCTTTTTCTTTACCCTTTTTCCTATTTTCTTTCTTTTTTTCCTTCTTTCAAACATTTATTTAATGTCCGTTTTACTTGCTAGTTTTCAAGGCATTTATGAGGATGTGTGTGTGTGTGTGTGTGTGTGTGTGTGTGAAACTCATTACTGGATTTCTGTGATATCATTACAAGGAACAGTGTTTTTAGGACAAAAACTGCAGAAACTGTTATCCCATTTAGGGTTTGCTATTTTTTTTTTTTTTTTTTTCTGGCACAGAGCAGGCCAGTGACTCAAAACTCATAATGGATGTCTAAAGGATCAGTTTACTTGAAAACTGAAGTGCTCACTTCTATTTTCGAATTCACTTTTCTTTGATATCAAATGAAACTCATTTGGTGTAGAAAATTAAAGTAGCTGCATTTTTCCTCAGCACAGATAAATCTTTTATTTGCCTCTAACCCTTTCCATTTTTCATGACAGTTACTGCATTTTCTTCTCTGAAACACAAACAAGTCAATGTAAGCATAGCTGGCAGGCTAAAATGATTATGGGATAATTTGTGTTTGCCAGACCAAACAAAATCAATCACCATTGTTTAGGGACCCACAGCATTAAATGGCTATGAGAGAATATTTCTGGACTTTCACAAAATAGGCTTTTCAAACACAGATAAGGGAGCAGACCATTGAATACCCTTAGGTATAGTTTATAATTTTCAAATTTCTAACAAAAAATAGGAACTATATATATGGTGGCTCAACCCCACTTGTTTAATGCAGACTGAAAGGCAGCTCAACACTGTTGAAATGATCATTTGTCATAGGTTTCCAATGGGCAAAAACATATCATGAATGCTTATTCAGAGCTTGAAATAACCATTCCAAAAATATAACTTGCAGGCCTACAAGGATAGATAGAAGAGGACTAAACAATGGGATGGTAATCAGAACAGAATTGATAGAAACAAGTATGCATTGTATCTCTGACCATTTGATTTTGAGTATATTCTATGGATATTGTTCCCAGGACCAGGTTTTCTATTTGCTTTTGTTTTGTTTCAGTTTGGGTTGTTTTTCCCACCTATTCCAGTTGTGTGTTATCTTATATGGAGGCTTTGTGTGGCCATAGCTTTCTGCTGTGAGAGGTTTTAAGAATCTACTTTCCCTCGGGGAAGGGATCAACTTGCCAAGAACTGCTGCAGAAAATTTGGTGAGAGTTTTGAGATAGTAGGAATTTTTTTTTTTTTAATGTGGACATTTAAGGATTAGGACTGATTGTTCAGCTTTCAAAGAGGGTGTTTTTGAAACTCTTTTGAAAAAGCAGACAGATCTTTCTAGCCCAGTTGTCTACAGCTCACACTGTTTTTTCCTATTCCTCAATTACTTTTGTTCTTCTGACAAAATTTGGTTCTGTATATTTTATGGAATGAGAGATTTTAAAAAATAAATAAAAATACAAACCTCCTAGGTCAGGTTCTTTAGAAGCAGGTCCCAAGATGGGGATTTGTGTTCAAGTGAATGCTCTCAGGTGGAAAACCCATAAGAGAGTGAGAGATGGAGGACAGAGCAGGAGTAGAAGACAGGGGCTGGTGTGAGTCTGGCTTCAGTTAAGCTTCATCCAGCCTGTTCCCACACAATGCTCTGAAGAATAATCACACTGCAGACTGTCCTGCCTTTGGGCAAGGGGTCTGGCTTTTATTAGCTAAAATTAGTCAGATATTGCCTGCAGACCATCCTTTAAACCCTTGGAGATTGTGTAATATCACAGACATCTCTCATTGAGGTGGAAGTGCTCGTTTGAGGGTAATTCTCAAGGGCAGGGTGCAAACCTAGTTAGTAGAGGACACTCAACATAGCTCAGGATTATGCTTACTAGCCCAGTGAAGAGGATCTGGGCAGGATCCTAACAGTGTCTATACAAGAGAAAATGACGTATTGGTTCATATAACACTTAATCTTTCTTTTTATGACCATATGAAGCTTTGTGTTATTCCTTTCTTTGTATGTGTTATTGATCTAGCCTCCCCCATTGATAAAGATTAAATGGTTTCTAATCTTTTTGAATTACCACCCCAAAATTTTGTTATGACTACATTTGTCATATTACATGAATACATTAAAAGGTTGCAGTCATAGATGCTAAATTAATAGATCAAAAACTATGTGGATTTGTAATTATTTTATTTTTCCAAATTGTTTTTATGAGCATTTCCTGATTTACACACATCAGCAGTGTAAAAGAGAATTTTGTCTCCATATGCTTACTAAACTTTGTGATATTTGCCAGTGAGATGAAAAATATACAGCTTTTTTTGTAAAGATGGTTCTCTCTGTCTGGAACTCTCTCACATTCCCAGAATTGCTTATTTAACTCCTCATCCTTCCAATCTCCGATGAAGACTCCTTAAAGGAAGCGTCACTGATCCCCAGGCTGTGTCACAAGCACATCTATGCTGACTCTAGTAAATAACTGTGGAATGAATGAGAAAATAAGTAATTCATATTACTAAGAGTTAAACTAGGACCTACCAGATCATACGGCTGTTCTTTCTAGTATGGAATTCACCAAGATGAGATTATTTAAGCCTCAGGAATTGATATCCTATGCAATAAATAGGAAATAGCTGTCTGAGGTTTGGGGGTATAGTCCATTCCTTCCTTTAATTTACATACTACCATACATCAAATATCTTGAACATTTTTTTTACATCCCTTGTGGACCTCACTGTTTCTCTGTCAATGACAAAGTTGTCTATCTCTTGATGATTTGGATTTTCCATAATGGTGCTTCTTTGGAGACAAAACATTTAAAGACACCCTGGGGAAAGGTTATGCTCTATGGCTTCTTGGAAAGAATCTAAGCACTAGACTCTGATTAATGGAGCAGTCTTCTAAAATGAAATTTCATATTTACTATACTGAGTTGGACTGGACTACACTTGCCCTATTTCAATGTCTTGAGAGAATGATGACAGTGTCTTAACTAAAATTATTTTCAAGTGTTTGGTTATTCAATCAACAAATAAGCAATGCAAGAGAATACACATGCAATCTATTAATTCCTGGTAGTCTTCCGATATCTCTCTGATATTTTAACAGAGATGCTGATAAAGCGCAGGAACCTCAGCCTTATGCAGAAATAAGAATTTCTTGGTCAGATGGTCTCAGAGTCAGAATTTCCTGCTTTTTGTTCTTTTTCAGGTTTGGGAGTAGCATAGAAATAAGCCTGTGTCACTCAAACCTAATATCCAAATTTGGTGTCATAATTTTTGACTGCATGATCATTATGTGACTTGGTTACTGCTAAGGTAGTTTCTTTCTACATCACTGGGCAACTTGATCCTTTAGGACAGTGAGCCTAACTTTATTCTACTACGATCCTCTCCTTGACAGGGAGTGGCAGTATGGAGAGCAGGGTGCAAGGATGATATTCTTACAGTTTGTAACAGATCCCAACTATATGAAAATGCTACTTTCTTAACATAGTAATCTTTAAAATTGCAACATACGATCTCTTCACACTCTAAACATTTAATAATCCAGAATCATCTTATGCTGTATGAATTGCCAAGTAAACATATTCTGGAATAGATAATTATTTGGCAGTAATGAATGGTATAACCTGACTTCATTCATCTTTCAGCACTTGAGGCATCAGAGCATGGAGATGTACTTACAGATTTAATTCAGCTCACTGTCCACAGTTTATGAGGCTGCTGTTGGCCTTCCCCATCATGCAATTCTTCATGTTTTTATTGCCAGCCCTTACTGGGCTATTGGGATAATTCTCAGAGATGCATTCTTATAGATTCCCAACCACTGTGTCCATAAGATTTCTTTGAGTACTAGCCCATAGAGCTAGGAGCTATACTTTTGAGGTCCAAAGTCACTTTTAAGTGGCATCAAGTGTGATTAGATAACTTTGCTTCCTTCGTTTCTTGTTTTCCTTATCTCCTCTTCCCTCAATGTTATGGCCTATTTCTGTATTGTCTTGCTTTTTATGAAGTAGTAAAAAATATTCTTGTTCAATGTCACTCTCTAGCTAGATAACTATTAATGTATCTTTGTACTATTGCATCTGTCTTGTTTCTTTCACAGCAGTAATTACAATATTGATTTTATTATTTATGTGTTTACTTGATCTTCATTAGGTCTATCTCACAAAGATGAAATCAGTGGCCATGTCTGTCATCTTTTTTGATGTATCCCTAGCACCTTTATCATAGGCCTGGCATAGAGTAGTGCTAAATAAACATTGGTTGAATGGGTGAATCCCAAAATGTAGTCAATTCCTGATCTTGTCTACTTTTCCTTATGGTGGCCACTCCGTTCTAAACCTTCCCCTCACCAAACTAATTTTCTTATGGTGGCCATGCTGTAAAATGAGCTGCCTTGTTTCTGATACTTCTAGGATTTGCACGGTCTTAGAAAATAATGAACTGATCTGATAAACTGATCCTCACTTATATCTGTTAGGGCTCTTTTGTTGCACTGCAATTTTTTGCAAAAATTAAAAAAAGTTAAAAAGATATATGGGCATATATAGGATCCAAACATGGAGTCACAGAGGTAAGACAGGGTAGATGCCATAAGGTTGTTATTATTACAGTCATTCCTCAGTATCCATGGGGGCTTGGTTTCAGGAAACAAAAACTTGTGGATGCTCAAGTTCTTTATATAAAATGGCATAGTATTTGCATATAACCTGTGTACCTTCTCTCATATACTTTAAATCATCCTTAGGTTACTGATAATACCTAATACAATGTAAATGCTATTTAGAGTCTTTTTTTTTTTTTTTTTTTTTTTTTTTTTGAGATGGAGTCTCACTTTGTTGCCCAGGCTGGAGTGCAGTGGCACAATCTCGGCTCACTGCAAGCTCCGCCTCCCGGGCTCACACCATTCTCCTGCCTCAGCCTCCTGAGTAGCTGGGACTACAGGGGCCCGCCACCATGCCTGCCTAATTTTTTTGCATTTTTAGTAGAGACGAGGTTTCACCATGCTACCCAGGATGGTCTCGAATTCCTGACCTCATGATCCGCCCCCCTCAGCCTCCCAAAGTGCTGAGATTACAGGCGTGAGCCACTGCGCCCAGCCTATTTAGAATCTTATTATGCTGTATTGTTTTTAATTTGCATTTTTGCAATTTGAAATTATTTTTATTTTTTAACAATCTTTTCAATCTGTAGTTGGTCTAACCTATGGATAAGGAAACCCTGAATACAGGAGGCTGACTGTATACATATAATAATAATTATTATTGAATAATGAAATAAAACTTCTCTTTTTTTGGTTGCCTAAGGAAAGAAAATATTTCTAATGCAAGAACATGAGATTAAAAAAAAAAAAGAGGAGCAAATAAAGCCACACTAAGCCATGAGAAGGTACAGTTTTGAATAGAGGAGGCCTTGTAGCATTCTTTAAATCATGATATGTTAATTATTATTGCCTTTTTCTACACATAGAATTGATCTAGGGAGCAGGTCTTAATAAGCTAATGTTCTAAATCATGCAAGTTTTACAAGGTGACTTGCATACAGATGGCACTAAATAAGCTTATTGAATGCATGAATGAGTGCTGGATCACACGACTGTGGGCCTCTTGCTCTTGTAAGTAGACACATATCTCCAGAAATAGGTTCATGAGAGACTTGATACACATCTATCATGCTCCAGAGTCTTGCTTCCTTAGACCAGCATGAGATTTATGAATAACTATCCCGCTCTCATGCCTGGGTGTGTGGAGTGTGGCACTTGGACTCACATTTACTTTAAATAGAGTGCAGTTGGTTTTGAACCTCTGCAGCTATAAGTTCTTAAGTTACTCTTCCTAGTTGCTTCCTAGTTATTCTTAGCTAGTATGAGAGGTAACTAAAAAGAGGAAGAAATAAAAGAGAAGGAAAGCTTTGTGTTAGATGCTTTTCATTCTCCTTTCTCCGTAGCTTTCATAAGAATTACACGAAAAGATGGCTGAGCCTGAAATTTGTCATTTTTGACATGCCAACCAGTTAGCAATGCTGCAAAATTCTATTGGGTTGTTGTAATTACTGAAATGCTGTATGCTCAGGTAAGTCATTAATGTCATTTCTACAAAGAATGAAAAGGTCATGTGTCTTTTCTGGGAATTTCTGTTGTTCCAGCTGGGGATATACTTAAAACACATGGTCAAGCAGCTTGCAGGTGTTGCGGGACTGAGAGAAGGTGCACAATCTTGAGACTTCTTCAGAAGAAGGGGAGAGAAGTGGAACTTGCACCCAGCCCCCCAGTATCCCAGTGCACTCTCCTAGGGAAAGGGGGCAGGCAGCTCTCAGCAGCCAGCATGATTCTTTGGGATTGAGATTGAGGGCGCACAATCATGAGACATCTCTTTATGGAGACAGGGGGAGAAGTGGTGATTTCACTAGATGTTCTGGCATTTCAGTGTACTGCCCAAGGGAAAAAGGACAGGCAGCTCTCATCAGCTGTCACAGCTTCATAGGATAGAAGAAGGCAAACAACTTAGAATCTTTTCGTTTAGAAAGAAGGGACAGAAGTAGAGATTGCACGCTACATCTAACATAGTTCACTGCCATAGAGAAAGGGGATCAGAGGTTTACAGAGACTTGCATTTCTCTCTGAGATTGGGAGAAGGCACACAAACTTCATTGGGGGAGGAGTGGAGCATCCCATGCACGTCCACTGAAAACATTTCAGAGATGCCCAGAATCTCTAGCTAGGCTGACTTGTGATAGTCTTTTTTTCTACTGAAAGCAGTCCATTAAGATTGGAAGAGGTAGTTACTTCTTCAAATGTGCCAACATCAACACAGAGCTACTAGAAATGTGACGAATTGGGAAACTATATTACACCAAAAGGAAAAAACGAAGTCTTCATTAACTGACCTGGACAAAAAATATAGATCTATAAACTGCCTGAGCAATAATTAAAAATAATCATAAAAGTCACTAAGCTACATAAGAACACAGAAAATTAAGTGATACGAGGAAAACAATACATAATGAAAATTAGAATATCAACAAATATATAGAAACTATTACATAAAACAAATTCTAGAGCAGAAGAATACCATAACTGAATGGAAAAATTCAATAGAGAGCTTCAAAGGCAGACTTGATCAAGCAGAAAAAGGAATCAATAAAATTGAAGATAGGTCATTTGAAATTTCTAGTCCAGGAGTGTAAAAGGCAGAAATAGTTTTTTTGAAAACTGCAGAAAGCTTATAGAACTTATAGGACACAGCTAATAGAGCCAATATACACATCATGGGAGTTTCTGCAGGAGAGAGAGAAGATTCAGAAAGCTTATTTAAAGAATTAATAGCTGAAAACTTCCCAAATCTATGGAGGAAAATGAACACTGATTCATGAAGCCCCCAAAATTCCAAATATGTTTTGAACTCAAAAAAGTCTGTACTAAGATACACTACAGTCAAATGCTCAAAAGTCAAAGAGAATTTTGAAAGCATGAAGAGAAAAATAACTCTTCATGTACGAAAGAGCCTCTAAGAGACTATTAGAAGATTTCTCAGCAGAAACCTTGCAAGACAGAAGGAAGTGGGATTATATATTCAAAAGGCTGGAAGAAAAAAAATGGTCAACTAAGAATAGTATACCTGGCAAAACTGTCCTTCAAAAATGGAGAGATAAAAACTTTCCCACAGACAAAAGCCGAGGAAGGACATCACCACAAGACCTGCTTAACAAGAAGCTAAAGAAAGTTCTTCAACTTGAAATAAAAGGATGCTAAATAGCAAAAAATCGCATTTGGAAGTATAAAATTCACTAGTAAAAGTGACTATATGAAATATATGTGTTTGTTTATATAAATATAAATGTGTATATATATTTGTTTCAGAATACTATAATACTAAAATGGTATGTATATCACTTTCAATTTTAGAATAAAAGTTAACAGAGAAAAATATAAAGAATAACTATAAAAATTTGCTAATGGATTAATAATGCAAAAATATGCAAATTATGACATCAATAAAATAAGGTATGTGGGCGAAGAAGTAAAATTGTAATTTTTTTCTGTGAGTAAAATAAATTGTTATTAGCTTACAATATGCTGTGTGACTATAGAGTATATTTTTGAAATTTTATGGTAACCACAAAAAATAATACATACTAAAGATGCACAAAAGAAAAAGAGAAAGAAATAAGAAATTTAAAAATATTACTATGAAAAAACAACAAAACCCATAGGATGGCAGTAAGAGAGAAAAGGAGAAACAGAAAAGACTATTTAAAAAGATAGAAAATAATTAACAAAATGGAAATAGTAAATTATTTCCTATCAGTAATTACTATAAATTAAACTCACCAGTCAAAAGACATTACATGGTTGAACAGATAATAAGATTCGACTATATGCTATCAACAGGAGGCTCACCTTAGATATTAGGATACATATGTACTGAAAGTGACGGGATGGAAAATATATCCTATGCAAATGGTAAACAAAAGACAGCAGGGATAGTTATACTTACCTCAGACAAAATAGACTTTGTCTATTCAGTTCTCGCTGTGGGCTCTTCAGTGGTCCTGCAACTCAGTTCCAGCCCCTCATAGCTACGAACCTGGGCAGTACTACTTGCTCAGGAAGCCACCAAGTTGCCTGGGTGCCACACCCATCTATGCACCTAATAATAGACTTTCTATCTAGGGATGCTTAAGTAGATGTGCATCCCAGCACTCGCCTATAGACCAAGGTCCTGGAGAGTCTGGTTTACTAAGGATGCAGACAGAATTCATGTCCACTAAAGCATAGGCTCATCAACCATGGGCCCCACTGCAGCAGCCACATAGTCCATTTTCAGTCTCATTCAACTGTGATCCTAGAGGCAATCCCATCACCCTGGGAATCTAAGAAGTTTTTTTTTTTTTTTTTTTTTTTTTTGACATGGAATCTCACTCTGTCACCCAGGCTGGAGTGCAGTGTCATGATCTCAATTCACTGCAACCTCCACCTCCCAGGCTCAAGTGATTTTCCTGCCTCAGCTTCCTGAGCAGCTGGGATTACAGGTGTGCACCACCACGCTTGGCTGATATTAACAAGACAAGTCTTTAACATGCCCAAACCTGTCTGTAAGGACTGAAAAAGGTGCTTGCTCCTTCAAATACAAGGCTACATGGATTACATCGAATACACCAGATACAGAAAAATATAAATATTGCATGGTCTCACTTATATGTGGAGTCTAAAAAAATCAAATTCATAGAAACAGAAAGTAAAACAGTGGTTATGGAGAGCACTGAGGGATGTGGGAAGATATAGATCAAAAGATGCAAAACTGCAGTTACGTAGGATGCATAACTCTAGAGATTTGGTGTACAGCATGAAGACTATAATTAGCAATAAAACAATAAAAGGTACACAATAAATTTTAGCCAAAACCCTAAAAGCTTTTTTCCATTAATAGTTTGTAATTTATTACTTTTATAATATTCTCTCTAAATACCTGTTTCCTTTCTGAGATCTCTTAAGTGCAGGGTTTTTAAAAATAACTATTACATTATTAATAGAATACCAGCAGACAGAATCATTCAGATGATTGTTTACAAGCATCATTGTGAACAATACAACATTGATTTACTTCAACTGTTTATTCTTATGTGTCATGTTTTTAGTAATCATTTTCTGCATTGTTCTATCTTGTTAGACATTATTGTTATTATTTTACACATTTTTGTCACCTATATATACCTATTTTTTTTGCTCATTGTTTCTTCTTTCATCTATTTTTTCTTCCTTCTGAAGCTTATCCTTTAGTGAGAGTTAATGGGTAATATATATTTTTTGTCAGAAAATTTTTTCATTTGTTGGTTGTTTTTGAAAGACTGTGGTATACAACTCCAGGATTACCACTGTTTTTTCTCAATGCTTTCATTTTAATATGTCACTGCTTTCTGGCCTCCATTTTCATGTCAAAAGATTTACTGTAGCCTCTCTTTCCTCTGTAGTTATTCCGACTTTTTTCTCTAGCTGCCTTGAAGATCTTTTCTTTGTCTTTGGTGCTCTCTGGTTTCATATCAATCTTTTAAAGCATAGATTTCATTCTATCTGTCATGTTTGCTGTTCATTATACTCCTTAATTCTGAAGATTCATGCCCTACAGAAATTCTGTGAAATTTGCAACCATTTTTTGCCTAAATACTGCTTTTCTCATACTCTGCTTATTCTGTTTTTTTAGAACTTCAATTACATAAATATTAGATCTACTAATTTTATATTCTTCATTTATTAGCCTATCTTTGAGATTTTTTTACATCTCTGAGTTGCATTCTGAGTAATAGCTATCAGTAGATAGCTCAAGTAAAATCATAACCCTTATGAGATTTGTGCAGGTGGAGTAGTGGTCGTGAGAGACTAGATGGCATCAGCTTTACCCACTAGTCCATCACTTCTCACAGGTTCTCATTGTGGTTTCTCTGGACCAGCAGCATCACATCACCACAAAGCTTGTTAGAAATGTAACTTTCTAGACCCTAATCCAGACCTACTGAGTTAGAAATTCTGATAGTGGAGCCTAGCCATGTGCGTTTTAAGAAGGTCTCCACGTTCTGATGCACACCAAGGCTTGAGAACTACTACTCTTGGTGATCAGTATCAGTAAATTCTCTTGGAAAAGTTATGACATCAGTACAATTCATGCTTATCATACTTACTTTACCTTTGTTAGCTTCCTCTTTGTGAAGATACTATTATTTTCTGCTTTTTTATGTGATTTGTAGCAGAAATGTTTTCAGTATGTCATGTGTGTAAGCATAAGTGAGAGAGTGAGAAAGAGTACGTATATGTAGAGAGAATATGTACATACATATGTAGCATATATAAGATATATCTCATTGTATTACTCTTAAATGTTTTTGATAATTTTAGATTTATAGAAGAGATGAAAATTAAGAGTCATTGTACACCACTTACCCAAATTCCCCTAATGTCAATGCTTTACATAACAATAATGCAACAATCAAAATCAGAAAATTAACATTTGTACAATTCTATTAACCAAGTTACATCTTATATTAAAACTTTCCCACTTTTCTCACTAATGTTTTCAGTTCTAGGATCCAATCCAGGATCCTAAATTGCATTTCGTTGCATTTAGTTGTCAGTCCCCACTCATCTTAGTTCTTCAGTGTTTTCTGGTCTTTCATGACATTGACATTTTTAAAAAGTATTGGTCAGTTATTTTGCAGAATGTGTCTCAATCTGGGTTTGTCTAACGTTTTTCCATGATTAGAATAAGGTTGTGAATTTTTGGCAAGAACAACACAGAAGTGACGGTGTGCCATTCTCAGTTTTAGGATTTTCCGAAGTTATGCTTCAGCTGTGACTTGTTTCACTTAATTAAAACCCATTTACTTTGTCTCAGAGGTCATTTTTATTACCCAAACTCTCTCTACATTAATACTTCTCATCTTTTCTCCAACATCTGTTTTAACATTGACAACACAAAGTAGCTTCTGGCAGATGTAGAAAGCCCACATATAACATAAAGCCTCAGTGCTTTGACATGTGAATATAGTTAAGAGTAAAATAAGAATGGTTCCTTAGAAATTTTTCTGTCTTCTTTGCAAGTTATGAGAGGGGTCAGTGCTACTTCTGCTGGAAAATTGCTCTGCCTTATGCTAAGCATTAAAACAGATATTGATTTCTTTGACTGGCTTGAACTATCTCAGCATGGCCTTCCCTGAATGGGCATTTTTCATCCTCAGAGTCCAAGGCAGGAACAGGTCCTCAGAAAATGGAAGTGGGAGGCTCATGGGCTGCTATAACTGTGGATTAATGAAATCTTCCCAAGACCTAGGCAAAAGCATTTCTCTACATTGTTCAGCCTACCTTACTAGTTGCCAACACTAGTTTTGTAGGAAATATCTCAAAGTATTTAAAAGTTTTAACTAGGTTGGCTGCTCCTTTGTGTAGTTATCTTTTAGGAACCTGCCCAGGGGAATTGGGGTAGGTGGGGTAGGTAGACTGAAGACTTAGACTTCTGGATTCCATGTCAGAGATGACTCACCGCTTCACAGAGCAGAATTTTAAGAGAGATAGAAAACACATTGCTAGTACTGGGGCCCTCTGACTTGCCTTAAAGTCAGCCAGCCCATCTGCACTGTTCTGTAGCTTTATGGGGGGAACTGGAGGGAAGTATGATATTCTGCTTCAGTAGGCATCAGCAGGGACCTTGTTCTATTTTAGAGGGGAATTGTACAATAAATATGCACATGTTATTGTGAAAAGATAATTAGTTCAATTTGAAATTTGCTCAGTTGGAGACTTTCGTGAGATAGCTAAATGACCTTTTGTATGTATGAAGCTAAGCACAACGTTTGAGGCTGAACATACACATTTTAGTAGAGAAACTCTTTCTTAAACAACAGAATTTGGTAGGATATAAACTTGATATTTTTCAAATTATGATCTATAATCATGCTTTGTTAAATATGAAATAATATTTGGTAGATCCTATACTTCTAAAGTAATTTACAGGTCTTAAAATGTTCATGTGTGGTTAATAAATTTCATAATCTGCCCCATGTAGCATTATACAAAAGTTAAAATGAATGAAAATTCATTTTAAAGATATATAGACATAGAAAGATCTGCATTAAAAATGCTAAGGAAAAAAGCAAGATTAAGCAGTGGATGTCATATTAAATATAACTTTTGTATAAGAAAGAATAGACAAAGAAATATAAGAGACACAATAATCTGTTACTTTTATGTAACAAATAACTCCACAAGAATTTAACAAAAGCTGTTACCTATAGGGAAATCAAAGAAATGAAATAGGATAATATCTTGTCATTGTTTGGATTTTTCCAACATATGAATGGACTATTGATTTAAAGTAAAAAATATATTTTTAAATGGCTTAGTATTATAAAATTAAAATCCAGTCCCGATATCTAAAATTGCAATCTCCCTTTCTTCCTGTCTGCAGTGGAATTCACTGCAGAATGCCTTGTAGACTGAGAGGCCTCAGTGGGAATGAGGTATGATTTGCTTATACACTAGTTTTCTCAGTTTACCCTTTGGAATGTAGGGCGTCCTTTCCTGCTTTCCTTATTTCTTCATTTTCACCTCTGCTTCTCTCCTCTGGAATTAGTGAGCTGGAAGAAATTAAAAAATCATTGTTTTAAAGTGTCATCTTCTCTTTCCCCATTGCTTGTTTTTGTCAGTTTGTCGAAGATCAGATGGTTGTAGGTGTGTGGTCTTATTTCTGGGTTCTCTATTCTGTTCCATTGGTGTATGTATCTGTTTTTGTACCAGTACCATGCTGTTTTGGTACTGTAGACCTATAGTATAGTTTGAAGTCAGGTAGTGTGATGCCTCCAGCTTTGTTCTTTCTCTTAGGATTACATTGGCTATTCGGGCTCTTTTTGGTTTTAAAATAGTTTTGCTAGTTCTGTGAAGAATCTCAATGGCAGTTCAATAGGAATAGCATTGAAGCTATAAATTGCTTTGGGCAGTATGGCAATTTTAATAATATTGATTCTTTCTATCCGTGAGCAACGTTTTGTAGTTCTCCTTATAGAGATCCTTCACCTCCTTAGTTAGCTGTATTCCTAGGTATTTTATTCTTCTTGTGGCAATTGTGAAAGGGAATTTATTCCTGACTTGGCTCTGAGCTTGACTGTAGTTGGTGTCCAGGCAAAAAAGCACCAAGTTTTAAAAACATTTTAAGGCAGTTCCCAGATTCAAACTTAATGAATAAAAAATGTGCTAAATTTGCATAAATATTTTACCTGGTTTCAATATGTTTTTTGTTATAAAACAAAGTAACTTACCACTTGATCTTTTCGAATTTATATCCTACCCGGTCACAGCAAAGTCTCAGCTGATCAGATCTAGCTCACAGTGACATTTGCAGCTGTAGAACGGCCAGCCTGTCAGCCACTGTGAATTCATCCATCCCAGGACAGCTATCAAGAGAGTAAAGAGACAGCATTAGCCACTCACGCAGATATCTCTTACATATGCGTTTCTTTAGAAATGGTAACTTTTCAAGAATTAACTCTTAAAAGTTGCAAATGTAATATAATTTCACCAGATGGAGATGAAATTAACTATGTTAGAGTTTTCTCCGCCTTTGACATTTGACATTACCACACTAGTTGCAGCTAATTAGAGTAGTAAGAATAGTTTCTGGTGAGACAGAGTAAAAGGCTTTTCAGAAAAATATTGTCATTGCTTTTTTTTTCTTGAATCTTTCCATGGTTTTTCTAAGCTACATTATCACTTCTATATTTTGAATAACTTTTAATGTATATTACAATTGCTTACATTTTTGTTGAAATAAATAAGAGACAAGTTGTTTATAATTTTTTCCGTATTTGTAAAACCAACTTTTGTTGAGTGCTAGGTACAGAGTATTGAGAGGTAACTAAGATGACCCTTTCTATTTGAAGAGTTTGCAAACTAAGAGGAGCAAAGGCAAGGGAACCAGCAGTTGTATTCTCTATGGGAAGATGTACAATTATATGGAAGATTGCTCCGAGAGTGCAGAGGAAATATGCAGACCTCAGACCGGCATGTCAAGCAGCACATTCTACAGTAGATGAAGTAGATCTGAAAGTCTTACCTCTACCTTTGATTTGATAGAATACAATATTCTACCAATATTCAATAACACACAATACCCCTGAGCATTCAGAACAATGCCTGACACTCTGTGAAAGTTTTTGAATAAATAGAAAAATGAACAAATCATTTTTTCTTGACATATAGTTTTCAGGAATTTAAATGAGATTATTTGTTTTAAAATCTGAAATTAAAAAGTAATTCAGCCTCAAGTTTTAGTTGAAGACAATGTAAACTGTTAAGACAACTACTTGAATGTAAACTTCTAGTGCATGTTCAGCCTTGTAAACAAAAAGCTGATTGGTTGTGACTGACCAGCGAACTTCTTTAATAACCATGTGTCAGGCAACATATTTCTTACTCCATCTGCTGTGAAATGAGCACGAGACAAAAACAATAATAATATGTTGTGTTCCTGCAGCTTTCCTGGGTAATTAGCTTAGAAGGAAAATCTGTAAGCCCAGCTGACATGATGAATTAATGTCAGAAAACAGTAGGATACAGCTTCAGAATAAAAATAATAATAATAGTAATAATAATCAAGTTTCACATGGAAGTCTTTTCAGAATTAAGACGAGGGAATGAAACCCCTACTTCTCTGTTTGAATAAAAACACCGGAAACATTGCATTGAATTTTAATATGTTTAGTTGCATTTAGGTTTCACTATAAGTTTTAAATAGTTAACTACTATGGACAGAACAGCTAGTGTTAGTGCTTAAATAACAACTTCTACAGGAGAAGTAGGAGGATTGAAAGGGGAAAGATAAGTCATCTTTATTGAGGACCTACTAAGTGCCAGACAATTAACATTTATATTTGTTTTTTTCTTTTCCTCTTTGCTTTCCTCTGTTCTGTTCTCTGTTTTTCTATCCTCCCCATTTTTCCAGTTGAGACTCTCATTGTCTCCTAATATATTACCTCCCTTTATTCTCAATTATAGAACCATTGCTGTTAGCTGGAAAGATAGCTGCTCCAAATAAAAACTACTGTCCCTGTCATTCCCTGGAGCTAGATTCTGATTCATGGAGGAGGTGGAAATGATATGGTAAATGTGATACGTCCTTAGAGGTGGGATGTCACAAACACTTTTCTTGCTTCTTTTCCTTCTTCCTCCTGACTCAAATGAGGATATGATGGCCAGAGCTAAATTGCCTATTTTAGACCTTGAAGCAGAAGCTATATTTTTAGGCTGGTAAAGCAAGGAGTTATGAGAAGTCAGGATGGTGGTCATAGAGGCTTCCCACAAAGCCTGGGTTTATGCAAGAGAGAAGCATCTTGTTTGAGACACTCTTATTTTTAGTTTTGGTTACTCACAGCCAAACCTGGTACTAATACATTTCCATTATTTCATTTGTATATTGTTGCGTGATTTATTAATTAGTCAAACACAGTGGCCCACAGATGAGGATTAGTTTCATGATGAACATGTGTTGAAAATTCATACACATGGATTTTCATTCCCTTCTACTATTTTACGGCTGTGTGATCTTGGAGAAAGTCACTTTATTCTTTGAACCTAAGTTTATTTATCTATAAAATGATAGATTTGGACCAGTAGTTTTCATATCGGGGCAAGTTGGCCTCCCAGAGTACATCTGGCAATTTCTGGAGACATTTTTGATTGTCGTATTCAAGTGGTAGAGTGCCGCTGGCATGTAGTGGGTAGAGACCAGGGATGTTGGTAAACATTGTACAATGCACAGTACCACCCACCTATGGCAAAGGATTATCTGGGCCAAAAATGTCAATAGTGCCGAATTTGAGAAACCCTGGTTTAGACAAAATGTCTTGGCTCCTTTCTAAGGGCAGTAGTTCTTTCAGGATTAAAATAATTCATTTATTATTTAGAGATTATTATTGTCTTTCTTGTGGTACTTCAACATTCAGTAAGACAAAATTTTAGACAATGAAAAAGAAAAAGAAAAAATTAGTTTCTATGATAAGTTGTGTGGTAGAGCAGGTGCCAAGACTGGTTAAGTGAACAGGGATTTTTCTGTCTCTCTGTCCTGTCCTCCCCAGCATGCTGGCTTTGTCCTCAAGCTGGGTCTACTTAGGCCCGTCACATGGCAGCCAACGTTCCTGCTGTCACATATAAAGAATAGGGTAATGTTGCAGAGGAGATAGTTTTTTTAATCTATTTTTATTGGCGTGATATCTATTTCTATTGGCAAGATAAATCATTTACAATAACACTAAAAAAACTTTTTCCTAACAACTTATTAGCAAAAATTTCTGCTCTGCCATTTTCTTATTTGCAGGTGACATCTAGGAACTGGTAGTTTGCCATCTTAAAAAGAATCAGGTCCAGGCGGGGGATAAAGTCAACCTGTTGAAAGTGGCAGAGAAGAAAGATAAAACGAACCTGAGCCCGTAATGGCATCATTGCAGGGAACAAAATTAGAAATACCATCCTATGGGAATTTGTATTGTGTGAACAAATTTTCCTTTCCAAATATCATCACTTGACCTCAATCACTGGCAGAAAGAATGAGATCATTGCCTCTTTTAGAATGTGATTCTCTCTCTGCGACCGGGGTAAGGGCTCACCTCTTCAGAAGCATATGGCTATGTGGAAAATGGTGGGTGCTTGATTGAAATCTGGGCTCCAATAGGAAGAGCAAAGGGGGAAGGATAGTTACTACGTAGGAAACCAACAATGTCTGCTATTAATATTTACTACGTGACAAACACTGTAAAGAAGTGGGGGTTTTAAGACAAGTATTGGAGAAATCTTCGTGCCCACGGAGTTCCCAATTTCCAGGAGAGAGCGTATAAATAAATGATACATTGTGTGGAACAATTGAGTGTGCACTGGCATGCAACAGTGTTAAACAAAGCTTTGGTAGCAAGCATGAGAAACAGGCTGACAAAAGCAGGTCAAACATACAAATACAGTGAAATTAAAAATAGGAAATTTATTTTATAATTTTTATAGGAAAATTTTTGAGGAGAAGCAAATTTGAAAGGCAGAGAGTACATCCTCAAAATTTTTTTCTAGAAAAAATTAGAATATAAATTATGACAGTATAAAAATAACAAGAATTATCCATGAAAAGAGGCGCCGTTGATACAGTTTGCATCTATGCTGTTCATCCTGTATTTTTGTGATCTTCCACACTAAAGAAAGGTCCACTTTTATTTGAATATAATACATATATATAGTTTGTTTTAGAGTCTGAAAAAATGTTACATGAAATTCCCAAGCAGTCTATGATATAAGCCACAGTGATTTTGTAATTCCTAGACTAGCCACAATATGTTATATTGGGCTTTGAGCCCACGTCTTCTGTCCCTTATATTCTCTTTTTCTAGTTATGTCATAAGTTTAGGTTCAGCTTCACCAGATAGACTGAAAGTCTTTTGAGGGCACGCATTAGATGATAATAATCATCTAATCCCACCTCCAAGACAAACAGTAGGAACAGAAGGGAATAAAAGCAATGACATCAAACAGAAAATCTCTCTTTTCATGGCAGTGATAGTGCTGTGACTGAATCAAACTTTTGTCACTGAAGTCTGTTCATCTTTGGTATGGGAAAATTTAATATAATTAAACAATGTTAAATCTGTGTAATACTTTACCATCTTAGTTTGAGCTTTTAATTTTTAGTAATGAAAGTGGTGGCTAAAGACATAAATGAGTTTCTCCAAATCCCACAGCTAATTAGGCTGTGAGTGGAAACAAGATGCCAGAACACAAATACCTAGAACACAAATACAAGCATGAGTGCTAGCAAAATTGATGGTAGAAGTCAGAACTGTAAAGAAAACTATTTCTATATATTTTTCTCATTTCCTTGTAAGTGTTGATAGATTATCTTTCTGGTCAGAACTTGTGCCTTGAAATTTTGCCTTATACATTTTCAATATTTGTATTGAGAAGCATTGAAACAGAAACCAAATACCTCCAACTGAGTTGAAAGGATTCTTCTATTAAATAGCTCTCTAGTGTTTCAGCCAGCAGTGAAATTTCAGAACATTTAATTTGGCCAAGTAAAAAGTTCTTAGCTGTCACCTTTTTCTTTCTTTCTTCTTCTATTTTCTCCCCTAAATTTGCAGAGGGAGTCTTGAGATCTATTTTAACCTAATTATTTTTGACAGGCCAACAGTACCAAACAGGATGAAATTATAACCTTTTCAGTTAATTGTTGTGATTATCTACTTAGCATAATGCTCTCGCCTGTCACACTAAGGAGATACCTGCTGTGGGGATGCAGTTAGGTATGAAGTGTGCACCTTAAGATTTCATTAAAAAATCAAAATATGTACACACATTAGGAAATAGAACAGAAGAAGATCAGCACCTGGGTAACCGGCCAAGAAGTAAAAGTTTATTTTGCAGATGAATGACTGACTGAACACTCTCTCAGTCTGACCTTTTTATATTGTAAGGACCAGAAAGAGAAGAGTGAATTAAGGGTTCGCTGACCCATTAAAAGTCATTTTGCAAGAGAGTGCCATAGAAATCAGCTGTCTAAGGGTTTGGGGCAAGGAAAAGTGGAGCCATTCATGAAGGAATTTGATGAAGCGTAGTAGAGAAATGGACCAAAGTCATAGTAAAGGGAGTACACTGAATAATTTCTTCCTGATAGCAGGAGGAAAGAAGCCTTGCAGTGCATGGAGATAAGTGCATAAAGGGAAAAGAATGACAAGTTGGAAAAACATCACTTGGAGAAACGATCCTTGGGTCATTGTTTCTATTTTATTGATTTCATCAGGGGACTCCTTTATCTTTTATTTTGGGCCAGACATATTACTAGGATAAAGGACAATCAGGACGTTTATTGCTAATTTTTTCATGAGAGGATAATAATGTCCACGTTACAATCTCCATTTCTATTAGCTAAGGACAATGAGAATCAAGACTTGTGATTATATACAGGGCCAGGATGACCAGGAATTCTCATGTCTAAAGACTCTCTTGGTGTTTGCTGTGAAAACCAGAGGCTCATTTTTATGGGTCTGCCCTTGAAACTATAACCTTATTTTAATTGGCTTCAACATTATTCATAACTCCAAGATAATTAAACTGTGTTCAAGACTTTAGAGAGGGCATCAGGAGTCAAATCCTTACTTAGGACTCCCTGATATATTGCTTCCATGGTGTCTGACCTCAGAAAATGTCTGTAAAATGTCTTTTGGGCTTTGTGGCCCTATAACCTTAACTTTGTCTAGTTTCCTGAGAAGTATTGGTAAGTTTTGCCTTTCTCTCTTAAAAATATAGATGTTAGACTGAGATTTGAGACGCAATGAAAGATGAAGTTAAAGTAATTTACAGATGCCTAATATCATATTTAAAGAAGCTTTTTTTAGGGGGTGGGGGTGGACAGCGAATGGAGTCTCGCTCTGTCACCCAGGCTGGAGTGCAGTGGCAAGGTCTTGGCTCACTGCTATCTCCGCCTCCTGAATTCAAGTGATTCTTCTGCCTCTGCCTCCTGAGTAGCTGGGATTATAGGCATGTGCCACCATATCCAGCTATTTTTTATATTTTTAGTAGAGACGGAGTTTCACCATGTTGGCCAGGCTGGTCTCGACTCCTGACCTCATGTGATCTGCCCATCTTGGCCTCCCAAAGCGCTGGGATTACAGGTGTGAGCCACCGCACCTAGCCTGAAGAAGCTTCTTAAACATCATATAGAAAAGAGGGGGTTTATTCTGTATTAAACATGGTGGATGCACAGTACACCTGTGCATAGAGAAATGATTAATCCATTCACATGACATGTATTTGTTCTTTCATTGTTACGTGCCAGACATTGTGCTATTCCTTTAATGGTACCTGTTTGTTAGACCCATGTTCACATAACAGGAAATCAGGTTCAAGTCATAGCTTTCATGTGTCTAATATATGTCAACATAGTTAATTCTTTCATTTAGGTATGTTGATAATAAAGCCCAACGAGACAGTTAACCTAAATTTGGTCTCGGTTAACCTCTTAAAAAATATGTCAGTTAGAACATAAGAGGCCTTGGCTATGAAAGTGAGATTAGGCCAGAAAGGCAGAATAATCATAGCACTGGGAGCATCAACTATGGAGCTAGAGAGATTGGGTTTGTATCTCTGCTGCGGCATTTGCTAGCTGGGTAACCTTGGGCAAACCAACTTCTTTATGCCTCTTTCTGCATCTTTGAGATTAGGACTCTAACAGTAATTCTTCATCAGATTGAGAGCACAGTGAAATAATAAAGATAAAATGATTAGAAAAAAATCTGACTCATATTAAGGGCTCAGTAATTGTTAGATTAATGATGGTAGTATTTTGTTTATTATTATTTTTCTTTGTGTATCCTGTAAGACTCAATTTTGCCCATCAAACAAAAAATTAGAAATTTCCTTCTTAGTAGGGGCTGGGGCTTTAGACCAAGAAAGAATTAGTTTAAATAGTTAATAGTAGCTTTGACATTGGGAGAAGGAGTGAGTGATGATTACTATGATGTTCCATCCTAATATTCTCTGAGGACCCTCTTTGTGTTGGATGGTGTTTGCTGTTTCTCAGCTTCGTACTTGTGAATGTCTTACAGACATTTCTTTATCAATGGGGCTAGAAATTTGCTTATTACATTTCATACTCTTTTCCTGGGCAGATTTCTGTTAGGTTCTTCCAGTGGGGAATTACTGGAGGTCAGAAGGTAGGAGAAGGAAAATAGAAGGTGTTGCCAGTCAGCGATAGTAAGAGAATCGATAGTAGCACCAGCACTTTGGCATTTTAGCATTTTAGTACCATATATGATATTGAGCTCAGTAAGATCTTCAACACAGATAAAATTGCATGGAAAAGTAGGTTACATGGGGCAGAAATCATGCTGTATAGAGCTCATGGTTATAGGATGTAGCATATTATTCTACAGCATCTGGCCTCATAGAATGATAGAGGCAGTCTGATGATTCACTTGCTATCAGTTGAAAGACAACACCTTGTGAGTTTGGGCTGTTTTCCCGTAGAGTGTGATATATGCTTAGAACCTTTGGTGAATGGACCATGCTGTTTCCCTCACAGCAAGATACAGCAGTTTAGAAGTAAAGAGTGGAAGCAAGTGATTCCTGTCACTAATGCCTCTAACAACCCACTCACAAACATTCACTTCCCATTTCCAGAATCTTGAGTTTTTTCTGATTTAGGAGTTTTAGATCCCAGGAGGAAAACGTTTAAGCATCACAACGTTGTTTTCAATGAAATTAAGGTTGAAGCTGCTACCTGCTCATTTTGAGTTCCTCATGCCATCAAATCAAGAGGCAAATATGGGGTTACTGTACTGTACACTTATTTTTATTAAAGTGAAATAGGATGCTGCTGCCCACAGAGGCAGGAGAAACTAAGAGACCCAGGGGATTCTCTGGGTTGTCTCTTAGTATTAGTACTTCTCTGCACAGAAGTAAACATTAGTGGAAGATGACAGAAATCCAATAATAGTAGGACAAACAAGTAATCAGAAATTCAGGAATAAATAATTAGGTAAAGAACACTAATCAGCTGACATGTTTGCTGGGGCATGGGGAACGTTGGATAGATCACAGACTAAGGAAGTCATAACATCAACTATGTTCTCATGGATAGTTGCAGAAATGAAGACTGTGGTAACTGCTCACATTTTCCTATTGTTTGTTATGTACATGTATTAGGTAGTATTTATATTTTCCTTTCCATTTTTCCTACTATATTATGTAAGAGGAGGTACAAAAGTCTTTAGCTAATGATCTGTTTAGGTGGGCTTTTAACAAAACTGGAAGTGGAATTAATATTATCTAGTCACTTATTTGAATTGATATGTGCCCTTTTCAGAGGCAATAATGTCTATCTTAGTATTTATGAAAGATATCTGTTTCTTTTAGTTATGTGGAAACCTGACATCGTTAAAGTTGTTGTTTGGAAGTTTAAATATGGAAAGAATGAGTATGAAGAACAGTCATCTGGAATGGACTCTCCCAAATGGTGTCTATAGTCTTTCAGCTTCATGTTCATCCTTTAATATGCTTTCCTTGAAACAAGGACTGGATGCCTATAAATTATTATGAGTTATGTTTCTCAACATTCCTTTTTCAACTGGCTTTCCATCACGTTCAGCCAATGGGAAATATTGAAGTGAAATTAGAAGAAGAAGAAAAGATGTATTTTTTTCTAGCTTCTGTCGGTGCTTTACAAAACAGTAGCAATAGCTACTATCATTTTGTGTGTCTTGGTTCCAGATAAAGTAGCTCAGATCCAACAACAGCATGTTCAATGGGACAGTGATCCTGGACTTGGGGTGTAACACTCCTCTGCTTCTTCAGTTCTATGGGGGGCAGAAATCACCTTTAGTTATACATTTTGGGCTAAATTTACCTTCCCCTTTTATCTCTTCTTAAGACATTGGCTTAAAAGCAAATCTCTGCATTAAATTCAATTTTAAAGATACCCAGTTTTCCTTATTGCATATAAGCTAATGCAGCCTCGTGTAGGAAATGTTTTTAGTTTCCAGCTGTTTCCTTGCTCTGCTGCTTGGATCGCTTAAGACTATGACAGGACAAGTTCACATGGTGAGAGAGTGAAAGAGGTGTAACACAGATGTAGTTCCAATCACTTCATTTATTTGGTTTCTTTCTACTCCGTTTTGGACTTTTATCCTTCATTGTCTCAGTATTACAGAGCACCATCTATTTTGAGGAGGAGGATTCGGAGGATTCATATTTAGTCCTATGGTGTTTCTGCAATCTTTGTTTAAGTCCTTTGTATCTCTGGTTTAGGACATGGATTTGTTGCACTCTTCCTTTCTATAAGCTTTTACATGCTGTTTAGTTAGATATAGCATCACCAGATAAAATACAGAATTCTTGGTTAACTTTGAATTTCACATAAATATGACATGGGGCATATTTGTAATAAAAATATTTTGTTGGTTTTTTCTTTTCTTTTGCTAAATCTGGCAACCCTAGTCTGTTAAGTTCCATAAGAATTTATTCTAAGAGCTTCCTATGCTGTAACAGAATTATATTATGCAGAGATTTCCGTTTTATAGGTTCAAAAACAGGTTGAATGTGTTCAATCTTCAGCAGAGAGATCAAGGTAATCGATTTCTCAACTCCATATTCCTTCAGTCCTCAACAGTAGGCAGATGGCATCTAACACTCTAGACCAATGTTTCTTAAAGTGTGGCCCCTGACCAGCAGTATCAGCACCACTTGCAGATACTCAAGATCAAGCCTCAGCGAGATCTACCTAGTCAGAAGCTCTGGTGTTGGGGCCCAGCAATCTGTGTTTTTATAAACCCTCTAGGGCATACTAACTCAAGTTCGTGTTTGAGAACTGTAGTCAAATATGCGGTGTAGTCAAATATACAGCACCTGTAATATTACACCTTCCTCATCTGCTGGTGCTAGAAGTTATCATTTCTTGACTATAATATTTCCCACAAGAGCCGTGTCTAGTCCCAGAATATTTTTTAATGTAGCTCTATAGGCAGGCACTGCCAATTTATTTCCCAATGCATTATTAATCCCAGGGTATACTTCCATCTTACCATCCCCAACTTTGGAATCTCACTAAAACCTACTTTTCCTTGAATAATGCTTTATATTCTGAAATGTCCTTCCTTGCAACCTACAATTTTTTCAGCTATAAGTTTTCATCAAAGATGGACCAAAATGACCAAGACTGACAGTGAGTTAAATGAGCCTCATGCGTGAATGCTGATTCCTGGTAAGGAGTTGCACATCTGAAAGCAATGAAATTCATTAGCAAAAGGGTCACTATCATGGTAAAACTTAAGATACTGTGTAAGGCAAGTTCAATAAATTATTTTGGTTAGGAAAGATATAACAGTGACATGAAAATCACATTGAAACAATTAACCGTTTATCATTTCTATGGATAAATTGTGGGTTTGGTATATTGTCTTGGGAAGCCTTGAGATATAACATTCTTGTGCTACATCTATTTGGGTGTATTTGGAGATTCTGAGTGAGACACTGTTTGAATTCACAGAGAAAAAAAAATCTCATTTTCCCATAGGTAAATAACTCCTGAAATAAAGTCATTATAAATTACAGTGTGGCTTATTTACCATCAATACAAACCCCATTAATTAGATGTTGGCTCAATCAATTGCAAGGTGCCACTGGGTCAGGTCAACGTTAGAAAAAGAATAATGAAAGGTTGCTTGGCAAGAGGCTGATTCTAATGAGTAAATGAAGTAATTTTTTTTTTTTTTTTTTTACTACAGAGGAAGGAATCAGGCCTCCCTGGCCAATTTCTGAGAGTCAGGAGTACTAAGCAGACATGAGCATTAAGAATTGGTCTCCAAATACATGGAAAATTGATCACATCCATTACTATATTCTCATGAAAATGAAATATTTTATCTATATTATTGGCAATGTTTTAATGAATGAAAAATTTCGGACTATCAAGTGTGTGATAGCATCTAAATTTGCAGATTCTACTTACAGGAATGTTAATTACCATATATTTTATGAAGGTTAATTTGATTATTTTCATCAGGAGTCTTTTGAATATTCTGTTTAACCCAGTAATTCAACCTGTTAGAATCTGTCTTAAAAAATAATTAGAAATATAAGTAAAGATTTATGTATAAGGAGGTTTCGCTATTTTTAAAACAGTGAAAATTCAGAAATTGTAGCTTAAATAGCTCTAATAGTAAGAGAATGGCTAAATTATGGAGCTAATAATGTAGATTCTAATGATTTTAATCATTATATGACTGTTTAATTATTTTATATAAAATTCCTATGACAAAATGCAAGGTGGAAAAGCAGGATAGAGTATTAATACTAAGTCTATAATTTATAGAACCTGATCATCAGCATTTGGGTGTGTTTTATTATCTTCCATTTTACTATAAATATACTTGTGTGTCTACACAGAATCGAGACTTTTATATGTACAGTCATCTGCCTGTATTCATGGGGTATTGGTTCCAGGACCCTTGCAGATACCAAAACTTGCAGATGTTCAAATCCCACAGGTGGCCCTGTGAAGCTCTCAATATAAAAGTTGGCCCTTCATATCCACAGGTTCTGCATCACATGTCAATACTTGGTTTGTTGGATCCATGGATGGTGAACCCACGTGGTCAAGGGGTCAAGGTGAAAGAAGGAAGCCCAGTTAGAAGGCTTTTAATATGTCACATGAAGGATAATGATGGTTACAGCTGGGGTATTAGCAATGGATAAGTTTTATGGTCAGATTTTGAATATAGTTGAAAATGCAGCCGGTTAGACTTTTTGATGGACAGGAAGTAAGGCACAAAAGAGAGAGAAATCAGGATTGTGCCACGGTTTTGTTTTGACCAACATTAAAAATGAAGTTGCCTTTACTGAGATAGAGAAGTCTATAGGAGAAGCAGATTGGTGGTTGGGGAGGGATGGATCAAGAAATGGATAATTTTGTTTTGGATATGTGGATATGTTGAATTTGAGGTACCTATTACATGTGCCAGTGGAGATACACAGTAGATGAGAACTGGATGCAAAAATATAAGTACATGGGAGAAGACTTGACTGGAATTATATACTTGGCCATTGCAGTTCTAGAAAGTATTTAAAGGGAGGGGACTGGATGATCTAAACTGACATGTTAAGTGTAGATGAAGAACAGGTCTGATGAATGAGCCCTAAAGCATCCTAATGTTAGAAGTTAGGAAGGTAAACAGAAATTGCAAAGAAGACTGAGCACCTTCAGCCAATGTGAGACAATTTTTTTAGAATAAAGAGTCCAAGATTTTAATATACATGAGAATTATCTGAGTGTCTTGTTAAAATGCAGATTCTTACACTTTGAGTCAGAGAGCAGTTTGTGATTCTGCTTTTATAACAACAAGCGCAAAGCAATGCCTCTATTGCTGGCCCTTAGACCACACATTGAGTAGCAAGGACCTAGGAGAGAGTGGCAGAGTGTGTTGATTATGGGAATATTCTTGTCTCTCTGGGAAATTCCAAGAATCCACTTGAAATGTATGATCATGAATTTTAAGTGATACTAGTCAGCAAGATTGTGTGTTTTTCTAAGGCCACTTGGAAATTTGGGTCCAGATTTGGAGTAGGAAGAGACCAATATTTAATCCCAGCTGCATTTTGTTAAATATGTAAAAAGCGGGAAGAGAGGGACAAAGGAGCTGAAAAACATTGCAATGGAGTGACTATAATGATGGGCTATGAAATATGAGAACAATAGGGGAAGAAATAAAGGCACAAGGGGATGGAAATCAACAGTGAAAATTCGATAAGGTTAATGGATTGGAAGTCCCAGTGGTTGGGTGAAAGTTAGAGTTCAAAAATAAGTAGGTCTGGGATGGAAAAATGGGAGACGTTAATAGGAGAATGGCTGCTTGAGACTATGGATGTGTTGCAGTTATAGTAATTCCAAGGTCTAGGTTATGACCCTGGGAATAGGTAACTGAGGTGAAATGATGACAAAGTCAAACAACTCAGTGACAGATGCTGGAAAGGTAATCTATGTGGAGATTAACTATGTGAGTCTTGGGACAAAAATTGTGGGAGAGAGAGATGAGCCATGTGTTAACATTTAAAGGAATTAGGGACAAGAGCCTCAAGATCCACAGAGGACTGCAAAATAAAGAGACATAGTAGGCGGTGAAGAAGGAGAGTGATTCATGAAGTTCAGAAATAGTTTATATTCTCCGTTTTCAAGTCATTTGGTAGGAAATGCGCCCAAGAAGTTATGCCTGTTCATTTGAATGGCTTTAGTCAATTAATGTGAGCATGAGATGTCACCTCTTGGAAAGCCATTTGCAAGAGCCAAAATACAATTTTCCATGTCTATTTTTCTCTGCCACAGTGAATGACAAGATGCAGGCTCTATCCACCTGGTCTCAAAATGATGGTGACATGGAGTAGTGTTCCAGTGAGCAGACATGGACAGGTTAGGTGAATGAGAAACAATATTTTTGTTATTTTAAGTCAGTAAGATACTGAATTGACTGTTAATAAATCATAATTAAAGGCCCTATGTAATATAGTAAGTTGATACTATGAACTTCAAACAAACTTGGGATTTTTAGGTAGAAGGAGAATAGTATGAAAGAGTTATGAAAAGTGTCTGTTCATACCCTTCGCCCACTTTTGATGGGGTTGTTTGATTTTTTCTTGTAAATTTGTTTGAGTTCATTGTAGATTCTGGATATTAGCCCTTTGTCAGATGAGTAGATTGCAAAAATTTTCTCCCATTCTGTAGGTTGCCTGTTCACTCTAATGGTGGTTTTTTTTTGCTGTGCAGAAACTCTTTAGTTTAATTAGAAGACATTTATGCAGCCAAAAGACACATGAAAAAAATGCTCATCATTGCTGGCCATCAGAGAAATGCAAATCAAAACCGCAATGAGATACCATCTCACACCAGTTAGAATGGCGATCATTAAAAAGTCAGGAAACAACAGGTGCTGGAGAGGATGTGGAGAAATAGGAACACTTTTACACTGTTGGCGGGACTGTAAACTAGTTCAACCATTGTGGAAGTCAGTGTGGCGATTCCTCAGGCATCTAGAACTAGAAATACCATTTGACCCAGCCATCCCATTACTGGGTATATGCCCAAAGGATTACAAAACATGCTGCTATAAAGATACATGCACACATATGTTTATTGTGGCACTATTCACAATAGCAAAGACTTGGAACCAAGCCAAATGTCCAACAATGATAGACTGGATTAAGAAAATGTGGTACATATACACCATGGAATACTATGCAGCCATAAAAAAGGATGAGTTCATGTCCTTTGTAGGGACATGGATGAAGCTGGAAACCATCATTCTCAGCAAACTATTGCAAGGACAAAAAACCAAACACCATATGTTCTCACTCATAGGTGGGAATTGAACAATGAGAACACATGGACACAGGAAGGGGAACATCACACACCAGGGCCTTTAGTGGGGTAGGGGGAGTGGGGAGGGATAGCATTAGGAGATAAACCTAATGTTAAATGACAAGTTAATGGGTGCAGCACACCAACATGGCACATGTATACATATGTAACAAACCTGCACGTTGTGCACATGTACCCTAAAACTTAAAGTATAATAATAATAATAATAAAAAGAAGGTGTTATGAAAAATAGTGAAGATTGTATTCCTCACTTTAGGCTTAAAGTTACCCACTATGTGGGAGAGAAAACAGAAATATGTCATCAGGAGATTAGAAACAAAGAATACAGGGAGAATTTAGGACATTTTGCTGAGAATATGGGTATTACAAAGAGACCATTAACTTGGGTCAAATTAGGAGATCTGAGAAGCATTTGGACAAGAGATAAGAGACATCCTGAATGTCTTGCAGTAATCAAGGATATAGGGCAGGGATCAGCAAACTTTTTCTCTAAAGGGTTAGATGGTAAATATTTTTTGGTAAAGCAGCAAAATTGAACATATTATGGAAGTAGCTATATAACTACTTAAAATGTAACCATTGAAGTATGCAAAAAAAATATTCTTAGCTTTCAGGCCATACAAAACAGGGAAGCGGGCTGCAGTTTGCTGACCCCTGATAGAAAGCATGATGGAGTTAGGTCCTTCCTTGCTTTTCAGGAATTTCAACACAATCAGCATATAATTACTGCTGAACATATTCCCACTATGGCTGCTTCTGCTGCTGTGCCTATAGCCTCCACTGCTACTATCACTGCCATGACAGAAATAAACAATGCCCATACCAGAATTACCAACATTCCTTTCAACATCATCATTCCAAGTACTGCTATCTTTACCTACCATTTATGAGTACTTGCTCTTTTCTATGCTTTGCTAAGTACTATAGAATCACAGCTCTTTTGTGGTTCACTATAATCTTGAAGCCAGAATTATTATTTCCTTTGAAGGGTTAAGGAAACTGTGACTTGGAAAAATTAAAGTCCAATGGTACCTAAGTGACATGGGCACCAATGGAAACAGCATTCTTATTTTCACATATATGTCACTTCAAAAATATATGTTATGTTACTCTTTTATGCTTTTCCCACATTACTTACATTTTGACTTCCCCTGTTCAGAAATACTGATGGTGAGGAAGGTGAGCTAGCTATGCAAATGGCTCTAAATCTTATATATCCTTATGACTATGGATACATTGAAGTGCTCCACTGTCATGCCTTTTCCTGACCTATGTAATAATCTCCCCCAAACTGGTTGGCACTGGGCCTGAATGGCTGCCCTTATTTTAGTTTGATTGAAGTTCATTCTTGAGGTTTTAAATATTTAAAATTAATGGACAGTTTGAGAAAAAGAAGACTGACCAAGTGAGAGGTGTTTGACCTCAATTGCATCAGTGTATTTAAAGTTGACATTTTCTTCTATAGGAAGATTAAAAATACTGAAGTTAAAACAGAAAGGGGTACTTCTGTTGTATCCAGATAATATGTTTGAGCTCCTTGACCTGTCTGGGGGAACAGAAAGTCCAGCTGAATAATATGACTGAGATCTACGAAAGAGGAATCTTCAAGCAGGTAACTTCAACCTCATTTAAATAGGTAAGAAACCAAGGTTTTGCCAATAGTTAAATACTTTAACTTTTTTTTTATATATATATACTTTAAGTTTTAGGGTACATATGCACAATGTGCAGGTTTGTTACATATGTATACATGTGCCATGTTGGTGTGCTGCACCCATTAACTTGTCATTTAACCTTAGGTATATCTCCTAATGCTATCCCTCCCCCATCCCCCCATCCCACAACAGGCCCCGGTGTGTGATGTTCCCCTTCCTGTGTCCATGTGTTCTCATTGTTCAATTCCCACCTATGAGTGAGAACATGTGGTGTTTGGGTTTTTTGTCCTTGCAATAGTTTGCTGAGAATGATGGATTCCAGCTTCATCCATGTGCCTGTTACAAAGGACATGAACTCATCATTTTTTATGGCTGCATAGTATTCCATGGTGTATATGTGCCACATTTCCTTAATCCAGTCTATCATTTTGGACATTTGGTCAACAAGAAGAAAATTTAGTCCTGAAAAATAATTTTTTATAAAGGCTGACATTTTGGCCCAGCATTGTTGTTGTTATTGACTTTATTTTTTTTTTACAGCAGTTTTAGGTCCACAGCAAAATTAAGCAGAAAGTACAGAGAGGTCTAATGTGTTTTGGTTATTTTAAAAATTAATAGACTACTTGTTACATAAAACAAAGTAGGTTTTCTTGCTTGTTTTGTCTTTTTTTTTCAGTAACACTCTAAAGGGTAAATTTATTTTGTCTGCAAATCAAGTGTGCATACATGTTGCCTTGTTTTCTCTTCACTTCAAACATGTAAAATTTCATCTAGAACTTAATTTTGTAAGTATTTGAGGAATAATTCATACCTTTATTATAGCAGATAAAAGCCTAGATAGGACATTTAAAAAATAATTTCTAAATTGTACCGCAATTATTTTAATTTCAAAAAGCTTTCCTTTATCATATTCTTATCTTTTATTTTTATGTTTTAATGTTTTAATAATTTCAACTTTTAGATTTGAGGGAACATGTGCAGGTTTGTAACATGACTATATTTCATGATGCTGAGATTAGGGGTATGAAAGATCCCATCACCCAGGTGCTCAGCATAACACCCCATAGGGTGTTTTCAGCCCCTGCTTGCCTCTCCCTCTCCTCCCTCTAGTAATCCCCAGGTCTGTTGTTCCCCTCTTACCTATTTATGAACCCAACGTTTAGCTCCACACACAAGTGAGAATATGTGGTATTTGATTATCTGTTCCTAAGTTAATTCACTTAGGATATGGCCCCGACCTATATTCATGTTATTGTAAAAAAAAATAAGTAATTTTGATTTTTTTATGGCTGGCATTCCATGGTATATATTTACCAAATTTTATTTATCCAATCCACCATTGATGGGCATGCAGGCTGATTTTATGTCTTTGCTATTATGAATAGTGCTGTTATTAATATATGAGTACATGTGTCTTTTTGGTAAAAAAAAAAAAAAATG
Source organism: Homo sapiens (assembly GCF_000001405.40). Classification (NCBI taxonomy): domain Eukaryota; kingdom Metazoa; phylum Chordata; class Mammalia; order Primates; family Hominidae; genus Homo; species Homo sapiens. The sequence goes on along the minus strand of NC_000002.12, from coordinate 117,239,948 downwards.
TATTTCCCTTTGAATATATACCCAGTAATGGGATTGCTAGATCAAATGGTAGTTCTGATATAACTTCTCTGATAAATTTTCAAACTGCTTTCCACAGTGGCTGAACCTATTTACATTCCCACAAACAGTGTATAAGCATTCCCTTTTCTCTGCAGAATGGCCAGCATCTGTTAATTTTTTGGTCTTTTTAATAATAGCTATTCTGACTGGTGTAAGGTGGTATGTCATTGTGGTTTTGATGTTCATTTCTTTAATAATTAGTATGGAACATTTTTTTCATATGCTTGTTGACTGCTAGTATATCCTTTTTTGAGAAATGTCTGTTCATGTTCTTTGCCCACTTTTTAACGAGGTTATTTGCTTATTGTTTGTTGACGTGTTCAAGTTCCTTATAGATTCTGGATATTTGAACTTTGTCCAATGCGTAGTTTGCAAATATTTTTTTCTCATTCTGTAGGTTGCCTGTTTAGTCTACTGATAGTTTCCTTTGCTGTGCAAAAGCTCTTTAGTTTCATTGGGTACCACTTGTCAATTTTTGTTTTAGTTGAAATTGTTTTTGAGGACTTAGTCATAAATTCTTTGCCAGGGCTGATGTCCAGAAAAGTAATTCCTACGTTTTCCTCTAAGATGTTTATGGTTTGGGGCCTGAAATTTAAATCTTTAATACATCTCGAGTTAATTTTTGTATATAGTAAATGTCAGGGGTCCACTTTCATTCTTCTGCATATGGCTACCTAATGACCCTAGTACCATTTATTGAATAGGGAGTTCTTTTCACATTGCTTATTTTTGTTGACATTGTTGAAGATCAGATAGTTGTAGGTATGTTGCTTAGTTTCTGTGTTCTCTATTCTGTTCCATTGGGCAGTATTTGTGTCTGTCTTTGTACTAGTACTATACTCTTTTGATTACTGTAGCTTTAAGAGTATTTTGAAGCTGGTTCTTTTGATGCTTCTTGCTTTGTTCTTTTTGCTTAGAAATGCTTTGACTAATATTTGGCTCCTTTTTGGTTCCATATAAATTAAAATAGTTTTTTACAATTTTTTGAAAAAATGATATTGGTAGTTTGATAGGAATAGCATTGAATCTGTAGATTTCTTTGAGCAGTATGGCCATTTTAATGATATAATTCTTCCAATCTGTAAGCATGGAATGGTTTTTCATTTGTTTGTGTCATCTCAGATTCCTTTCAGCAATGTTTTATAGTTCTCCTTGTAGAGATCTTTCACCTCCTAGGTTAAATGTATTCCCTGTTTTTTTTTTTTTTTCCTTTCTCTTTTTTTTTTTTTAACTGCTATTGTAAATGAGATTGCACTCTTGATTTGGCTCTCAGCTTGAACATTATTGGTGTACAGAAATGCTACTGATTTTTGTACACTAATTTTTATCGTGAAACTTTACTGGAGTTGTTTATCAGATCTAGGAGCCCTTTGGCACAATCTTTAAAGTTTTCTACGCATCATATCATCAGTGAAGATAGATATTTTGACTTTGTATTTTTTTAATTTAAATGTCTTTTATTTCTCTTGTCTGATGGCTCTGGCTGGTACTTCCAATACTATGTTGAGTAGGCATGGTTAGAGTGTGCATTACTGTGTTGCTCCTGTTCTTAAGAGGAACACTTCCAGCTTTCACCCATTCAGAATGATGTTGGTTGTGGGTTTGTCATAGATAGCTCTTAATATTTTGAGGTATGTTCTGTTAATGCCTAGTTTCTTACGTGGGGGAGGGTTATTATGAAGTAATGATGGATTTTATCAAAAGCCTCTGCATCTATCGAAATGATCATGTGGTTTCTGTTTTCAGTTTTGTTTTTGTGATGAATTACATTTATTGATATACTTATATTGTAACAACCTTGCATCCCAGGGATAAAGCTCACTCAATCATGGTAAATGAATTTTTTGATGTGATTGCTGGATTTGGTTTACTAGTATTTTGTTGAGAACATATGTGTCTATACTGATCAAGGATATTGGCCTGTAGTTTTCTTTTTTGGTGTGTCTTTACCAGGTTCAGATATCAGGGTGATGTTGGTTTCAAAGAATGAGTTAAGGATCAGTCTCTTTTCCTCAATTTTTTAGAGTAGTTTCAGTATTATTGGTATCAGCTCTTCTCCGTACATTTGAATTTGGCTGTGAAACCAAATTTGGCTGTGAAACCATCTGGTCCTACTCTTTTTTTTATTGTTAGGTTTTTAATTACTGATTCAAATCCAGAGCTTAATATTGGTTTGTTCAAGTTTTCAGTTTCTTCCTAATTCATTATTAGGAGGTTGTGTGCTTCCAAGAATTTATCCATTTTCTCCAGATTTTCTCATTGTGTGCATAGAGGTGTTCATAATAGTTTCTGAGGATCCTTTGTATTTCTATACAGTCAGTTGTAATCTCCTTTGCCATTTCTGATTGTGCTTATTTGGATCTCCTCTCTTTTTTTCTTTATTAATCTAACTAGTGGTTGGATTGATTTTGTTTATTTTTTCAGAAAACCAACAATTGGTTTCCTTGATTTTTTCTATGAATTTTTGATTCACAATTTTATTCAGATAGGCTCTAATTTTAGCCATTTCTTTTTTTTTCTTGCTGGATTTGGGGTTAGTTTGTTCTTGTTTTCTCTAGCTCCTCCAGGCATAATGTTAGATTAATTCTAGATCTTTCTAACTCCTTGATGTAGGCTTTTAGCACTGTAAACTCTTCCTTTAACACTGCTTTGGCTTCATTCTAGAGATTTTGATATGTTGTGTCTCTGTCTTTATTCATTTCAAAAAGTTTTTAAATTTTATTACACCATAATTTTGTTTACTCAAAAGGCATTAAGAACAAGTTGTTTAATTTCCATATAATCGTATAGTTTGGAGAGATCATCTTAGTATTGCTTTCTATCTTTATTCACTGTGGTCCAAGAGTATGGTTGGTATGATTTAAATTTTTTTGAATTTATTGAGACTTGATTTATAGTAGAGCATGTGGTCAATCTCATGATCTGTTCTGTGTTCAGATGAGAAGAATGCATAATCTGTGGTTGATGGGTGGAGGGGTCTGTAGATGCCCATTAGGCGTAACTGATCAAGTGTCAAGTTTAAGTCCAAAACTTCTATTAGTGTTCTGCCTTGATTATCTAAAACTGTGAATGGGGCATTGAAGTCCTTCACTATTATTGTATAGCTCTCTAGGTTTTTTGCAAGTCTAGAAGTACTTGTTCCTTGTTGCTTTGTTTATGTCTTCTTGTTGAATCGAGTCGTTTATCATTATGTAATTGTCTTTTTTGTCTTTTTTACTGTTGTTGGGTTAGAGTCTATTTTATCTTATATAAGAGGAGCAACCCCTGCTCTTTTTTTGTTTTCCATTTGCAAGATAGATGTTTCTCCAACCTTTTACTTTGAGCTTATGGGTGTTGTTACATGTGAGATAGGTCTCTTGAATACAGCAGACAAATGGTCTTATTTTTAATCCAGCTTGCAACTCTGTCCTTAAAGTGGGGTGTCTTTAAAGTGGGGTGTTTAGACCATTTACATTCTGGGTTAATATTGATATGTGAAATTTTGATCCTATTGTGAAATCATTTGCTGGTTGCTTTGTAGTTTCTATTGTTTAGCTGCTTTATAGGATATCTGGACTATGTATTTCAATGCAGTGTTTTGTGTATGTGTGTGGTAGCAAGTATTTTTCTTTCATTTCCATGCTTAGAATGCCCTTGAGAATATTTTGTAAGGCCGGTCTAGTGGTAATAAATTCCCTTAGTGATTGCTTGTCTGGAAAATATTTTATTTCTCTTTTACTTATGAACCTTAGTTTGACAGGACATAAGATTCTTGGTTAGAATTTCTTTTATTATTATTATTATTATTATTATACTTTAAGTTCTGAGGTATATGTGCAGAATGTGCAGGTTTTTATATAGGTACACAAGTGCCATGGTGGTTTGCGCCACTCATCAACATTAGGTATTTCTCCTAATGCTATCCCTCCCCTAGCCCCCCACCCCCAGACAGGCCCCGGTGTGTGATGTTCCCCTCCCTGTGTCCATGTGTTCTCATTGTTCAACTCCCACTTATGAGTGAGAACATGTGGTGTTTGGTTTTTTGTCCTTGCGATAGTTTGCTGAGAATGATAGTTTCCAGCTTCATCCATGTCCTTGCAAAGGATATGAACTCATCCTTTTTTATGGCTGCATAGTATTCCATGGTGTATATGTGCCACACTTTCTTTATCCAGTCTATCATTGATGGGCATTTGGGTTGGTTCCAAGTCTTTGCTATTGTAAGCAGTGCTGCAGTAAACATACGTGTGCATGTGTCTTTATAGTAGAATGATTTATAATCCTTTGGGTATATACCCAGTAAAAGGATTGCTGGGTCAAATGGTATTTCTAGCTCTAGATTGTTGAGGGATTGCCACATTTTCTTCCACAATGTTTGAACTAATTTACACTCCACCAACAATGTAAAAATATTTCCATTTCTCCACATCCTCTCCAGCATCTGTTGCTTCCTGACTTTTTAATGATTGCCATTCTAACTGGTGTGAGATGGTATCTCATTGTGGTTTTGATTTGCATTTCTCTAATGACCAGTGATGATGAGCTTTTATTCATATGATTGTTGGCCACATAAATGTCTTCTTTTGAGAAGTGTCTGTTCATATCCTTTGCCCACTTTTTGATGGGGTTGTTTGTTTCTTTCTTGTAAATTTGTTTAAGTTTTGTAGATTCTGGATACTAGTTCTTTGTCAGATAGATAGAGTGCAAAAATTTTCTCCCATTCTGTAGGTTGCCTATTCACTCTGATGATAGTTACTTTTGCTGTGCAGAAGCTCTTTAGTTTAATTAGATCCCATTTGTCAATTTTGGCTTTCGTTGCCATTGCTTTTAGTGTTTTAGTCATGAAGTCTTTGCCCATGCCTATGTCCTGAATGGTATTGCCTAGGTTTTCTTCTAGGGTTTTTATGATTTTAGGTCTTACTTTTGAGTCTTTAATCCATCTTGAGTTAATTTTTTTATAAGGTGTCAGGAAGGGATCCAGTTTCAGCTTTCTGCATATGGCTAGCTAGTTTTCCCAGCACCATTTATTAAATAGGGAATCCTTCCCCCATTGCTTGTTTTTGTCAGGTTTGTCAAAGATCAGATGATTGTAGATGTGTGACATTATTTCTGAGATCTCTGTTCTGTTCCATTGGTCTATATATCTGTTTTGGTACCAGTACCCTACTGTTTTGATTTCTGCAGCCTTGTAGTATAGTTTGAAGTCAGGTAGCATAATGCCTCCAGCATTGTTCTTTTGCTTAGGACGGTTTTGGCTATGCAGGCTCTTTTTTGGTTCCATATGAAATTTAAAGTAGTTTTTTCAATTCTGTGAAGAAAGTCTAAGGTATCTTGATGGGGATAGCATTGAATCTATAAATTACTTTGGGCAATATGGCCATTTTCACAATGTTGATTCTTCTTATCCATGAGCATGGAATGTTTTTCCATTTGCTTGTGTCCTCTCTTATTTCCTTGAGCAGTGGTTTGTAGATCTCCTTGAAGAGGTCATTCAAATCCCTTGTAAATTGTATTTCTAGGTATTTTATCCTCTTTGTAGCAATTGTGAATGGGAGTTCACTCATGATTTGGCTCTCTGTTATTGGTGTACAAAAATGCTTGTGATTTTTGCACATTGATTTTGTATCCTGAGACTTTGCTGAAGTTGCTTATCAGCTTAAGGAGATTTTGAGCAGAGATGATGGGGTTTTCTACATATAAAATCATGTCATCTGCAAACAGAGACAATTTGATTTCCTTTTTTCCTAATTGAACACCCTTTATTTCTTTCTCTTGCCTGTTTGCCCTGGCCAGAACTTCCAATACTATGTTTAATAGGAGTGTTGAGAAAGGACATCCTTGTCTTGTGTTGGTTTTCAAAGGGAATTCTTCCAGTTTTTGCCCATTCAGTATGATATTGGCTGAGAGTTTGTCATAACTAGCTCTTATTATTTTGAGATATGCTCCATCAATACCAAGTTTATTGAGAGTTTTTAGCATGAAGCGGTGTTGAATTTTGTCAAAGGCCTTTTCTGCCTCTATTGAGATAATCATGTGGTTTTTGTCATTGGTTCTGTTTATTTGATGGATTACACTTATTGATTTGTGTATGTTGAACCAGCTTGTGTCCCAGGGATGAAGTGAAAAGGTTGGCTTCATCCCTAGAATTTCTTTTATTTAAGAATACTGAAAATAGGCCCATAGTCTCTTCTGGCTTATAAGGTTTTTACCGAGAAGTTCACCAATAGCCTGATGGGCACTTGGAAGGAAAGAATAATGTGTAGAGATTAACACTGTATATTTTTTTCCAAGAAGCAATGCAGGAACTTAACAGAAAAATGGAAAGAATCTACAGACCCTTTGAAAGAAGTGGCAGGCTGCAGCCTTCACCATGAGACAGGTGAAAAATTCTAAGTCCCCAGAGTATGGGAGTGGGAGAAACTGCCTCCAGGATACACATCCCCACAAAGGAACCTGAAAATTCAGGCTATCAGAGAAGACCTTAACCCTACCCAGATCTGGAACTGATTTAGGGAGTGATGAGAAATATAAAAGAAGAAACGGCGGTGGAAAATGCCTGGCAGGCATTCCCAGTCTTTAGTGCCAACCTAGGGAGGCCATTCCTTATTATATGTCACAGGAGACCTTGGGGAAGTCAGCCAGCTAGCTCAGGCAGAGGTTACAGGTTGATAGAAGCTTCCAATTGAATTCTGCAATATAACATCAAGTGGGGACAAACTCCCTTGGCCAGAACCTGAGGGGTGAGCCAGAAGTGTGCTGCAGCCACCAGCACAGGAACTGGGCACCTGGACTTGCATACAGATGGAAAGGGGCATGCCCTGAATGGTACAATTGCTACAGTTGCTATCACCACAGGGAAAGCTTATGGCCTGGGACAGGTGGAGTTCTTAACTCAGGCTGCTTAGAGCTTAGCTGGGTGCTTTTATTGGAGTAATGCAGGAGGGAGATCTGCCTTGCCAACTGTGTAGAATCTAGGTGAGGCTTACTACCACCTGCTACTCTCCACTCCCTGTGCAAAACCTTCTGTGCAGCAGAGGCAGTTACACTCCCTATTGGAACCTTACTCCAGTAGCCTGAGAACCACCTACTCCCTGACACCCACAGGGACCGCAGCTTGCCTTGCACATGGAGTGTCAGAGCACAGACCTTTCTGACACTGCCCCTGCTTGTCTGTTCCCCCCCACCTGCCCTGGTAGCTTAACACAAAGGGCAGAAACTTTTGGGAGATTTATGGCCCCACTCTTCCCCTGAGAAACCAGAATACCTCCCCTGAGCAACATAGAACAAGCTCACATCCCACTGTTACTACTGTAGCTGGTGCTGTTTTGCAAATGCCACTTCCTGGTTGGAAGCCAACTAATGCAGTTCATTACAGCAACTCTAGGTAGAATAACACTGCACCGATAAAGGAGAAAACTGGTGTGTGATGTAATCTGTCACCATTGCTTGCAACACCCTGGCTAACCAGGAAGTACTTAGTCTGTCAACATGTCTAGTTCACTGCTATTAAGACAAGCATTTGAGAAAGCCAGTATTCAAGAACGCTAAGGCTATCTATAACCAAGGAATCTCAGAGAGTCTACATCACTCTCCTGCTACCCTCATCAGAGCTGATCCTGGGCTGGGAGATTTGAGGACAGGTCATATCACCAGATCCTTTGCAGACATTCCCCAGCACCAGCCTGGAGTGTGGCAGCCCAACTGGGTGGCTAGGCCTAAAAGAGCAATATTATCCATATAATTTGGCTGTCAAGAACTCCTACTTTTAGGAGAAGGGGAAGAGCACCACATCAAGGGAACACCCCACAGGACAAAAGAATCCAGATGGGAGGCCTTGAGTCCTAGATCTTTCCACTCGTGGGAAGTTACTTTCAGCAGAGACACAATTTCATTGCTAGGCTTAGCAGGGAAAGTCAGTAGCTCTTCTCCAAAAGCCAGGTAGCTTTGGTGTTTGTGAACAGTCGTGGAGAAGGGGGCTTCTTTCCCCTCTTGTCCACCACTGCAGACATAGCTGGGGCTTCTCGCATGGGAGCTTGGCATAGATGCACCTATAGACATCTTTCCTGAAACACTTCAGAGTGACTGCATCCTCACAGGAGGAGTACCCCCCAGGTTCAGGCTTGCATGAGAGGCTGAGTCACAATTCCTCTTTAATTGGAACATCAACATTCCTACAGATGAAAAGAGGTGCTTGTCTAATCTGAATAGCCAGAACACTGGGGAAGAAATGAATCTGAGAGGTGGATAGCTTTCCTGATGACCTGGCAGGGGAGCTGAAGTGACTCCTACCCTTCCCTGCTGATAAAACCTCATAGTATTTCACTGAGAGCTCCCACAGCCATTTCTGTCAAGGGTGAGACCTCTGCTCACCGTTGGATATTGCATTTACCCACCTGCTTTAGCAAAAACCGGTTCTTACACAAGGACACCTCAACTACTGACCTGAAGCCAGAACCGTCAACTCAGTTAATAAAATACTGGGGAAAAATAAATAAATAAAATAGTGCACACTAGGGGAAAATGAGATAAGCTTCAAGAGACCTATGCCATTTCAGCCTCATAAGAGACAAGGGACTTGCCCACACACTGTGTACATTCGTAGTACAATGAGCACCTAAGAAAGCCGTCATACAAATAGTCTCTATAACCAAGGAACTCATACAGAGTCCTCACCCTTAAAGGGGATGAAGAACAAAATTAAGTTATAATAAACAATAAACATTTAAGTCACATCATTAAGGTGGAAAATATCGTTAAAAAAATAAAGTCAAGAACAATTACAATAGTCTACCCAAATGAGAAGGAACCAGAAAAGTAACTTCTGGTAATATAATAAAAAAAAAGGTCCTATGATACCCCCAAAAGATCACACTAGCTCCCCAGAAATTGATCCAAGCCAGTATAAAATCTTTGAAATACTAGATAAAGAATCCAGAAGGTTGATTATTAAGCTACTCAAGGAGATACTGGAGAAAGGTGAAAAACAACATAAAGAAATTTAAAAAAAATTCAGGATATGAATGAAACATTTTCTAGAAAGATACATATCATAAAGAAAAACCAATCAGAGCTTCTGGAAATGACAAATGCACTTAGAGAATTACAAAATGCAGTGGAAGGCTTCAATAGTAGACTACAGCAAGTAGAAGAAAGAATTTCAGAGCTTGAAGACAAGAGTTTGGAATTAACCCAATCAGACAAAAATGAAGAAAAAAGAATAAACAGAAATGAACAAAGTCTCCAAAAAATATGAGATTGTGTAAAATGGCTAAACCTAAGAATAATTGGTGTTCTTGAGGGAGAAGAGAAGGCTAACATTTTGAAAAACTTATTTGAGAGATTAATTTAGGAAAATTTCCTTGGCTTTGCTAAGGATTTAGATATCTGCATACAAGAAGCTCAAGAAACTCTTGGAAAATTCATTGCAAAAGGATCATTGCCAAGGCACATAGTCATCAGGTTACCCAAAGTCAACATGAAGGAAATAATTCTAAGAGCTGTGAGACAGAAGCATCAAATAACTTGTGAAAGAAAACCTATCAGACTAACAGCAGACTTCTCAGTAGAAACTATGTAAACTAGAAGGGACTGAAGTCCTATCTTCAGCCTCCTTAAACAGAATAATTGCCAGTCAAGAATTTTGTATCCAGAAAAACTAAGTTTCATAAATGAAGGAGAAATAAAACCATTTTTCAGACAAAAAATGCTGAGAGAATTTGCCACTACCAAACCAGCACTATAAGAAATGCTAAAAGGAGGACTAAACCTTGAAACAAAAACTTGATATGCACCAAAAGAAATAAATTTTCCACTTAGATACATAATGGCAGAATGGATTAAAAAAATCACAACCCAAATATCTACTGTTTTTGAGAGACTTGCCAAACATGGAAGGATTCATATAAACTCAAGGTGTAGGAGTGGAAAAGTTTATTCCAGGCAAATGGAAATAAAAAACGAGCAGGAGTAGCTATTCTTGTATCAGACAAAACAGACTTCAAAGCAACAAAAGTAAAAAAAAAAAAAAAAAAGACAAAGAACATCACTATATAATGATAAAAGGATCAATCTAAAAAGAACATATTACAATCCTAAATTTATATGCATCTACCACTGGAACTCCAAGATTTATAGAACAATTACTGCTAGATCTAAGAAATGAGATAGACAACACAATAATAATGGTGGGCTTCAATACTTCACTGACAGCACTATAAAGATAATTGAGACAGAAACTCAACAGAGAAACAATGGACTTAAATTACACTCTGAACAAATGTAACAGCTATGTACAGAATATTCTACCCAACAACTGCAGAATATACATTATTTTCATCAGCAAATGAAACATTGTCCAAGATAGACCACATCATAGGCCACAAAACAAGTCTTAATAAATTTAAGAAAATCGAAATCATATCGATTGTCTTCTCAGACCACAGTGGAATAAAATTTGAAATCAACTTCAAAAGGAACCTTCAAAATTATACAAATACATAGAAATTAAATAATATGCTCCTGAATGATTTTTGGTTAACAGTGAAATCAAGATGAAAATTTAGAAATTTTTTGAAATGAGTAATAATAGTGACACAAATTATTAAAACCTCTGGGATAGAGCAGAATTGGTGCAAATAGGAAAGTTCATACAGTTAAATACCTGCATCAAAAAATCTGAAGTAACACAAATTGACAATCTAATGTCACACCTCAAGGAACTAGAGAAACAGGAACTAAATACAAAGTCAGCAAAAGAAAAGAAATAACAAACATCAGAGCAGAAATAATAAAATTGAAACAAAAACATAGAAAATATAAATGAAACAAAAAGCTGGTTCTTTGAAGATATTAAAACATTGTTAGACCATTAGTGAGATTAACCAAAAAAAGAAGAGAGATGATCCAAATAAAATCAATTAGAAATAAAGCTAGAGACATTACAACTGACACCACAGAAATACAATCATTCAAAACTACTATGAACACTTTTATGTGCACAAAATAAAAAATCTAGAAGAAATGGATAAATTCCTGGAAACACAAAACCTCCTAGCTGGAATCAGGAAGAAGTAGAAATCCTGAACAAATCAATAACATGCAGCAAGATTGCATCAGTAATTTAAAAATTGCCAATAAAAAAATAAAAACCAAGGACCAGATTCACTGCTGAATTCTATCAGACATTCAAAGAAGAATTCGTACCAATCCTACTGAAATTATTCCAAAACATTGAGAAAGTGGGAATCCTGTCCAAATCATTGCATGAAGACAGTTCACCTTAATACCAAAACTAGGAAAGGACATAACAAAACAAAAGAAAACTACAGACCAATATTCCGGATGAACATAGATGCAAAAATTCTCAAGAAAATACAAGCTAACCAAATCCAACAGCACATCAGAAAGATAATACATCATGGGCAAGTGGGTTTTATCTTAGGGATGGTTTAACATATGCAAATCAATAAATGCGATACATCTCATAAACAGAATTAAAAACAAAAACTACATGATCATCTGAATAGATGCACAAAAGACATTCAATAAAATCCAGCATCCCTTTATAATAAAAATCTTCAATACACTAGGAATAGAATACCTCAAAATTATTTTTGGTATTATTTTGAATACCCCAAAATAATAAAAGCCATATATGACAAACCCACAGCCAACATCATACTGAATGAAGAAAAGTTGAAAGCATTGCTCCTGAGAACTGGAACAAGACCAGGATGCTCACTTTCAAAACACTTTTATTCAATATAGTACTGGAAGTCCTAGCCAGAGCAATTAGGCAAGAGAAACAAATAAAAGCCATCCAAATTGGGAAAAAGGAAGTCAAATCTGCTATTCACCAATGATATGATCATATACTTAGAAAACCCTAAAGACTCATCCAAAAGATTCCTAGATTTGATAAACAAATTCAGTAAAGTCTCAGGTTATAAAAGCAATCTACAAAAATCAGTAGCACTGCTATACTATGATGACCAATTAATGAAAATCTGAGAATCAAATAAATAACTTAATTTTTACAACAGCTGCAAAAAAGTACAATACATAAGAATATACTTGGCTATGTCCTGAATGGTATTGCCTAGGTTTTCTTCTAGGGTTTTTATGGTTTTAGGTCTAACATTTAAGTCTTCAATCCATCTTGAATTAATTTTTGTATAAGGTGTAAGGAAGGGATCCAGTTTCAGCTTTCTACATATGGCTAGCCAGTTTTCCCAGCATCATTTATTAAATAGGGAATCCTTTCCCCATTGCTTGTTTTTCTCAGGTTTGTCAAAGATCAGATGGTTGTAGATATGCGACATTATTTCTGAGGGATCTGTTCTGTTGCATTGGTCTATATCTCTGTTTTGGTACCAGTATCATGCTGTTTTGGCTACTGTAGCCTTGCAGTATAGTTTGAAGTCAGGTAGCGTGATGCCTCTAGCTTTGTTCTTTTGGCTTAGGATTGACTTGGCAATGAGGGCTCTTTTTTGGTTCCATATGAACTTTAAAGTAGTTTTTGCCAATTCCATGAAGAAAGTCATTGGTAGCATGATGGGGATGGCATTGGATCTATAAATTACCTTGGGCAGTATGGTCATTTTCACGATATTGATTCTTCCTACCCATAAGCATGGAAAGTTCTTCCATTTGTTTGTATCCTCTTTTATTTCCTTGAGCAGTGGTTTGTAGTTCTCCTTGAAGAGGTCCTTCATATCCCTTGTAAGTTGGATTCCTAGGTATTTTATTCTCTTTGAAGCAATTGAGAATGGGAGTTCACTCGTGATTTGGCTCTCTGTTTGTCTGTTATTGGTGTATAAGAATGCTTGTGATTTTTGCACATTGATTTTGTATCCAGAGACTTTGCTGAAGTTGCCTATCAGCTTAAGGAGATTTTGGGCTGAGACGATGGGGTTTTCTAGATATACAATCATGTCATCTGTAAACAGGGACAATTTGACTTCCTCTTTTGCTAATTGAATACCCTTTATTTCCTTCTCCTGCCTGATTGCCCTGGCCAGAACTTCCAGCACTATGGTGAATAGGAGTGGTGAGAGAGGGTATCCCTGTCTTGTGCCAGTTTTCAAAGGGAATGCTTCTGGGCAAGGACTTCATGTCTAAAACACCAAAAGCAATGGCAACAAAAGGCAAAATAGACAAATGGGATCTCATTAAACTAAAGAGCTTCTGCACAGCAAAAGAAACTACCATCAGCGTGAACAGGCAACCTACAGAATGGGAGAAAATTTTTGCAATCTACTCATCTGACAAAGGGCTAATATCCAGAATCTACAATGAACTCAGACAAATCTACAGGAAAAAAACAAACAGCCCCATCAAAAAGTGGGCAAAGGATATGAACAGACACTTCTCAAAAGAAGACATTAATGCAGCCAAAAGACACATGAAAAAATGTTCATCATCACTGGCCATCAGAAAAATGCAAATCAAAACCACAATGAGTTACCATCTCACACCAGTTAGAATGGCAATCATTAAAAAGTCAGGAAACAACAGGTGCTGGAGAGGATGTGGAGAAATAGGAACACTTTTACACTGTTGGTGGGACTGTAAACTAGTTCAACCATTGTGGAAGTCAGTGTGGCGATTCCTCAGGCATCTAGAACTAGAAATACCATTTGACCCAGCCATCCCATTACTGGGTATATACCCAAAGGATTATAAAACATGCAGGTATAAAGACACATGCACACATATGTTTATTGTGGCACTATTCACAATAGCAAAGACTTGGAACCAAGCCAAATGTCCAACAATGATAGACTGGATTAAGAAAATGTGGTACATATACACCATGGAATACTATGCAGCCATAAAAAATGATGAGTTCATGTCCTTTGTAGGGACATGGATGAAGCTGAAAACCATCATTCTCAGCAAACTATCACAAGGACAGAAAACCAAACACCACATGTTCTCACTCATAGGTGGGAATTGAACAATGAGAATACATGAACACAGGAAGGGGAACATCACATACCGGGGCCTGTGTGGGGTGGGGGGAGTGGGGAGGGATAGCATTAGGAGATATACCTAATGTTAAATGACGAGTTAATGGGTGCAGCACACCAACATGGCACATGTATACATATGTAACTAACCTGCACATTATGCACATGTACCCTAAAACTTAAAGTATAATTAAAAAAAAGAATATACTTAACCAAGGAGGTGAAAGATCTCTACAAGGAGCACTAAAAAATTCTGCCGAGAGAATTCATAGATGACACAAATAGAAATGTATCACATGATCATGGATGGGGAGAATTAGTATCGTAAAAATGACCATATTGCCCAAGGAAATCTATGAATAAATAGAAACATATCTCATGATCATGGATGGGGAGAATTAATATTGTAAAAATGACCATATTGCCCAAAGAAATCTACAGATTCAATGCAATTTCCATAAAAGTAGCAGTATTATTTTTCACAGAACTAGAAAAAAAAAATCCTAATATTCTTGTGGAACCAAAAAAGAACCCAAACAGCCAAAGCAATCCTAATGAAAGGAATCAAATCTGGAGGCATCACATTACCACACTTCAATTATAACGCAAGGCTATAGTTAACAAAACAGCATGGTACTGGTTTTAAAATAGGTACTTAGACCAATGGAACAGAATAAAGAACTCAGAAATAAAGTCAAATACTCATAACCAACTCATCTTTGACAAAGCATACAAAAACATAAATTGGGGAAAGGATACTCTATTCAAGAAACAGTGCTGGGAAAACTGGCAAACCACATGTAGAACAATGAAACTGGTCCCTCTCTCTCACCTTATACAAAAATCAACTCAACATGATCAAAGACTTAAATATAAGACCTGAAACCATAAAAATTCTAGAAGACAATGTTGGAAAAACTCTTCTAGACATCAGCCCTAAGCGAAGAATTAATGACTAAGACCCCAAAAGCAAATACAACAAAAACAAAAAGAAATAAATGAGACCTAATTAAACTAAAAAGCTTCTGAGCACAGCAAAATAAATAAGCGGCAGAGTAAATAGGTAACCCACAGAATGGAAGAAAATATTTTCAATCTATGTATCCGACAAATAACTAGCATCCAGAATCTACAAGGAACTCAAACAAATCACAGCCTCCCCCTTCTGCCCCCTAAAATAATTCCATCAAAATGTGGACAAGGGATATAAATAGATGTTTCTCAAAAGAAAATATATAAATGGCCAAGAAGCATACAAAAAAATGTAAGCATCACTAATTATCAGGGAATTAAAACCATGATGAGATACTGCATTGCTCCTGCAAAGATAGCCATAATTAAAACGTCAAAAATTAATAGACGTTGGTGTGAATGTGGTGAAAAAGGCATACTTTTTTGCACTGCTGATGGGAATGTAAATTAGTGCAACCTCTATGAAAAACATTATGGAGATTCCCGAAAGAACTAAAAGTAGATCTATCATTTGACTCAGCATTCTCACTACTGGGAACTTACCCAAGGGAAAAGAAGTCATTCCATGAAAAAGGCATATGCGCATACATGTTTATAGCAGCACAACTGCAAAGATATGGAACCAATCTTTGATTGATGCCCATCAACAAATAAATGGATAGGCTGGCGCGGCGGCTCACGCCTGTAATCCCAGCACTTTGGGAGGCCGAGGCGGGCGTATCACGAGGTCAGGAGATGGAGACCATCCTGGCTGACACGGTGAAACCCCATCTCTGCTAAAAATACAAAAAATTAGCCAGGCGTGGTGGCGGGCACCTGTAGTCCCATCTACTCGGAAGGCTGAGGCAGGAGAATGGCATGAACCCGAGTGGTGGAGCTTGCAGCGAGCCAAGATAGCGCCACTGCACTCCAGCCTGGGCGACAGAGCAAGACTCCGGCTCAAAATAAATAAATAAATAAATAAGAAAAAAATAAATGGATAAAGAAAATGTGGTATATATACACAATGCCATACTATTTAGCCGTAAAAAGGAACAGAATAATGTCTTTTCCAGCAACTTGGATGGAACTGAAGGCCATTATTCTAAGTGAAGTAACTCAGGAATGGAAAACCAAATATTTTGTGTTCTCTCTTATAAACGGGAGCTAAGCTATCAAGACGCAAAGAAATGCAGAGGGTTATAATAGACTTTGTGGGCTTGGTAAAGGCAAGAGGGAGTAAAGGATAAAAGACTACATATTGGGTATTGTGTACACTGCTCAGGGAACAGAGGCACTGAAATCTCAGAATTCACCACTACAGAGTTTATCCACGTAAACAGAAGCCACTTGTTCCCCAAAAGCTGTTGAAATTTTTAAAAACTATAAAAAATTTGAAAAATTATTTGATAATTCTTAGCCAGGCGCGATAGCTCATGCCGTTAATTCTTTCGTGATGTAATCATTAGATAATTTCTCAGATCTATTCCATTACCCGCATTCTTCAAAATAAAGAAGTTCCAGTTACAGAGGACTCTGACATCACATAGATAATGCTCTAGTAAACGCTAATTCTGTACATCTTGTGATGCTATTTTAGATAACCAGAAGGAAAAATTATCACATTTTCTTCATGGGTATTGCCAGACTGATTGGATTTAATAAATTATGAGATTTGAAAGGTAGACAAATTAATAATGTAACAAGCATATGTTTTAAAAATTTGTCAAGGCTGTTCCCTAGGAATAAAAGTGAAGACAAATCAAAAAGGATAATCAAGAAGTCTGAAGTTGACTAATTTATCCTTCTGTCACTTTTGAGTCAAATACTAGACATTTGATGGAAGACTTGTATGAGTCATTAAACACCAGATCCAGAGGGAACTTAGAAACCATTTAGCCTGATTCTTCCATTCTGTAGATGATGAAGCTGAGGCCCAGAGGTTTCCTAATGGGCATTAGTGAGTCACAACAGACCTGGAATTAGATTCTGGGTCTCCTGTTTCTCATCCCAGAGATTATTCCACATGTTGGCTTTATGATGAGATTCACAGCCAGCGGTGCAAATAGCAGCTTTGCTCTTTAACCAAAGGGCCCTGTTTGGTTGATTCTTCTTGACAATGTGTGAGTGAATAAGCTATATTAATGACTTTTTCTCTCTAAAGCCAGCTTGCAGTCTGTGAAGGAACAAGCTGCATTACTTATCCCTCCCTGTCTGCTCTTCCCATTTTCTTTTTTATCTGTCTGCAAACCCATTTTTGTTAGGGCATTTAATTTTCAGACCCTGTCTGTGATTGAGTCTATATGTCTTTCTTCTACTACCTTTCCTTTTCGTCTGCCCCTATACATTCTCTTTATCTTCGTTGTTAATAGATATTTCATTTGCTGGACTCTTCTCATTTGTAACTTATCACTTGATTTTATTATTTTCTATCCTTCTCAGGTTCATTCTGGGTAATGTGTTTTTCTCATACTCTTTTCTCCCAGGAAAATAAAGAGGAAAAAAAAAGACAAGAGGAAAACATCCTTTTTATAAAGAGTGAAAAGCAAATTCTCAGTTTGGCTGGAACTGTATCTTTTTTATCTTCATCTTCTTTATTTCTCTAAATCTTTTTAGGATAAGTAAAGAACCCTACATTGTACCTGAAACCTCAGACATTTCCTGGTTGCTAACAGACTCATCAATACCCCTTCTATCCAGTTAAAAAACACCACCCAAGAAACTCATCAAAATAAATTGAGAAATAAAATCAAGAGCAGCTTGTACTAATTAATATATTCCCCTTCTACTGCAATACCTTATTAAACTTGTGACTATGATGTAAGGCTTCTTTAATAATACATCAATGGATGTGTCCATAATAGACTTATCTTTTAAAGAAATCATTTTGGGAAACTGGCTACATTTCTGGTTATTTTATTGCTCAAGGTATGTTTGGAGGTACTTTTAGAGCCACACAAAGAAAGCAGTTCTGTTATTTTATGATGGCATCTCATTTTCTGACCGCCATTCCTCATCATGATTTAAATGGCCTTGTCATGAGAGTTGCTTCCGAACAAACTCAGATTTATAAAAATCAAAGATGTATCCACAGAGGAGAACAAAGGTTTTCGATCAGTGATGGTTTATAATAAAATGTCGTCATAAATGCTTGTGAGCCCTAAAGGCGCATGTTAACCTAATGTTAACCTATGCCCATCCTTCACCCTGCCAAGCATCTGTGGGACCAGGTATTCCGGAAGCAAATGCACACCATGCCCACTACCGGCTTATGTTAACTTCTGAGAATGGCAAAATATAAATGGGAATCTTCGCTTCTACTCTATTCTATTAACTTTTGAATAGAATAATACTATCTGGTTTATATCTACCTCTAAAGTTGCTTTTTATTTCGATTCACAGAGTTCCAAATAAATAGGGCTTATCCAGAACTTTTAAAGATTACCTCATATACTATTACCACCTTATCTTCAAACTCACAAGTCATGGTTTCAGGGTCTGTCTCTTCTCTCTCTTCACCCTGCTCTCCATCTCCTTATCCCTTCATCCATACCTTCTCCATCCTTGCTGTCTAGACATTTTTGCTTTTAGTCCCTCTCTTGATACTACACACATACTGCTTCATATTTAACTTAGTCATTTCAGTTGCTTAAGTCCCACAACTTACAGCAATCTTTGAATACTCTCCTATTATCAGGCCCCATGTGAAATCCATCAGTAAATTCTGCAGTTTTTGCAATTTCAGTGATACAAGCAGTCACAATTCCCCTTTTCCCTCAGATTATTCCAGTAGCCTCCTGATGAGTTTCCTTTCTTCAACACTTACCCACTGTCCTCGGCAGAGAGGCCAGAGTGAACCTTTGGGATGCAAGTCAGATCATGGCATGGCTTTTCTACAGGCAAGCCAGGATCTCTCACACCACTCAGTCCTAATAATGGCTATGTGATCTGCCTCCCACCACTTTTCTAACCTTGCCTCCCATGACTCTTGCTCACTCTAGATTCCCCACTGTTTCTTGAACATATCAGAGACGATCCTGCCTTAGGTCCTTTCCACATGCAATTTTATCTGGGATGATCTTATGCTACATGGCTGGTGACAAAATTTTTCCTAGATGCTCCTCAATTGTCATCCACAAAATCTTCACCAAGATGACTGCCTCCTTAAAAGAGCATCACCCCCCTGCTACATTCCTTGTTCCTTCTTACTTTGCTTCATTTTCCCAAATAGCATTTTGTTTTTTTGAGATGAAGTCTTGCTCTGTCATCCAGGCTGGAGTGCAGTGGTGCAATCTCTGCTCACTGCAACCTCCGCCTCCCGGGTTCCAGCGATTCCCCTGCTTCAGCGTTCCTAGTAGCTGGAATTACAGGTGCACACCACCACGCCCAGTTAATTTTTATATTTTTAGTAGAGATGGGGTTCCACCATGTTGGCCAGTCTGGTCCCAAACTCCTGATCTCAGGTGATCCACATGACTAGGACCCCCAAAGTGCTGGGATTGCAGACGTGAGCCACTGCATCTGGCCCAAAATAGCATTTCTTATCTGAATATATTCATTGTTTATTCATTTATTGTCTTTCTCCCCCATCCCTCTTAGAATGCAAATTTCATGACAGCAAGGACTTTTGCTTAGCACGTAGAAGAAGCTTAATGAACACAAGTTGATGTAGTCCCACTTGTTTATTTTTGCTTATTACCTGTGCTTTTGTGTCATATCAAAAAATCATTGCCAAGATGAATGTCAAGTAGCCTTACCCCCATGTATTTTTCCAGAAGTTTTATGCTTTTAGACCTCACATTTAAAAAGTGTCTACACAGCAAAGAAAACAATCAACAAAATGTAAAAGCAACCTACAGAATAAGAGAAAATATTTGCAAGCCATATATCTGATATGGTTAGTATCTAAAATCTATAAGGAACTTGGAGAACTCAATATTTAAAAAATGGACAAATGATCTGAATAGACATTTCATTCAAAGAAGACATACAAATGGCTGACAGATCTACGAAAGGAGCTTGAGCATTTCAGAGAAATGCAAATCAAAACCGCAATGAGATACCACTTCACACGTTTCCTAATGGCTACTATTGAAATAAACAAGAGATAACAAATATTGGCAAGGGTGTGGAGAAAAGGGAACCCTTGTACACAGTTGGGAGGACTGTAAAGTCATGCAGCCGTTATTGAAAATGGTATGGAAGTTCATCAGAAAATTAAAAGTAGAACTACCATTTGATCCAGCAACCCCACTTCTGAGTACATATTAAAAGGACATAGACCAGTTTCTTGAGATATCTAAACCCCATGTTGATTGCAGCATTACTCACAATAACCAAGATATGTAAACAACCTATGCCATCCATCAATTAATGAATGGATAAAAAATATTGTGGAACATTTATACAGTGGAATATCATTGACATTTGCAACAATATGGATGAACCTGGAGGACACTATGTTTCTTTAGCCAGACACAGAAAAGTAAATACTGTATGTTCTTACTTGTATGTAGCATCTTAAAAAGTTGAAATCATAAGAGCAGGATGTAGAACAGTGGTTTCCAGGAGCTGAGTGGGTGGGGAAATGGAGAGATATTTGTCAAAAGATACAAACTTCCAGTTATAAAATGAACCCATTCTTGGGGTCTAATGTATGGGTAGTGATTGATATGTAAATTAATGTGGCAGTCATTACACAATGTATACGTATATCAAGTTACCACTTTAGACACCTTAAATATCTTTAATCTTTGTCAATTAAATATTTTAACATAAGCTAGATTGGAAAGAAAAAAGTTGCAAGAATAATTGAATAAAAGGAGAGATGTTAATAAAGTGTTTAAAAACAGAGTCTTTGTTGTAAGATATGTGTGGGGTCAAGTGGCAGTGTAATCATATTGATTATAATTGATTTTATAGGCCAGTTATATATATTAAATGATTCATCATTAAAGAGTTTATCAGGATGCCCATCAAAGGAAAATGCTGTCACAAAGCTATGCTACTGCTGCTGTTCTTGCTGCCCCTTAAATTTGCATCTTTACTTCAAGAACAACAGATCCAACACTGAACCCTCTGCGGGGGAGATAGAAATGGGGCTGCCCACCCTCCTCTGCTCTTCCAGGATGGGATAACCACCTGCTGTCCTGGGCCCATAAGGTAGTATTTTGTTATTGTAAGACTGCTGTCAGATATTTCATCTGTGTGATGTACCATCTCATTTTACTAAGCCATGTATTAAAGAAGATATAGCCTCTGACCTTGTTTGCTTTTTAATGCTAAAACCAAATCAAGGAATCAATAAAACTATAGGAAAATAAATCTTTAAAATTCATTTGAAGTTGGCATCTTCAAGGAGAAACTTGAGTTTCTGGTAGGAGGATATTTACTATCATTGCCAGATGAGTAACTTCTGCTCCTATTTTATGTCTTTCTTTCTAAGGGAAATACACTCATAGTCATCAGTTCACATATCTCCACAGGTAAAGAATAAAAGTATTCTCAGCTAAAATTAAAAACTCTCAATTCTTTCTTAACATTTGAAATCATGTTATATTTGTGGGAAATGGTGGAAATGGGGTTTCGTAGGGATGCCAAAATATATGTATTATTACAACCATATATTATCTAGTCTTGCTTGACTAGACCAGACCCAGTAAATTATATTCAGTAGTTTGTCTTTGCCTGTGAATGAAAATGTTTCATTTGCCTGCTTCTTGTTAATCTAGAATTGAGATACTTAAGTACAAGGGCTCATATAAGACCACAGCATTTTTTTAATTCCAAGTATTATTTATTATTTCTGGTAACCTGCTTTAATTAACTACTAATTCTTGACAATTATAGCACCATCCTTTGGGAAACAACTTTGTACATCACGAAGTTATTTCAAACTGATAATAAAATTATTCAAAGTGTTTTTGTGTAGCTAAACCTAGAGAATAATTTCCCCAAAGCATTTCTTTGTTCTAAACAGTGCTGATAGTTGGTAGGTCACCATCCTTAATGTGCACATATTTTGGCAAATGTGAATAGTGGAGACATTGTGTGTTCTTAGACTCACTGAAAAGAAAAGGATTAAGATAAAATAGAGAACATTTTTAAGCATATGTATTGTGAAAAAGAAATCCAAAGAGATGTATGTAACTCCAAATATCCTTAAGCATAATTAGAGTGAGTGTGTAGATAGCTGTTGCGTTATAACATCAGAGACTCCAGAAAGTCTGGAACCACCTCTTCTGCAGGGCTAAGTCGTATTCATACCCCCAGAACAGCAATCTACAGAAGAGGAACCCAGGACTTTCACCAGGGGTAGGGTGTTGAGTAAAAATGTTGATGTAATAGTTATACTTTGTTCTTTTGTGACACGTAAAGCTCCTAACCTAAGTGACGTCCTGGACTTACCTGATTTCTATGGTACCTGATACAGAAGAGCCAGTTAAAATAATTCCCTTATTTCTAGAGAAGTGTGGGGCTTCAGAAAATCAATTTCCCATTTCTGAACAGATTTATTTAGAACAATAAAGTTAAAATGAACTTTAAATGCAGACATGAAAAAGAAATATTGCTAAGAAATGACGGCCGGGGACGGTGACTAACGCCTGTAATCCCAGAACTTTGGGAGGCCGAGGCGGGCGGCTCACCTGAGGCCAGGAGTTCGAGACCAGCTTGGCCAAAATGGCAAAACCCAGTCTCCACTAAAAGTACAAAAATTAGCTGGGCGTGGTGGCGGCCACCTGTAATCTCAGCTACTCAGAGGCTGAAGCAGGAGAATCTCTTGAACCCGGGAGGCGTAAGTTGCAGTGAGCCGCGATCACGCCACTACACTCCAGCCTGGGCGACAAGAGGAGACTCGGTCTCAAAATGAATAAATATAAATAAATAATAAATAAATAAATAAATAAATAAATAAAATGACAACAGAGTAGCCTGGGGCCTGGAGTAGCAGATATGCAGGATACCCAAGTCTAGAGACAATGTGAGGATCACAGGCAATCAAACCACCGTAATGCATCGGGATTCGTGCTAAATGAGTGGATTTTAGTTGCTTCTGCCACAAAACAAAAACAAAATGATGTATATATTATCTCATAATATCATGTTGTATTCCTTAAATATGCACAATGAAATTTATTTAAATACATGTATATGTATAATCTTATGTGGTATAATTCTATTAGGTCTTTACTAGCCTCCTCCCTCTTGGGTAGTTACTGTTTAGTTAGGTACTTACACAACATTTTGCACTTAGACCCATTACCACAATCCTCTGTTACTTCCCAACTTACTGTCTCCAATTCAGGGACAAATGAAATAAGCTACAAAAGAGACATCCTTAACATTATTGCTGATGCTTTAAAAACAGAAACAAAAACGAAAACAAAAAAAAAAAAAAGAGGGAAAGGAACTGGCTGACTTCCATTTTGGATACTGTGGTTTGGTTTATAAAAATTCAGTTTCAGGATCAAGTCAGGCTCATTTATTTATTTTTCCTGTTTATTTGTCTTTTTATTAATCATTCATTAGTCTTCTGGGTTCCTTTATAGTCTTTTGAAAGCTTAGGCTTCTCCCCTAATTTTATACTCAGTAATTTGAAAGTATCATAATAACGTTTCATTAATACTTGAAATGGGTATTTAGAACTCAGGAAACTGAATTTATGATTTCAAATATTCACTACACTATATTTACCAGAAAAAGAATAGATGAGTTAGCAAACATGATTTCTTTCTAAGGAGAGAATGTCTTCTTTTCTCTCTTTTTCTCACGTTCTTTCTCTTTCTTCTCCCCTTCCCTTCTTGTCAGAAATGTAGTTTTTTCTTATTAAAGAAAAGACTTCAAAATTCTCTTAGAAGAGAATATAAGGAAGAAATCCTATTTCTTTGTTGTATCTTTTGCAAAGTTTTTTTTTTTAATTACTATATCTTTTGGGAGTGGTAAAACTGGTTTTGAAAGGTTGATAGTGCATGTTCCTTCTCAGGATTTTGCAGCTTCCACATATAAATTGAAAGACTGATTGGCTACCCACTGGCACTGAAAACAGAGAGAACTGATGGGACCTGTGCTTGTCAGTCAGGTGGAGGAAATCATAGACACAAGCTAAATAAGATGTGCTGTCTGTGTGTATGAAATGTGGGCAAGTGATAAACGACAAGAGGATGAAGTGATTACAGAGGGAGATACAAATGATGTGCAGAGAGACACATCTGCCCTCTCCACTGTCCAAAGCAGCACCACACTTGATCAGCCTGCCGTCTGTTTATTCCTTTCCTAGGCTGTGGTTCAGCCTCGGTTTATCAGGGTTTTATCAAAAAGCCAATCAACACTTAGGAGTGTGCCCACTTCTGAGTGGTTATCCTTACCTGAGGCCAGAGAAAAGTAAGGTTGGAGCCATGTTGTGCCATCAGGAATCTCAGAAAAGCTCCAATAACTTCTTGCTTTGCCCTACATCACCTTCCAGTATCTGGCTAGTGCCTGCCTTCAGAACTCCGTCACACAACACCTCTTGATGTTTCCAAAATCCTGACTAAGTCAGTCATGTCTCTGTTTGGCTCTTCCATCACTCTTGCTTGCTTGCCCTGAGGATATATGTCAAGCTCCTGGCAGGGAGTACAAGGACGTTTTCAGCTGGCCTCTTTTTTTGGTCTCACCTACTATTGTTGTCTGTCAAGCACCATGTCTTCCAGCCATAACCACCAGCCCTGTCTGGTGGTGATCTTCTCTCTGATGGACTGCTTTTCTCCAAGTTCGAGATTAATTCCCCATGCTCCTCCCTGTCCCCATTGTATGCTGCTAAACAGAGACTCATTCTTCATGACTCCACTCAGCCATCATCTCTTTGCTGAAGCTTTTCTGACTCACCCACCCTTTTCATATAAAAAACAGGTATTCTTCCTCTTTCCTCTGTACTTTTGGTTTGTTCATGACCTGTCCTCTGTCTATATGGAATAGTTTCATGAGACTCAGAGCAGGAACTGTGTCCATCTTGTTTGTCATCATATCTTTGGTGTTTGGCACAGGGATGGGCACATAATAAGCTATCAGTACATTTTAGTTGAATGAATAAATGAGCAAACACAAGGCACTAATATGAGGTGTTATTTGAATTAGTGTAAAACATTGTTTTTAAGAAAAAGACAACTATATGTGATATTTTGTCTAAAACATTGTAAATCCCAGATTTACTGCAATCTAACCAGGTTTGAGGAACAGTGGCCTAGGCAGGAGAATGGGAGGCTCAAGTCTGTGTGACTTTGACACTGTTGTGAGGTGAGGATTGAGTGCATGTGAGGACGAACTAAGCCTGGACCCATCCTCCTGTCTACTTGTCTGTGATCTCCTTCAGGGCAGTGGCTACATCCAGCCTGGCTCTTTGGGGATGTCAGTGCCTGGTACCTGACACATAGTAGGTGTTCATAAAATATGTATTGAACAAAGAAAACGAGGAGCGTATATGTTCCAATATTAGACATGAAAAACAATCATAGTCTTTAATGAGCTTATGGTATAATAGCATTGCATTCTGATTTTAGGATCTGCCAATCTCAACACACTTGTTGAGAAGACATTTTCAATATTGCAAGACACACTAACTAGATTTGCATCATAGTATAGGGTTAACACTCAACAGCTGTTAGTATTCATCCTAAGCCCTTTATTTTTTCTTCAACCATTCTCTCTCCCTCTAACCTGACCTTCCTCTTGCCCTTCACCCAAACTTCCATCTGATGCACATTCTCATCTCTTCTCACTTCCTGCTTGCGAAATCTTTAACATAGGCAAGTTTTCTGCTGTCAAAAGAAATTTGTTTTAAAAATCATGAATGGGCCCAAAACAAGAATCTTCACATACCTGCTGCTGAATTCCGTAGTCCTTGTTGTGTCACCAGTGGAAGGTGTCTGACTTACTGGTGGTTAATCCCTATGGGTCTGCAGCAAATTCAATTCTTGCCTCCTCAGAAGAAAGAATTCGTCTGAGAAGCATAAGGCAGAAAAACAGGCCGAGGGAAGTTTCAGAACAGGAGTGGAAGTTTATTTTAAAGGGTTTTAGAACCGGAAAGAAAGAGAAAGTATGCTTGGAAGAGACCGAAGAGGGCACATAAAGGCCCAGTGTGGTGTTCAACCTTGATCCTAGGACTTTATAGGCTGGCCCCTTTCCCGTGATTCTTCCCTTAGGGTGGGCTGCCCGCATGCACGTTGCCCTCCTTACCCTTGGGAAGTGAGCACATGCAGTGTGTTTAAGAAGTTACACACAAGCCCATCTGAGGCTTCTTTCCCTTTTACAGGGGTGTGTCCCTGGAAGCTCATACTCGGCCATTTTGTCTCTTAATGCACATGCCTGGGAAGTTGCTTTTCCCTGGTATCTGCATTCAATTAACACTTTAGTGCAACAGGTGTGAACCATCAGGATATGGCCTCTCCCTGGCACTGGCTGCTAATGTATAACTTTTGACAAGAAAAAAAGGTGTTTAAGTAGAATGAGTTTCTCTTGAATTCAGAATTATCACTCTCTTGCTACATTTATGGCCAGAAAATCAGCAGGCTTAGTTTTAGAACCAGTACTCACAAACACATTGACTTATTTTTTTCTTGTCAAAGTTTTCTAAGTTTGACATCAAGTTTTTCTAAGATGACTGATACTTCTCATCTAGGCTGTGGGATAAATCTCTAGTAGGAAGATGGGTGGCAGGGCTCTGAAATACTGATCTGTCTCCTTTGTGCCTCTGATGACCATCTTTAAAATATTTTAGATCTTACAGTTTTGTAAACCTCTCCTGAGTGTCTCCCATAGTCAGGAGCTGTGAATACAAAGGTAAGTAAGAGTCTGTGCCTCATACAGAGAGACAGGCAAACATGGAGTTTTAACATAATATGGTGAGGATACAGTGGCACTGTGAGTAGAGGCTGGTCACATGGAAACACAAAGAACAGATGTTTTTCCTACTCCAGACATTCTCAAATATTGGTATGGGTCAGAGTCACTCAAAGGGATGAAAAGAGCAGAATGCTGGACCCACCCCCAGAGTGCCTGACTCTGTAGGTCTGGGGTTGGGCCCAAGAGTTTGCATTCTGAACAAACCTCCAGTGCACGCTGCTGCTGCAGGTACAGAGACTCCACTGTGAATTAAAGGTATGAAGGATGTGATTCCCAAGCAAGTTTGAAATAATCAATGAGTTAGCCAGACAAAACACCAAGCCAGGGAATTCCAAGAAACAAAATAGCAGGCACAAAGGCACAGCGGAATGCATGGGGAGTAACAGTGTTTCTGGAGAATACAAAGAGCTGGGAATGAGACAGGGGCCTTTGGACATAAAAGAAATTAAGTAAGTCAGTAAGCTGTGGGACTGGCACAGCTCTGGCATCCAGTGCTGTAGTGGTTACTGTAACATTTCAAATATATGCAATCTGAAAAGAATTGCACAAACCCCAGTAATTCTGCCTTCCTGGGCCACATTGAGAGACTGGCCTTATTTAATGTATCTCTTAAAATGAGGGTTTGTAGGAATATTTTAAGCAGAGTGGAAAAATTCAAATGCACAAAAATTACAGGTTGCTTGAAAATAATGTAGAAAATCAATAATATTTTATACAATATCTGTCAAAAACAGAGGTTTAAAACAGAGGTTTTAAAAACAGAGGTTTTAAAAATGCTTGTTTGGAAGAATTCAAGAAGTATGCTTTATCAAATGTGAATTTGAGCCTCAAGCATACTTTTGTAACTATTTTTTCCATGTCAAGTTATATCAACTAAATAGAAGGTTAAGTAAAATAAAATAAAATCTAGTCCGGACTTTTTTTGAATTTTTTTTAGTTTAAAAACCCAAAATTCCTGGTGATATCAATAGAGTAATAGCTTTTGTTCCACACACTTTGGGCTTTTATTTGCATTACTATTTTAAATATTAAAATATATGAAAAGCACAAAAAGGAGCTAGGTATAATTTAAAGAATATTAATATTATAAACCCTATGAGCCCATTATCCAGCTTTAGGTCATTACCCTTGTCTTCGAGGAATGCAACTAACTTTCCTGCAGTCCTGTCCTCCCTCGCTACCTCTGTAGCTTTAATCACGTCATTCATTTCCATTTTCCTTTTACTTCATGTATATTTATAAACGATATATTTTCTAGTTCTGGCTTTTCCAAATGTAATAAATGGAACATGCTTTGTGTGTTCAGTTCCTTGCACTTTTTGCTTAACATGTGATGAATTGGCTATTTAGACATACATAGCGGCAGGCCATTCATTTTCATAGCTGTAGGATATTTCACTGAATGAATGATCCCAATTTATTTGTCCAGCTACCATTCATGAATATTAGCTTGTTTACAGTTTTGTGTGTGTGTATGTGTACATGTGTTTTATTACATGCTTTTATGAGCTCTGAGTACGCCTTGCTAAGTTATAGGTTATGTGTATGTTTAGTTTGATTAAGTAATATTAAATTGTTTTTAAAATCATTTTTTACACAAATTTGTATTTTCTCCGGAAGTCACGGTTCCTTCTTCATGTCCTTTGGCAGTCCTTTAAATTTTTTGCCAAATTGGATAAATGTAAAATTATTGCTTTTTAAATTAATATCTTGCTGATGAATAATAAGTAGACCATTTACATTTATATTCTTATTCATGTTTTCTCTTCTCATCTTTTCTCTTCTCTGAAAATAGCTTGTATCTTCTGTCCATTTTTAATTAGGTTGACTCTCTACTGATTGATAGGATATTTCAAAGGCCTTGACACACATCCTTTTCCAGTCACATGTTTTGAAAGTTTCTTTTCTCAGCTGTGGCTCC
Source organism: Homo sapiens (assembly GCF_000001405.40). Lineage (NCBI taxonomy): Eukaryota > Metazoa > Chordata > Mammalia > Primates > Hominidae > Homo > Homo sapiens. The sequence continues at coordinate 117,211,190 of NC_000002.12, read as the reverse complement.
TTTATACAATCACTTTTTGGAGGCTTTCAATAAACATAATTTTTTATATTTTATAGAGTTGAAGATATCAAGATCTTCTTCCTTCACGATTTGTGCTTTTTAAGTCCAAACTCCAAACTGTCTGAGATTTCCTCCTAAAGCTTTTTAGGTTTCATGTTTTTTCTTTCAATGTAAAGTCTTTCTTATATTTAGGATGCATGTGCGTGTATGTGTGTGTGTGTGTGATATAAAGGACCCTTTCAAAACATATTTTTAACATGGATAATCAGTTATTTCTACACTATAGCTAATGATCTCCCATTTTGCCTTTATTTACATTATGTGTTACTCTGTTTCTGGAGTCTAATCTGTTTCATTGATTTATCAGTCTCTCTCCATGCAGTGTCCACCCTTTGTCAACTAATAAAGTGAAGGGATAGTGTTTTAAGCAATTTTCATGACCGGTTACTCTTTCAGGGAGTGTATCAGCTATTTGGGCCCTTTCATTTTCCATATATATTTAGATTTTAGATGTTAGAATATGGCTTTTCAAATTCCATTAACACTCAAGTGTTCATCAACAGATACATAGATACAGAAAATTACTGAGTTCTCTATTCTGTTCCATTGATCTATGTATCTGTTTTTGTACCAGTACCATGCTGTTTTGGTTACCATAGCCTTGTAGCACAGTTTGGAGTTGGGCAGTGCAATCCCTCCAGCTTTGTTCTTTTTGCTTAGAATTGTCTTGGCTATATGGGTCTCTTTTTTAGTTCCATGTGAATTTTAAAATAGTCTTTTTGTAATTCTATGAAGAATGTCAATGGTAGTTTAATGAGAATAGGACTGAATCTATAAATTACTTCGGGTAGTATGGCCATTTCCATGATATTAATTTTTCCTTTCCATGAGCATGGAATGTTTTTCTATTTGTTTGTGCCCTCTCTAATTTCCTTAAGCAGTGGTTTGTAGTTCTCCTTGAAGAAGTCCTTCACTTCCCTTGTCAGCTGTGTTCCTAGGTATTTTATTCTCTTTGTAGCAATTGTGAATGGGAGTTAATTTGTGATTTGGCTCTCTGCTTGTCTGTTGTTGGCATATGGGATGTTTGTGATTTTTGCACATTGATTTTGTATCCTGATACTGCTGAACTTGCTTGTCAGCTTAAGAAGCTTTTTGGCTGAGACAGTGGGATTTTCTAGATACAGGACCATGTCATCTGCAAACAAAGACGATTTGACCTCCTCTCTTACTATTTTAATACCCTTTATTTCTTTCCCTTCCCTGATTGCCCTGGCCAGAACTTCCAATATTATATTGAATAGGAATAGTGAGAGAGGACATCCTTGTCTTGTGCCAGTTTTCAAGGGGAATGCTTCCTGCTTTTGCCTATCCAGTATGGTATTAACTGTGGGTTTGTCATAAATGGCTCTTATTATTTTGATGTATGTTCCTTCAATACCTAGTTTATTGAGAGTTTTTAACATAAAGCGATGCTGAATTTTATCAAAGGCCTTTTCTGCATCTGTTGAGATAATTATGTGGTTTTTGTCTTTAGTTCTGTTTATGTGATAAATTACATTTACTGACTTGTGTATGTTGAACCAACCTTGCATCCCGAGGATGAAGCCAACTTGATTGTGGTGGAAAGATTTTTGATGTGCTGCTGGATTTGGTTTGCCAGTATTTTATTGATAATGTTTGCATTGATGCTCATCAGGGATATTGACATGAAGTTTTCTTTTTTGTTGTTGTATCTCTGCCAGGTTTCAGCATAAGGACGATGCTGGCCTCATAGAATGAGTTAGGGAAGAGTCCTTTCTTTTCAATTGGTTGGAATAGTTTCAGAAAAAAGGGTATCAGTTCCTGTTTGTACCTCTGGTAGAATTCAGCTGTAAATCTGTCTGGCCCTAGGCTTTTTTTTTTTTTTTTATTTTTGTTTTGTTTTGTTAGTAGGCTATTTAATACTGCCTCAATTTCAGGACTTGTTATTGGTCTATTAAGGGAATAAATTTCCTCCTGGTTCAGTCTTCGGAGTGGGTGTGTGTTTAGGAATTTATCAATTTCTTCTAGATTTCCTAGTTTATTTGCATAGAGGTGTTTATAGTATTCTCTGATGGTTGTTTGTATCTCCGTGGGGTCAGTGGTGATATCCCCTTTATCATTTTGAATTGTGTCTATTTGATTCTTCTCTCTTTTCTTCTTTATTAGTGTAGCTAGTGGCCTATCTTTTTTTTTTTTTTTTTTTTTTTTTTCCGAAAAAAAAGCTCCTGGATTCTTTGATTTTTTTTTTTTTTGGAAGATTTTTCATGTCTCTATCTTCTTCAGTACCACCATGATCTTGGTTATTTCTTGTCTTCTGCTGGCTTTGGGGTTTGTTTGCTCTTGATTCTCTAGTTCATGAGTTGATTCCATCTCTTAGTTAACATGGGAGTGCTAATATCACTTTTAGACCCTGATTGCAATTCTTTTGGATAAATACCCAGAAGTGGTTGCAGATCATATGGTAGTTCTATTTTTAATATTTTGAGAAACCTCCATGCTGTTTCAATTTCTCTACATCCTTGCCAATAAGTATTGACTTTTGTAGTTTTGATAATAGTGATCCTGTCAGGTGTGACTTAATATCTCATTGTGGCTTTGATTTGCATTTCTCTGATAATTAGTGATGTTGAGCATGTTTTTATATACTTGTTAGCCATTTCTATGTCTTCTTTGGTATTCTGGTTACTTGTTGATGAAGCTGATAGCATATACTATTTGGAGAATCATATTCTGTGACTAGAACTAATACTGTGTCTTTGTTTCTAAACTATTTATTTTCTAATTTATTTATTTTCTTCTTTTTATTGTGCAGGCTATGATCTTTAATATATACATGTAGTAGTATGTTCATTGTGAACTGCTGGTAAATATCCTTTATCAAATGTATCAGTCAGGATAACTTTAGCTACTAAAACAAACCACTTCAAAATGTATTTCTTGCTCTTGTCACAGACAGTACTTGTTGCTAGCTATGGTAGGGAATATTTTGTTGTACACACTCATTCAGTAATTTCCATTTTGTGGCTCTTAATCCTCAGAGTCCTGTCAATTTAGTAGGCAGATGGAGAGGAGATTGCATAAATCCTGATGGAGATTTTCATGATCTGAGCCTGGGAACAATGCACATCTTTTTCCTCTTGCACTAGAATAGCCAGAATTCTGCCATGTAGTCACATCTAGCTCCGAAAGAGGCTCCAGAGGTCATCTAAATCTATGCTGGGATGAGAAGAGAATAAGGATACCAAAAAGTCCTAGCTATTTCTGTCACAGTACTTTAAGGAAACTACCTTCTATTCTGAGTTTGCCTTTTGCATCTATTTAGATAATCATGTAGTTTTCTTTTTTTGAAATGTTAATTTGAAAAATTAATACACTGTATTATAGTGAAATTGATTTTATATTTATGAAATAAACCTACTTAGACATGTTGTATTTAAATTCTTAAGAATATGAGTGTCTCTGCATTTTATTTTCTAACGTTTTCTTTGGAGTTTTTGGGATTATATACAGAAGTAAGCTTGGATAATTAGATGCCTTTCTCATTTTATCTTTGATTTTGTTACCAAGGATAAATGAGATGCACAGCATTATCTGAAAAATTACTATATCTCTTACTATTTTACAATAAAGCTTATCCAGTTTTTGAATAATCTATTTCTTGATTATGAGACAGTATTCATAAGATTCTTGAATGTGTGGCAGAACTCATCAAGAAAATTATCTTGGCCTAATTTCTCCCTGTGTCACAATTGGTAATTCATGTTTTACAGAAATAGTTTATTTCATCAAAGTCTAGCATTTGTTGAAAAAATATTGCTTACAGTATATCCTCATTTATCTTTTTAATCTCTGCTTCATCTGCATTTATAGCTTTCTTTTAGTTCTAACATTCTTTTGAAAATGTCTCTTTGTCTTTGTTATTTATGTTTGTCTTTATCATTCCTGCTAGTAGTTTATCCATTTTGATTTTTAAAATAATCAAATTTTGGACTTATTGATATTCTCTGTGGTATTTTTCAATCATTAATTTTGGTTCTTATATGTTTTCTTCCTCTTGGTATCTTTGGATTTATTCTTCATCTTATCCTCACTTCTTAATTTGGATATTTTTAGCTCATTATTTTCATACTTTTTTCTTTTCTAACAAGGAAATCTTTTCAAAACATGAAATTATAAATGTATTCTAAGTATTATTTTTCAAACATTCTATTATTTTCCTTTTCACATTTAATTCTTCAATACGGCAGCAATGTATTTTTGAATATAATGTGAAGTGAGATTAAAAATTCATTCTTTTTCTATGTAGATAGTTAGTTAACTGAAATTATTTTTTTTTCTTTTAAAGTCAAGGTATTGCTGTTACCCACACTGGAATGCAGTGGTGTGATCCTAGTTTACTGCTGCCTCAAACTCCTGGGCTCCAGCAATCATCTTGCCTCAGCCACATGAGTAACTGCGACTACAGGTGCACCACCACATCCAGCTAAGTTTTTTAATTTTTGTACAGATAGGGTCTCTCTAGGTTGCTCAGGCTGGTCTTGAATTCCTTGCTTCAAGTAATTCTCTTCTCAAGTTGCTGGAATTACAGGCAGGAGCCACTATGCCCAACTCCATTAATTTTTTCTGAGCCTATCTTTTCTCTACTCTCTTGCAGTGCCATTGTTTCATACATCAAATATCCACATACGTGAGGTTCTCCCTCTGAACTCCATTCCATTCAATTTCTGCCTATATTTCTTTGCAACAATCCACGGCATTTAAATTATTATATCTTTATAATAAAACTTTCTATCCAGTAAAGTCCTCAAATCTATTCTTCTTCAAGTTGATTTGGGATCTATCTGATGCATTGCAGTTTCATAGAAAATGTTAAAAGCGGCCTATCAACCTTTTACAAAAACATTCAACACAATTGTTAAAACTATAGATATAATTACATACAGTAACATGCACAGATCTTAAGTGTACATTTCAGTGAGTTTTCACAAATTTATTCACCCTGGTTATTATAATAAACAACACTCCAAATTTCCTTTTCTCCTTAGAGACTTTCCTCATGGCCCTTTCTTGTGTTTCTGGAAATTGCTGCTGCTTCAATTATAGGTTAATTGTTGAATGTCTCTGGAAATGTCAGGTTTCCACATTTTAAGATAGAAAGGAGACATTGCTTGTGCTCCTTGGTATATTAAAGGTTTGATTTTCAACAGCTGTTATACTTTCCATTCTCTTGCAGCCTTCAGAGGATTTATGACTTACTGGTAGAATGGCTGGGAAAGCACTTTATGCTTAGACCATATCTTTCTTCACCAAAGCTCAAAGGGTTGCCTTTCTGTAGTACTTTCCTTCTTCAAAGACTCCACAACCTGTTATTATTCGTTTTCCCACCCCTGGGGCTGGCCATGATACCTCTTCTTGAAGGAAAGTCTTTTTGTGAAACTCTGGTTGGTCCTGAATAGCACATGTCTAAAATCCTTGCTGTCTGTACCCTCATTGTTCCACTCTTTGTAATTGAAAGAGGCTCTCAGTAACGTTCTTGGACGTCTTTTGGCTTTTATTATACTTTTTATCTTTGCTGATAGCTAGTTTTTTTTTTTTTCTGCAAGACCCCCACAAGCAGTGAGATGAACATGTCTTGACTTCCAAAGTAATTATTTGGGTTTTCATTGTAGTAGATAAAGATATTAATATCTGTATCAGGTTCATTTATATTTCTCTAGTTATAGTCCTATAAAAGCATTTTCCATTGAGCAATAGGACATATACATATGTAAAATCTTTCTATTTATATATATGAATATAACAGATAATATATATTATATACATATATAACTGCTCCTTGGTATATTAAGGATTTAAATTTCAACAGCTGTTATACTCTGCATTCTCTTGCTACTGTTTATATATATGTATATTACAGTTATATATATTTTATATATATATATATATATACTGGGGAGAAAAATAAGCTAGTAAGTTAGTAACAACAAAGCTCTCTCTCTGTGTGTGTGTGTGTGTGTGTGTGTATATATATATATAACTGTGTGCATGTGTGTATATATATACATACCTGTATATATATATACCTGTATATATATATATACCGGTATATATATATACCTGTATATATATATATACCGGTATATATATATATACCTGTATATATATATATACCGGTATATATATATATACCGGTATATATATATATATACAATGTAGATATAAAAACAGTATACAGTTTTTATATAGAGTTATCTATCTGTCTATCTATCTATTTATGTATATATACACACACCCACACCCACACACAGTTTTTCTTCCAGCTCAAATTTTAAAGACTAGGAGGCTATGATATTCTTAAAGGAATGATTATAGATGTATGGAGTGAATAAGGATGAATGACATAAAATCTAAAGTTCACTTCCAGAGTGCCTATTTGCCTGACATGAGTGCACATTTGAACACCTGAACTGGTATCTCAAAAGACTTGCCCCAAGATGCACGTGCACTTCCTCATAACGGATACCTCAAATAGAACAAATAAAACATCTTCTGGTGCAGAAAAGATATTTATTATGCTGAAAGTAGAGACCATTAGTATTGCTATTGGAGGAAGAAAAAAGACGTGGCATTTAAAGCCTGGAATGTGCTACAGAGTATGGTGGTGGAACCTCTCTAAGATTTTCATCAACTAGGAGAAATGGGTATTTATCTTCTTTAGTACATATCAGGGATAGGACAAGATTAGTATTAATTTTAAGTCAGAGGATCACAAAGGTAGAGAAGAAGGTATTCTAATATGGTGTGTATAGCACAGAACTCAAGAATTTACTTAACAAAATTTGAAGGTAAATCTCATACAGGTAGTCATGAGCCATACATTGATAAACAGGTTGGTTACATCTCTGTGTGTCGGCAGGGGGAGTGGTGGAAGGGCTGTGTGGGAGGACTGTGTTCAAATGTTAAAGGGACTGATGATAGGACTCTTTCTTTTAAGGATTATAAGCAAAACGCACAAAACACACAGAGCTAGAGCGAGAGTGAGAGCATGACAAAAAGAGAGAACGAGAGAGAAAAAGAGAGAGAGAAAGAGATAAAAAGAGAGAAAGAGAAAGAAAGAGAGAAAGTTTGCCTTCTATTCCTACAATCTATCATTTTCCAGGATAATCTTCCTAAAGCCCACACTCAGATACCTACGATGGCTGCTGACTGTGAATGATGAGAGAAGTAGCAATTCCTCATCATCTAAGCCATTCCTGTATTCTCTTGTCCTGTTTTGCTAAAATAATTTGTTGATATTGGATAAAAAAAATCAGATCTATAATGTATATTGAATCCTATGAAAAGATGTCACCAATGAGTTTAAGCTGCGTCACCCTCATATTTCTTTTATTTCCATGTCAAATACACTTATATTTCAAACAGGGAACTTAAATGAAGCAATATACTGCCTGTAACACTGCACCAATTTTTAGTGGCTTGAAAATATTCTTCCTCTTCTCTTAGCCTGGATCCATTACTCACAGAATAAGATGCCTATCTTAAAGCTGTCTTTTGCTTTAGAATAAAGCAACTTGTAGGAGAAAGCATTAACTTTCTTTTTGCTGTTGCTTAATATGCTATTCTAGAATGTTGCTTTCCCTTAATATGTCAGGATGATTATCACATCTCTTAAGGTAAGTAGTTGAAGATACAGTGGAACCTAAATAGTCACTCATCTACTATCACCCTATTACTCCCCTCAGAGAAAAAGAAAAATAACTTATTGGAGTAAAGGTAGAAATGAAAAATATGAATACAATTTGAATGATTATATTCATATAAGATTAATTTACTCTCTCGTTTTAGTACAGGAAAGTTGGGGAGAAAAATAAGTTACTAACAACACAAATGAGTGCAGCATTTCCTTTAAGAATTGTGTCTTCTCACCACCTTGATGACATCACATCTAAGAATGAGGAAGCCCAGGCCACTCAGAAAGTGACTATGACTAGGTGGTCCAAGCTATGTTGAAAACTCCAGCTTAGAAAGAAATACGCTAAGAGACAGGCCAAATGGAAAACAGGTTTAAAATGTTGAGTCCACCCAAGCCACTCCTGTCCAGTAGAGATTTTCAAGATTCAGTGTGCGGAAAATTTTAAGAACTCAAATCAAAGCTCCTGTAACCTACTCATCATGCACTCAACCTATGGTGCCTGTGAAATCAGAAAGCCACAGGAGTCAGGAAGAGCTGAGCAAAATGTATCCAGTTGGTTGCAAATTTGGGCTGTAAATGAGGTTTTAGAGGAAACTGAAAATTCATATGTGATTCAATGAGCAGTGAATATATGATACACACAGTATGCTTATCTATGGGGAACCAAGAGCAAATTGGGTACAATGAACACGGTCTTGTTAAGTAGAAGTACAGTTTGTCCACCACTGAAAATAACTGCAAACCGCTCACTTGTTCCTAGGGTGTTTCTATTTAAGCGTTTGTTTAGTGATTTGTAATTTTGCCAGCAACCGTCTTCACGTTTGGGGATTATTGGCTGAGCTACACAGTAGCCTTTTAGGTTGGATTTTCCAACCAACGGGAGGCTTTATAAGACATTTCCACTGAAGCTCCTTTGCGAAGTCCTTGTGCCCCAATAAATTTTCCCTGTTGACTCTGGTCGCCTCAGATGCATAGTGAGAGATGGAAACACAGCCAAGGTCACATCAAATTAAACTTTGCAGTTGATTTTATGGAGAACAATTCTGTCCTAAAGGTAAGTAACTAAGTAGAAACTATTCCTACAGAAGCGATTAGGACTCAGGAAAATTATTTCCTGTATATTTTAATCAAATACTATTGAAAATAATTGAACTCCTAGTATGTGTCAAGGACTATAAGGAATTTAAAAAAGCAATAAAATATCTCTCTTGACTTCACGGGTCTTAAAATACAGCAGAAAAAAATGCAAAGGGTGAATTCTAAGGTACTGTGGACTTTAAGGTAGCTGAGAGGTTATTGTCACAGAGATGGTTACATAGATGATGATGAAAAAGTAAGTGGGAATAGAAGCAGGGTAGATTTAGGATCAATTTTATGGAAGAGTGAAACAGCATTTTTAAAAGGCTATAAATAATGTTAGGGTATGGATATAAATTGATAAAAAAGAAAACATTTTGGGAAGAGAGACAAAGATGAAAGTGAGTGTATTGGTTTTAGGCAGAATGGCTGTGGGTTTGAGATGACCAACGTTTAGTGTTGTGTAAACAGTTGCATACGTAGAGATGTATACTTGAGATATGGAGATATAAGATAATGTCAATCTGTGGAAGGGCTTAAATATCATGCTAATGAGTCCAGATTTGCAGATGTTTTGAGCAAACCAGTATTAGGAGGCAACTCTGGGGCAGAGTTATCACTACAGATGGTTGAATCAGAGGGCAGAGTTAGGAGATATGAAAGTATTCAGGCAGAGATTCTCTGAGGGCCAGCCAATAGTGGAACAATTGCAATAATAATATTAGAATAGATAGATTTTGAAAATATTATGGATAAGAAATAAGAAGGACTTCATAACTAAGTGGTTGTAACAAAATGGAAAAAAAAAAAATCATTCATTGGAATTCCAGGAATCTGGAGAGCACACTCTGACCTGGTGGTGCTACTCACCATGAACAAGAAGCAAGAGTGGGATGTAGATGCTGAATGTGGAGATGTTGTCAAGCCCAAGACATGGGCTGTGAAAGGGACCAGGTTGGAGGTGAGAGTGACAACAGGGTACGGAACCTGGTTGGTGCTGACTATAGTCTCCTTAATGTGATATTCCCAAATCCTCAGGAAAGTTACTATATTCACAGATTTTTGAAGCGAGTGCATATTTTTAGGTGGGTGATGGGGGACCAGTGTGGAATGAAACCAAGATAATATATGCGGAAGAAAAAAGAACATTGGAAAGGCCTGTGGTAGTATTCTCCGAAATTAGAACAAAGAGTTGGGAGATACTTAACCATGTGAGTTGGCAAGAAAGAGTTCAAATTACATTCAAGTCCATATGCTAGAGGTGAGGAAGTCCGATTTGACTTCTGAGTTATTTGGTGTGCAGGATAAGGAGCAAAAAGGGTATGAAGATAACTCAGGTTTTGAGATTAAGTTTCCGGGGCAAAGGTAGTTCATATGTTAATAAATTAGGAAAAAAGAGAAAAAGGTGTTGGAGCAAGAAGAGGAATATATTCAATTTGAAGCACTGGCAAAACATTAAAAGATGTCCAGGAATTCCAGTCTGGAACCCCAGTTAGGGGCTGGAAATAAAAACATGTACTTGGAAGTAATTAGCATGGAGGTGCCAAGTAACATTGAGTGAATGAAAGAAGAGCAGATGGTGAAGGACCGAATTTTGGAAGTCACCCAACAAATATTTATCAAACAAGTAACATATATCAGGGACTCATCCCAGTGCCAAAAATACAGCAGTGAACAAAGTAGATGAAGTACCCCCTTTTACATGAGGAATATGGCTGGTATGAAAGTGAGGTGAAGGAGATAATCTGATAAGAGAGAGTGAGAGAAGACAGGAAGTAGACATTCTTCATAAGAAGAAATGGGTACAGAAAAGACACAGAGGGAAATAGGTAAGGCTTGGAGTCAAGCAGAACAGAGTTAAATTACATTTTCCTCACTTTGTAGAAACTCTGATAGGGATCAAGTTACTGAACCTCAGTTTTCTCATGTATATAAGGGGAATTATGATTATTTATTGTGAGGATTGAATAAATAAAATATGTTGAGTGCCTCACTCATTGTAAATAGTTCATTCATATTAGTCTTTTTTTTTAATGGCTTCTTCCCATCCTCATTGCTGAGAAACTTGAGAGAGAACAAATACCTATACATCTCTACCATGATAGGCATTGTGCTAGGGGCTCTTGAGGACACGTACCTTGCCTTTAAAAAGGCAGCTATTGGCAGGGCGCGGTGGCTCACGCCTGTGATCTCAGCACTTTGGGAGGCCGAGGCGGGCTGATCACAAGGTCAGGAGATCGAGACCATCCTGGCTAACATGGTGAAACCCCGCCTCTACTAAAAAATACAAAAAAATCAGCCAGGCGTGGTTGTGGGCGCCTGTAGTCCCAGCTACTCGGGAGACTGAGGCAGGAGAATGGCGTGAACCCGGGAGGCAGAGCTTGCAGTGAGCTGAGATCGCGCCACTTCACTCCAGCCTGGGCGACAGAGCAAGACTCTGTCTCAAAAAACAAAACAAAAAAAGGCAGCTATCTAGTAGGGAAGTCAGTAGTCAGTACTTGTAAGCAAATGTTTGCAAAAAGGTATTCTAAAACAGGCAGCTGACAAAGTATGTTTGTTTTATAACACGATGCAGGAAGCACAATGGCTTCCTACTACTCACAGTATAAATTCTGAACTTCCTATTGTGGCTTATGAGAATGCAAAGTGATCTCATCAGCACCACTTCCCACCTTCCTGTGCCTCTGTGAGTGTGTGCTCTAGTGATACCGATCTTCATGTGGTGACTTCAACACGTGCCACTCCCTGTTGGAATGCTCTGTATCCTCCCCAGCTCACCATTCATTGCCTGATTAATTCAGATTTCAGATTCACTTTCTCAGCAAGTCGTAACTTCCTGAACCAGATGAGACTATACAGTTGTATTCTCTTAGAACCTAGTTCTTCTTTGTGGCCCCTTTTACAGTTCAGTTGTAGGTACATAACTAATTGTATAATCAGTAGATAAACGTCTACATCCTATGTGTAATCAGCAGATGAATGTCCGAACGTAGGACGTTATATTCAGGAATTGTCTGTGCTCCAGTTAGCTTGATGCATGTCCTAAAAGTTGATGCTCAGCCTGCACCTGTTGCATCTGTGAATGCACCAGGTAGATGCTCAGTAAATGATCATTGAACAAGTGAATGAAAACATAGGAGTAAAATATTAGGATAAAGCCACTGTAGATACAGTCTAGATTCTATCTTTAGTCAAAAGCAGAAGGGCACGTTTGAAAAATAAGCATCCTTCCTTCACAATATTAAGTCCAAGGTCTAGGGTCATGCCATACAGGTAATCTTTTTATAATAATTTTGTATGTGTCTATCACCCATAAGCTTTTCTACACATTAAAAATGCTTCATTATGTATCTAGATTGTGCTAACTCACAGACAGATATTATAGAAATGTACTTCCCTGTTACTGACATAATAGTTACTTTATTTGCAAGAACTTATTCCCTAAAACTTTAAAGTTTCCTTTTTCTTGTATTGCAATTCAGAATTTCTAGTCTAGTCTTAGCTTGCAGCCCAACCAGCTTTTGCTTTTCTGGATGAAAGAGACTGACCTTTGCCCTAGTGCCTTGCACATGGTGAGTTTTTAGATTGAAGGCTTTTATATTTGTACTTGGCTGATTGGTTTACCTTTTCTTTGGGCTCTGCTCTTCCTTCTGCATGTTTGTGATGTCTCCTCAGAGATACAAATGCAATGAAACACAGTGTGTTTCTTGGTATTCACAGTATCTGAGGGAAGGAGATTGATTTTACCTTAAACTAAAGTCTTCTCTAATGAGACCCTGGATTAGACTAATGTTCTGGGCCTGATAATTGGAAATGTTTATTTTAGGGGTCACAGTAAATAATTTTAAAGCACAAAATAAATAAGTGATTTTAAAATAGCTCATTAGAAAAAAAATGTGCTACAAAGTTAAATAATTGAATTTTTATAATCAGTCTATAATGGAAAAACAATGTTTCCTAGAGGCAGATAGATGTGGGTCAGAAACTCAGGGTCCGCCACATGTTAGTTATGTGACTTAGGTTAAGGCACTTACATTTCCTGGGCCTCAGCTGCTGCTTCTCCAAAAGTGGCGCACATGTAGTCTGTGCCATTGCTGTGGGGATTAAGTGATGAATGAAGACAACAGAAGTGGGGACAATGTTTTAGAAAATAGTACTTCACATTTTTTCTCCTCTTTCAAACAAGAGTATTGTCTGTTTTAGAATATTCTTTTCATCCACCTGTTCTGTTCTTTCCTCTCTTTCTTGTCATTTTATTTCCACATTAGTTTCTTTGTAAAGCTATCATAATTTGAAAAATACAGACTTTTACAAATTATCTTTGCAAAATATAAGTAACTATGTGACTTTATCTTCTAGAACAGTAATATTTCTATACAACCTGCAGTGATGACTTCATTCAATAAGTTATACAAAAATCCAGTTTTTATTAATAAATTTCTGTTGAATCACAGAATTAGGAATGCTGAAACAGAGGGGTTGGGCCATGAAAAACAGGGTGAAATCAAAGTTCTGAAAGCATGTGAGAAATAATGTTTTTATTTCTGTTGGCTTGGGACAAGTTGGGGATGGTGGGTGTGATCTGAAGTTGAAAACAGGAATATCATTCACTTACCATAAATAATACCATTAATGGAAAAATATATTGAACAAACAGTTTATCAGAGTTACTCAAGGATCGGCTTTCTTCCTCCTTGACGTTTGTCCTCCTAGTGCTCAGGGAAGTGTCTGGCATTTACTAAGTACTCAATATAAGTTGATAAACTTGACTGATTTATAGTAAGGATTTATAATAATAAATCCTTCTTTATATGACTTTTTAAAAGGTTTTTAAGTTAATTTTGCTGTTTTATTGAAAAAATGAGAATTATCAGAAGCTGAGGTTATTTATATTTTTACCTAATCTTACCAACTCATTACCAATTCCACAAATGTTTAAGAATGAAAACATGAAGTTCACATCCCTGGAGTAAACATACTATTAGTTCCACTTCCTTTGAGCACAGAGGAAATGCTTTCATTAATTAAGCTTCCAAACATCCTCCTCATTTTAAGCAAGGATAGATTTGGTACACTAATGGTTGATTTGGCAGACTGAAATTAGGTGTTTTCATGAACTGATCCAAGTGCCAGGGAGAAACACAGTAGCTCCAAGTATGAGCATGCAACCAGGACCCCAGATTCACAAAAGCCTCTGTGGACGATAGGACAATGGCAACCTGAACAACAGCAGTCACAACACTAGGAACAATCTGCTACTCTAGATAACAACAACTACAGAAACCACAACACTACCATGTAGGCAGTTAGCTAAGTGCTTTCCATGCATCTTCTCATAAACCCCTCTGAATAATTCTCTAAATTATAGATATTATTATTAGCTCTAATTAGAGGAGAGGATATTGAGGCCTAGCTAATATATCACCTAGTTTCTAAAAAAAATCTCCATCAGTATTTCATTTTCGTTATCTGCAGGAGTAATACTATCTCCAATAAACTTGGGCCAAAGAGCTAATGATTTAACTTATTGTGTTAATTGAAGTCTTAATGTAATTCATTGCTATCTCCACCCAATCAGCCATGGCTATAATGAATAAGACTGGGATGGGACTAAAGAGCGGTATGGACACTGAGACTTCTGAAAATATTCCTGAAGCCAGCCAAGTGCATAAATCTAGAATCAGGATCTGGTATTAAGACGGTGTCAGGGAAGACAAGATGCAATTCATGCTGGGCTTAGTAGCTAGGTGGTGGGTTGATAGGTGGAGCAAACACCATGGCACACATTTACCTTTGTAACAAACCTGCACATCCTGCACATATACCAAAGAACTTATAAAAAAAAATTTAAAAAACCTGAATGTGAGGAGTTTTGCCAGGGTCAGGTATGTCTTGCTATATTTCCAAGCTTAGTGCTTCGCCCAGTGTCTGGAGCTTAAGGAAAACTCAATATACCTTGATGGTACAAAATCAAATATTATTAATTTCTTTATTATAATCACTCCAGTATATATAGTGACAGATTTTACAACCATACACTCATTTGTGAAAAATGTAACATTTTTCCATAGTGTCATAATTTGTATATAAAGCCTCTACTTTGCCTAATAGCAAAATATTTAATTTAGTGACTTCTGAGAAAAATTAGTGATTCCTCTTCAGTTCAGACTTAAAAAATGACTCAAATTTAATATTTTATCTTTTCTTCATTCCTTTGCCCATTTTTATACATGACTGGTGGAGAGAAGACATCATTATATGTGCCCAAATACAAGGCAGATTTTTTTCTTTACTCTTATGCTCAGAAAAATGGGACTTATCCTACTTTGCATTCCTCACAAATTCCTTTATATTATGGAGAGCGTCTCTCTGTCTCCCTCTCTCTCATCCCCTCATTCTCTCTTTCTCTCTCTCCCCGCCCTCCCCGCTTCTGTTACTAATTTTGCAGAGACACATAAGCCTGAAAGTAACAATCCGGATGTTTATGGAGGTCGCCTGACAGTTGATTAAAAAAATGGGCAAATAAATTTAACACAGATTTATCTTAGTTTCATGGGGGTATTACTTCATAATTGTGAGTTAATGCTTATAGTAAGTAAGCTTTAAAAAAATCTTTAAAATGAAAATGCATAAGTGGTTATGTTGAAGAGACCAAAAATGTACACTAATTGCAGATAGAAGAAAAGCAACTATTCTAAAGTTTTACAGAAGGAACTTGATATATGAGCTCCAGTACCACTTGGAGCTTGCTATATCTTGTTGCACAAGATTCAAAATATGCACATTTCAAGAACCTGAGATGGAAGTGAGAGTGATGTGATGTGGAATGCAGTATTAGACCTCAGAAATGGTAATGTGCCACCAGAGTTCGTTACTCGATGAGGCATCGTCAGCAGAAGTCCCTGGGTAAATGCAGTGTTTCTCAGACTTCTTTCATTATTGGTCCTCTGAAGAGGCTTTTCAGACATTTTTCCTTATCGATCTCTTTCTGCCCAGAACTTGACATTTTAATACCACAAATATAGTGTCTATTTGTTTATGTATTGTGAATCTTTGCAGGGCCACAAACTATTATAATGTCTACTCCCCCTCTTCTACTATCCTAGAACAAGTTTTAGCCCCTTGTGGGTAATACTGTTCCTATTGAGATTAAATGGCATATTGTGCTGACAGTCAGAACCGGAATCTCATTCCTACCCCTTATTTCATCTGACATTGGAACCCCTTTTCAGCCTTTGTCAGCCTACCCTTGGTCATCTGTGAAAGGGAACTCATAATGCTTTTCTTAGAAACCTCTTCTGTGGGGTAAATGAGAAATCCCATACAGAGTAGATAGCACCTGGTAGGACTTCCACAGATGGTCATTCAGGGCAGTGAATAAAGTGAATAAAGAATTGGATATACAGTTTAGTGAAATATGAGAATGGAAAATTATGACATGTGATTATAAATGTGCATGTGTAATTCATGAATTAATCTTTGTTATAAGTGAATATTTAGTAGTTCTTTTTTGTATATCCATAAAAATTTATATTTACATGTTCAAACTGACCAGAATGCATTTTAAAAAAATTATCTCACTGGCACTGTGGCTTAGGCCTATAATCCCAGAACTTTGGGAGGCTGAGGTAGGTGGATCATTTGAACTCAGGAGTTTGACACATGTTGAAACCCCATCTCTACAAAAAATACAAAAATTAGCTGGGCATGGTGGTGCATGCCTGTAGTGCCAGCTAATATGGGGGCTGAGGTGGGAGGATCCCTTGACCCTAGGAGGTGGTGGCTGCAAAGGGCCAAGATTGTGCCACTGCACTCCAGCCTGGGTGACAGAGCCAGACCCTGTCTCAAAAACAAAAAGACCAAAACCAAAAACAACAACATCGACAACAAAACAACAACAACAACAACAACAACAAAAGATCTCACTGAGAAAACAGGAAACTTACCTCATTTTGGGTATCACCTTGTGTTTGGGCAAATATGATACTTCTAAGTAGGAACTATTATGCACTGAATACCTGCTGGGAAGTAAAATTAGAGAGTCGTGGTTCTTGGCTATTATCACCCTTCCATATGAACATCTGCTGAGATCACTACCCTCTGTCTTCTAAGCACTTGTTCTAGACTGCTTATTAGAAGACTTCTAGATACTCTCTGCAGTGTTTGGATTCTCTTTGCTAATTTCCAAACTCCAATTGGGTGTACTTCAGAATTTTTTGCTGCTGAGTCAGGGAAGATCACTTGTCT
Organism: Homo sapiens; assembly: GCF_000001405.40. Taxonomy (NCBI): domain Eukaryota; kingdom Metazoa; phylum Chordata; class Mammalia; order Primates; family Hominidae; genus Homo; species Homo sapiens. The sequence continues at coordinate 117,194,152 of NC_000002.12, read as the reverse complement.
TGTAATCATAGTTTTGTCTGGGATGATGTGCCTTCTCAGAATTCAGTGTGGAAAGCAGTGTGTATACCACCTTTACCCTCAGAATCTGAATTGATGTGAGCGTTGATGTTTGACTCTGTTGTAACTTCAACCTGAGGAAGACGGCAAGATTCAACCAGCTCTATCTCAGTCCAGCAAACTCTAGCTTCCTCTGTTAATATCTCTTCCTTCTCGATTCAAACAAAGAGGATGGCAAAAACACTATCCTTTCTGATGCATTTTTTCCAAACATTCTTGTCTTATTGCTTCCAGATACCTAAGAATCAATCTTAGCATGATAAAAAAGGATTCATTACTTATACATGATTCCTGGTATGATGTAAGAAGTACAACTGTGCTTGCAAAGAAAAACTCAACTTATTCGAGCCTCTAAATCTAACTACCAGTTTACAGAAGTCACTGGGGAAAGAGGAACAAGTTAAAGATACCTAAGAGAAGGAATCAGCCACATCCAAAATGCCACTAATGCTCCAAGGCAAATGGCCCAGTTTATTAAAAACAAAAAAATATATATATATGACTTAAAAGAGGAAAATTGTTGGAAATTAAAAGAGACTTAAGAGGTAACTAAATGCACTAGGTGGGTTTTGTTTAGACCCTGAATTAAACAAACCAACACAAAAAACATTTTGAGATAATATTAGGCAAATTGGATATAGATTGAGTATTAGAAAATATTAAGACATTATTGTTAACTTGGTTAGGTGTGATAACAATATTATATTTATATGACCAACTAACCAACAAAACAACAATAAAAACATTCCATAAAAATATTTCCAGAAGAAATACATATCTTGAATTTGCTTTAAAATAATGAGATGAAAAGAAGTGTTGGATGAAAGATACAAGATTGGCAAGTGTATCTAGTTGCCAAATCTGGGTGGTGGCTGCAGGAGGGTCATTTTTCTGGCTCCGAAATTTTTGTAAGTATCGGAGTATTTCTATAGTGAAAAGGTCAAACACTAAAACTTGGAACCCCAGAATTTCACAGTGGTCTCCATCCCACCAACACTCCCTCCTTCAGGATAATGGCTGGCACCCTGTGGCAGCAGGGACTAGGGGGTTAAGGGAGGCAGGAAAGAAAAGAAATGAAGAAAAGTTCAAAAGTTCAAAATTTCATCTAGAACATATGCTTTTCTCTTTCATTCTTTTCAATTGAAACAGACCAGAACATTCTCTGTAATCTGACTAAATACAGTATCTCACGTCAACATTGTTCAGTTTATTAAATGTATGTAGATGTTCTTGTGATAAATTTTAACAACATTTATTTAAACATATTATTGGATGTATGTAGTTATTTGGTCGTTATACTCTCAATGAATCAACGTAGGATATAACTAGTGTCATAGAAGAATTCATGAGTTTCTTTTTAATTTAAAAAATTTTGTACTTGAAAAAGTTGTGATTCACTTATACAGACAAAGGCAACAACAGTTTAAAAGAATATTTGTTTCATTTATACCCTGGGAGTTTTGAGCCTGAGATAAAGAGAACTTTCGAAATAAATGGCAGCTTTCTGGCTAGTGTGGTAATGAGCATCTCTGCCACGTGCCTGGGCCTGTTAGCCTTTCTCTTTGCTTTTCTGCATTGAAGCAGCCAATTTGAAGGGCTGCTTCAGTGTTATTAGACCTGCCACGGCCAGGCCTGAACCCTGAGGATGGAGAAGGTGTTCTCTGAACACAGATAGATAATCCTGCTGATCATTTTGCAGCTCAAGCAAACAGGGACAACAAGGAGCTTTGTGCGACCTGCTATCCTGGGAGCACTTTGAGCCTCTTTCCCTGGGTTGCCCCTCCGCCACGCTTAGAAGCTTCCTCCCTATTGTCTCCGTGGACTGCAAGATGAATATGTTCAAGAGAAAACCTGCTCTAGGATGTGTTTCCTTTCATTGCCCAAACACCAGTTCACTAGTGGGTCTTCACGATCTGGTTTCTTTTTTGCATTGTGTGCATGCCCCTGTGTGGGAAGGAAAGGGAAGGGAAGAGTAGACACACTGGCTATTCTCCCTATTGGAAAGGTTGGATGAGGAACTTTCAATCAAATCAAAACTAATCTAAAACATGAAATGAGAGATGTGAATGTGTTATAATTTTAAGTGCAGGTGTTATTTGATGGAAGGAAAACTATGAAATTATATCTAATTACACATGGCTATGGACACAGATGATATTTGACACTGGTCTAAAAGTTACTTAATTATTGAAGTCCTGACTGTAACACATGTTTGTTGACATTTAGAGTTTTATCTTAAAGACAAGAGCAAATACATTTAGACATTGTCTAAAAAAATTGTCATGAAGTTAGCCAAATATTTGGCTGGATTTGATGTTTTTCTGTGCTTTCTAATGCTTTTAACAGTTTCATTTCCTGACTAACAACATAAACTATATCTGGATTATTTAAGGAAAAAGTAAACTGCAATAGCTTACTTTTATATGATCGGACTTTGCTTCTTTTGCAATTTTCTTTTGATCCCGTATCTTCATGAATTTATAAAATGATGATTCAAAAGGAAGTGAATTGGCTTGATTAAAGGAACAGAGAAAATGAAATTCTATCTCTTATATTTTATATTTGGGCTGGAGGGCCTTCAGTCCTGATGGATTTATTTTGCCTCTTTCATTTTCTTATTCTGAATTCACAGTATAGCAGTTTCCACAATGGATTGCATAGTCCTCTCAGCATTTTTGGACTCCGGTTCCATGAACACTTCATTATGGATGTCTGCTGCCCTTGATTTAGTGCTTTGATATTTAGTTACCATGGTTTTAGAGTAATTTATGCGACAACCCCTTTTCTTCATGTCTTCCCACCCCTGTGTGCTTTCTGGACCATACAAATCAATGTAAGCGTAATTTAGCCCATGACTTTCATAAGTAGAGAATACCTTGGTACACTAGCATTCATCCCTCACCTAAAGGGCATGCCTACTTCTGCTGGCACCGAGCTCAGAAAGGCCTCATGGTTTCCATAGGTCAATCCCATGAGGCTAGGTTGATAATGCAGAAAGCCTCGGCCTCCAGGGATGATGGTAATCATCTCTGAAGCACCAGGTGGCTGCTCTGTGCAGAGGATTTAATTCACATCTCATAGTAATGCTCCAAAGATGAGGTCCCCAGGGATATGTTGCCTTGCAGGACTTTTCACAGAGGTTTATTGCTTTTCTCACCAACTTCTCGGGCTGCCTATGAATTCTGCATAGGCTCCTCCTTTTCTGCAGGACAGCATTTGCATTAAAAAAACCACTAGATAAGCAGCACTTCACCAGTTATCATTCCTTTTAACCGCCACATGTAGAAGGTGGACAGATGTGCATTTAGGTACAGTTTACGTATTGCACCTACCTGAACTCATGGCTCAACCTGCTGAGCTGCCTTGCAAATCCACCATTCTTTCTTTCCTGAAAAGGAAGCCAAAAAAAAGAAAAGAAAAAGAAAAAGATCCTGTAAAATGAAGTGTCAGAAAGCAGTACCTTTTCCTCTTATCTCCTTAGTGCTGGGCAGTGTTTTTCTTTAGCTGCTCCGAATGAGGCCATCGTATTGTGCCAATATTCTTGGACACTGTTGGAAGTGTCTAATTGTGGTTAAATGTTGCAGAAGAGCCCAGGACCAGGTTTAGTGTGTTCTGCATATTTTCTTAGCAATAGGTATGATGAACCCCGCATGAAACAAGCTGCTTCCTGTGGGGTTTAATTTCCAAAGAAACTGGGAATGCTCTCTCAGCCAAAAATTGCTGATTCCACCTGTTCACTTGAATGCGTATTTCACAAGGCCTGAGGAAATGTGTGTAAAACAACTAGGATAGCTTTGGGATCACATAGCCCTGGGTTCAAATTCCACATTAATTATCTCCTGATTAGATGTGGACATTTAAAAAGTTTGTAGCCTAATTTCTTCTGTTATGATAAATTGTTTATTTTGTTGGATTTAAAAAAATCGATAAAAAACATAGCTATTGTAATAAAACTTAACACTATAATAATTCATAAAAAATTTGATAATCACTCGAAAGACTCTTTCCATCTGGGCTCCAACCAAAGCACACACATGGATATAGTCTTTTTTGTGCTTCTAAACTGAAATATACACAGGAATAAAGCATATGCAGCTATTTTCTTATACTCTTTCTCCTTAAATAAAATTGTAGCATGCTATATGCTCTCATTTTTAGCTCACTTTCTTCACTTAACTTTCATATCCCTCTCAGGAACCGTTCTGTTTTAATAGCTCTAAAATACTGCAAAATCTCCATGGCTAGAATACATTTGCATACCACTTATTTATGGAAAATTAGATTTCCCCAAATTTTGCTACCACAAAAAGTTTTAAAACAAATGTTCTTGGAGTTAATCTCTTAAGTACTGGTTCTTTTTCATTTGTTTGTTTTAGTACAATTTTTAGAAGTGCAAATGTTGAGTATAAGGCTGTGAACATTTAAATATTTTTGTTTATTGACATATAACCTTTGAAAAATTCATGCTACTGTACATAGCCATCAGCAATGTATAAGACAGCCCATTTTCTCACATGGTAGCTGATTCTAGTTATTACGAATCTTTTTAATTGTTTGTACATTTGATGGTTGAAAAATGCCATCTCAATTTTTTAAATTTGTATTTCCAAAAATGTGAAGTTTATGATAAGAATGTTCACAGTGAGGTCACATAGAGGTGTTCACAATATCAGAGTGATCAGCAAGTAATCAGGTTTAGAGGACAATTTTCTAAGAGAGAAACACACCCGCTCACATTACTCCTTCTTGAGCTTTGTGAGATGAAAAGTGGATGTGGGGCAGGTAGGTTACATAGAGTGGAGAGGCAGAGGAAAGAGATGTTGTTGGGACAACCCTGGGGAATATTTTCTTTCATGACCTTCCCAAGGATGGCCCTGCTAGCAACATTAGACAGATTTGCACCCTGGACCACATTGTTGTCCTTGCTCTCTGTTCCCAGATTGATCAGCCATTCTAGACTTCATTTTTGGCAAGTAATTTGACAGCAATAGACCGGGGTCATGTTATGAGTTTCATGTCACACATCCAGATGTAATATTTAAAAAAAATCAAATTACTTCCTGTATTTCATATGATTTCCCTACTGATTTACTAATGCTTCATATGCAGAATAAATCATAACAGTAAGTTCATGTCCCCTGAATGAAAGAACTGCCTTTTCTGCAGACCAAGAGTGAACTGCTGACACTAATTAAGGTTCGTAGCACATGCCTTACCCTAAGCACGTGTGGATTTGGTTCCATGAGGAAAGATGATTTGCCAGATTGCAGCTAACAGGTTAGATGAACTCAATCAAACTGTAATGGGAAATGCACACGACTTCACCAATATGTGTTAGCAGTAAAGTATTGTGAGTTTCCAGATTCACAGATTCACATGGCTAACCAGCAATAAGAAAAGCAAAATGCACTGAGTACTTCTTATGGTCCAGGTACATTTCTAAAGGTTTTAATAAATTACTTCATCTAATCCTTACTACAACCTCATGCATTAGCTACAGTAATTACCTTCATCTCACAGACAAGGTGTGGAGAGGTGAAGTCACTTACCCATAGTTACAGAATTGGGAAGTGGAGGAAGTATGGTTCACACCCAGGTAGTCTGGGTTTGAAACCAAGCACTCATCATCTGTGATATTTTAACTGTTAACTGGTCCAAGCTCACCAACTAGTAGGTAATACTAGTAGTTCTTAGTAAGACTAGTATTACTAGTAATATGTAATACTTTTAAAAAGTATTCTTTTATACTTTAAAAAAGTACTTCTTATGGTCCAGGTATATTTCTAAGAGATATGATCACTGCCCCACCCTCCCAAACACATACACTAAAGGTTACATGAATTGCCTAATAACAAAAAGCAGTAAAGTTGCTTAAAATGGTGATAGTGCGGTGATATGGGGCCATTACTTAGTCTCATTCATGAAATCCCTAGGTTAATTCTAAGACTCAGTTTCAAGGGACGGGATTAAAATTTGAGTAACTTCCTACTACAAAACAACCTTACTATATCTTTTTAGTGTTAAGAAAGAAATGGCACCAGTTATTTTAACAGAGATGATTGTACATAAATTTTCAACCAATTGTTAGATAACTAAAAATACTCAATGGGGACATGATGGTATCACAGAGAAATTAACTGCAGGAAGCAACCACGGAGGTTAGCATCCGGGAGGAGGGGCCCTACAGAACTGGGGTCCAAACCCTGAGGAGTGGGTGCCAGTTATGAAGAATGGTACCCCTTAGGAATTGTAAAGCTGCTTTTGGGGAATGGAAAAAATTGCAAATAAGAACCCACCACTACTACCCACTGCCAGAGTGAAGGGTGATTGTTGCAATGAGATAGGCAGGCATAGGGAGCAGTCAGAAAGATGCAACATTTTTCTGCCTCCTTCAGCCTTCCAGTCAACCTCAAGGGCCCCTATTGACATAGTATAACAAGCCCCAGAAGACAAAGCAGAAATGAAGTTTGCAGCATCACAAAGCCAACTATAGAAACATGAGTTTGAAGCTGAGAAACAAAATCACATTCCACCTCTTCAACTACTTGGCATTCATTCAGACCCTTTTACACATTTGAACTTCCATACAACAAAAATAACTTTTTTTTTAGCTTTGTTATTTATTTTTTTATTTTGATAATTTTTTTTATTATACTTTAAGTTTTAGGGTACATGTGCACAACGTGCAGGTTAGTTACATGTGTATACATGTGCCATGTTGGTGTGCTGCACCCATTAACTTGTCATTTAACATTAGGTATATCTCCTAATGCTATCCCTCCCCACTCCCCCCACCCCACAACAGGCCCCAGTGTGTGATGTTCCCCTTCCTGTGTCCATGTGTTCTCATTGTTCAATTCCCACCTATGAGTGAGAACATGCAGTGTTTGGTTTCTATTTCCACTTAACAAGATGCAACTTCTGCGTTATAAACAAATCTTCTCTAAGTCTCTCCTTAAAATGAGGAGACGCAAAGTATCAACATTTGTATTCATCTCTGGAAGTTAGCCACAGTTCCATCTGAATATTTCGTTGCCTAATAACTCAATTTTAAGTTAATAGCAACCATAGTTTTATATAAAATATTAACAGTAAGGAGAAAAACATGAATAAATTATTTCATACACACAAATATATTCATTTCTTCTATGGTTTCTGCTTTTGTAACTGGTCATAAGGCCATAGCTGATATTTATAACTTCTTTCTCTCACTAACCATTCCATGTTTCCTTTGACCGTGGTCAGTATTTCAGATAGTTGAGATCTTTTCTTTGTGAGGTGACCTAAATCTTTATTTCTGCAGTGAATGACTCAATAGTTCTGCCTTTTTTTGTTGTTACTATAGTTTTTAACTCACTTTTACCATAGGATATGAAAGTACTAAGTGTTATTGCAGAGAATCACCTGAGTTCCTGCCTCTTTGTGTAATCGTAATTTGAATCAGTCATCCCAGTCAGCTTTGCCTATATAGTGTCACAATGTGGTAAGAATGGCCGAGTGGCAATCTC